>NC_000006.12:117192002-117495032 GCF_000001405.40 Homo sapiens | reverse complement strand
AAGGTCAGTAAGCTTGCAGAATTCCACCTTTTTCTTTACCACAGAACATCTCAAAGCCCTTACAGTGTATAGTGAAGCTCTGATGCGTGTTGCAGTTTACAGTATTTCCCAGAAAACTCTTTCCTCTTGGGGCATCTCCTGGGAGTAGTGCTCTGTGAGACATACTGGTGAACTCCTGGGTTAGACTCTCACAAGTGGGACACACAGAGAGATCCCATGATAGGGCTTCTGGGATTGAAGATCTTACGTGGAGAAGTGGACTTTGGCCTCTGGAGTTCTAAAAATGATACTGAAGTTATATTATGTGACTTGATTCAAAAGCAAGACTTTTCTCACTGTTGTTATTAAGTTACAAGTCCTTTGTGGGCATCTACAACAAACTGGACACATTGGTTAAGAGAAGTTTCTTAATTTCAAAGAAGACTTTTAAGAAAAAAAAAAAACTTGTTTGTACAGCGAAACAATTCTAAGACAACTGTTTTATCTCTGTTGAATAGATGCTTAGAATAAGGAAGTCAGAGAAAAGAGGCTGCTGACCTTTGTTAATAATGTCAGGATGTTGATGTAATATCCAAGCTGCCACTGCTTCAGCTGAAGATAAGTCAAGAAATCTTTCCTGCCGCTGGAACATGCTAGCTTTCTCACCTTGGTTTCATGTTAAATATGCATACTGCCAATATTCAGATAAAGTGTAATATTGATATTGACTTTTCTCTCTGGAGTCCAGAAAAATCCAATATTACCAAGTAAAGACAAAGTTAAACTGAGTTTTATAAATTAAAACTGTAAACACTTCTCCTTTGCACATAGATGTGAGCTTTCACTTTCACAGATAATAGTTTTTTAAAAATTGAGAGCCAAAAAGTTATTGGGAAAGGAAAAAAATAAAATTATGAAAGGGCCCTTACTAAAAACTAGCATTTACCAAACATTCATTGTAAAAAGTAGCAGATACAGTGTTCTAAGGACTTCATATTACCTTATTTAGCCTTCATGACAACCATATCTGATAATGATAGTTTTTAAAAATTGATTACAAATTATTTCACATATATACACACACACATATATATACAGATACACACATACAAAGAGTAATTTCACAAACATCAAAGTGTATACCCAGTAGCTTATAAGATAGGACATCTCCTATACAACAAAACTGAAGCCCACAAAACCCTTTCTTCACCACACATCCCTCCTATTATCTCTATTCTGTGTGTGAAGGAGTCAAGGCTCTGAGATGCAGCATAACTCAGCCCATGTGGCTGGGCTGGGATCAGACCCTAACCTGAAGCTAGTCTGACCTCAAAGACGATGGAATGGAATCATGTGCTCTAGTGCCACTACTGCCTAAGTCACCCATCTTAGAGGTGACAAAACTGAGGTAGCGATATTTAAGACATTGCCCAATCTCACATTACTGCTGAGCAGCATAACTGATATTTAGTTTTTTGTAGTCATACTCTTTTTGTCTCAAAATTAACATGAGAAAAAAGTCATGTTTAATTAGGAGTTTTTTTGTAAAAATTATGATATGAGAAGTTCTATCATCCCCTTTTTTAAATTATCGAAGTACTCTTTACTAGACTATTAAGGGAAAGGTCTAATGAGAGGTGCCTATTTTACTTCCAACAAAGGTTGTTCACTTTGCTTAGCTCCTGAAAGATGCTTTGTAAAAGAAGGTGTCAGTGTATTAAAGTGCTACTTCTCACACTTCAGTATGCAAACTAATCACCTGGGGATCTTGTCAAAATGCAGGGCCTGGAAATTCTACATTTCCAAAAAGCTCTTATTAGTGACTGTTCTGTTGGATCCTGTAAGATATATTCTGAGTAGCAACAGACTGAAAAAGCCCTCCTTATTAAGAGGGATATTGCCATGAATATTTTTTAAAGTGAAAGAAAATCCTCAAGATAAAAATTTTGTATGGTTTAATTTTAGTATCTATTCCTAAAATTGGAACACATCTGTATCTGATACTTATTTTCACTCCAGATTTCATTTATAAGTCTAGGACAGGCAACAATAAGTTCCACGATCTATAGTTAAGCCAAAATGGCATTTCTGAAACCTGGATAAAAGTGTCAATTCAGGAATTACTTGAGCATACTGTGGAAAATAAACAAAGAAATAGGATGGGAAGCTTTGTGCAAGCGTAGGTTTATGCACCATATCCACGGAACAAGCAATCAATGTTTACTGACAAGAAAATAGCAAATCTCACTGGGGAGACATATGGTGTCTTATCATACATCTAATAAGGTATGAAACATGAGAGTTGAGAGAAAAAATAAACCTCATAAAACTCATATCATAGTCCAGTCCTGAAAACTTTACTGCTTTTGCACATTCCATATTCTGCACTGCTGGATGTATTGCAATGCTATAAAAGCAATGGTTAGCTACCAGTAAGGACTTTAAAAAATCTTAATATTTCTATGGCAAATGTGATCACCTCAAATATAAACCAAAGACTATGAATTTCAGGCTTAATTGCATAAGTAACTCCCTCAAACTGTGTTCCCCTATGACTTCTTTTCTAACTTTTTCTCCCCTGGATAGGAACATATGATGGGTATCCTTGGAGACAAAGGGCAGGAAACCATTTCAAGGCATTTAGAATTGTAAGATACGTGCCTGGTTCCCACTTTGGGCACACAAAGTAAATGTGTCTTGGGTAAATAATTATTTCTCTGAATCTCAGTTCCCTCAATAGCTCTCAGAATTGTTGGGATTAAATTCGATGTAAAAAACATACAACGATTCAAAATACATATGAAGATAGAGGTTTAAAATTTGTCTATATGAAAAATCAGACTGGACAAGCAACAACAGTGATTGGATGCTTAAACCATACAGTGAATTGTTGACAGGGAAATACTTTTACTGAGTCAGAAACTAACATTCCAAAGATTACTTGTAACTCATAGAGAGACGGCAGTTTTATAATGGAGAGATCGATGTATCACTTCCTAAAGTCACTGGTGATTCTGAGCATCACTAAAAGTGGAGCAATAATCACAACAATAATAACATATGCGTCCTATTGTGATACAATTAGAAGTACATAGCACCTTTGAGTACTTTTACCAAAAACACTTAGTCTGAATCTAATCGAGTCTTTAGGTCAAATTTCGGGCTTATACAGAAATACAGGTATAGCGCACCAAGTAAAAGATAAACTACTCTGAAGCGGTGAGTACACTTTAGGACGTGAGCTGTGTCACAGAACAACTGAACCTGGTTTCCTCGCAGGAAAAGAAAAAGTATGTGGGTGGGGGTCAGTGATAGATTAAAAGTGACTAAAGAGACATAATAACTAATATGTAGACCTTGTTTGGATCTTTGTACAAACCAAAGGTTAGAAGACATGTTTAGGATAGCTTGGGAAATTTGAATATGACTTGAGTATTAGATGATATTAAAGAAAAACTATTAGTTTTCTTAGGTGTGCTCATAACATTGTGGCTATGCAAGAAAATATTTAGAGATTCAAATGAAATAGGAAAAAAGTCAAGAAATCCTTAATAAATTTTTAGTTTATTAATAGATTTTGAAGTCTCAAAAGACTTGTAGACCCTTCTGAGCTGGCAGTGACAGTAGGTACAGGGCCATTTTTCTGTCTGCAATAGGCCATCTCCTATTTTAGTCTCTTGGCAAAGCAGGAGCTTTCCAGGGATCCCAAAAAAATGGTGGGCGGAATGGGGGCAAACCTTGGTTCATTTTATTCTCAAAATAAGCAGCCTCCATTCTAAAATCCTCAGAATGGAAGCAATTCAAATATATGAATCTCATGTTCCAGTGGTCCCATGGGTCATTAAGCCTCTACAGTTTTCTCTTTTGGGCTGAAATCAACCACATTTTAATATGAGGTAAACTTGCTTTTGTGAAAAGCAATAAAAAGGCTGAATTAAATCCACTCAGCCATTTAAAAGTTAGGCAACAAACACATAGATGTTTATCTATTTTCCCTGTAGGAAATTTTATGCCTTGGTAATTCAAATTTAACTGGACATCACACTTTTAATATCCTTTTGTCTTGTTTTTTGTCAGAAATAATAGTGAAATAAAGTTTTTCTTTCCTTTGTTTTTCAAGAATACCGTGCTTCTTAAAAATCATTTACACTCAACCTTTAAGCACAATCACTAAACATGCTCAAATGCAAAAATGGAGCTATACATATTATTAGTTTGCAAGGATTTTAATTTTGTGAAGAAAGAAAACAAAGACTATTCTTTTTCAGTAAATGTAAATATGTTGAACACTGAATAAGAAGGCCACAACAGCGGTTATAATTTGAGTTTGAAGATGCTGACTATAAAAACTAACTTGGGTCTCAATAAACTCCAAATAGTCTAATAATGAACAAGCCTGATCCATTCAATACAAATTAAGAATCTCACCAAAGAAGGATTAAAAAAATACACCTTACCTTTCTGATACTTAGTATGTTTAAACTTATGTACTTTTCTCAAATAAAGTATGTATAGGCAAATTATTTGACTCCATTAGTAAGAGAGAGTAATTTGAATAATATAAAACAAAAACATTGACGAGACACATCAATTATAAGTTGGCCTGGACAAAAATTCCACTTTCCTATTAGATATTTCTCAGTAGCAATAAATGACTTAGAAATAAGTTTTTGGTTTACTTCAAGGCAAATTCTAAAATAAATATAAATATGGAATTTTTCCAAGTAATAAAAAACTTTCAATGAAACACAGATTTAAAAAATCAGAATATAAAAGCATACACAGACTAGGGAGCAGAGGGGGGAACCCAGGTATTAGTTTTATTGTTGTTCTTTATACCTTTATTTATAGTCTATAATTTTGTGTCTACACAATATTTAATAAAAACAATAGTAAATGTGTGTGTACACACATGTATTTGCTATAGGGGTGTGTGTGTGTGTGTGTGTGTGTGTGTGTGCATTTACATAAAAATATATAGAACTAAAACATGTCCTCAATGGTTCTATGTGTAGCATTTTCCATGATTATGATATATCAGGACAATGTTATTTATGGACACCCTACTTTGTTTCACAACTGTTCTGCTTCTGTTGTAAGCATTAGGGAAGATCATTGGGAAAGTAGGGAAGAAAGCTCCAACCTAAGAGAAATTTATTCTTTTTTTTTGAGACGGAGTCTCGCTCTGTCACCCAGGCTGGAGTGCAGGGGCGTGATCTCCGCTCACTGCAAGCTCCGCCTCCCGGGTTCACGCCATTCTCCTGCCTCAGCCTCCCAAGTAGCTGGGACCACAGGCACCCGCCACCACGCCCGGCTAATTTTTTGTATTTTTAGTAGAGACGGGGTTTCACCGAGTTAGACCATGATGGTCTTGATCTCCTGACCTTGTGATCCACCCGCCTCGGCCTCCCAAAGTGCTGGGATTACAGGCATGAGCCACGGCGCCCGGCCTCTTTTTTGTTTTTTAAAAAAGCTCAAGCACAGCTCTATTTTTAAAAGGGGGGTGGTATGGGGGTAACACAGAGCTACTTAAGCTGTTACCTCATTTCAGTATTATCCTTTGCAGCTTTTCCTACAAAAAAATCTACCTAGCCTAAAATTATTGTTGATATGGTTTGGATGTTTTGTCCCCTCCAGATCTCATGTTGGAATATGATCCCCAATGCTGGAGGTGGGGCCTGGTGAGAGGTATTGGATCATAGGGACAGATCCCTCATGAATGGCTTGGCACCATCCCCTTGGTGATAAGTGAGTTCTTGCTACTACTTCACACAAGAGCTGGATGGTTAAGAGCATGTCTCTTGCTCTGTCTCTCACTATGTGATGCACATGCTTCTCCTTCACCTTCTGTCATGACCGCAAGCTTCCTGAGGCCCTCACCAGAGGCTGAGCAGACGCTTATGCTATGCCTGTACAGCCTGCAGAAACTTGAGCCAAATACACCTATCTTCTTTATAAATTTCCCAGCCTCAGATATTCCCTTACAGCAACACAGAACAGACTAATACAATCATATATAATTATATACAAGACACAAGGCATTTCTGCAAATATTGGGTATATTATTACACAGCATGTAGCTCCTAAGGAAATAGCTAATAACGAGATTAATAAATCAAGTAGAAATGGCAGTAAACAGTAAAGTCATACACGACAATATGGCTTAACACAGTGCTGATGTCACAAATGCCTAGACACTGTCCCCAAATGATGTTTGAGGTGAAGTAGGCCCCTGATACCCTAAATGTATAAGCATTAGCAGACCATAGGGGACCCCCGGTCTAAATCAGTGGATCATTTGCTCAAGACTGCCGGCCCCTCACTCATGGCAGTTTTCCTGCTGTTGCCTGTAAAAGGGTCTCAGAGATTCCCGGTTCTTTTCAGAGTTGAATTTAGTTATTTTCTTTTTGAGACAAGGTCTCACTCTGTTGCCCAGGCTGGAGTACGGTGGCAGCATCACAGCTCACTGCAACAGCTGCCTCCTGGGCTCAAGGGATCCTCCCACCTCAGCTTCCCTAGTAGCTGGGATTACAGGCATGTGCCACCACGCCCGGCAAATTTTTGTATTTTTTGTAGAGTCGGGGGTTTCGCCATGTTGCCCAGGCTGGTCTGGAACTCCTGGACTCAAGTGATCTGTCCACCTCAGCCTCCCAAAGTACTGGGATTACAGGAGTCAGCCGCCCTGCCCGGCCTAGTTATTTTCTTAAATACCTGCACAGTGTTTCCTAACGCTCCACAATAGTCATATATACAATTTCTGTTTAAAATAACATGAATATTATCCTCCTTTCAATTTTTTCAAACCTCAACCACAGCATTCATGCGCTGACTCAGGAACTAGTAGTTACCCGGAGCCTGCTATGTGCCAGGCACCGTACTGGGTGCTAGCGGTGAAAGAAGAGGCTGAGATTCATCTCTGCTTTCATGGATCTTAGGGAATCCTCCAATGCTTACCCCACAATCCCACAAAACCCCTCCTCTTCAACTCCCATTGAAAGGCAAGTTTGACAGTTGGTTCTAGATTCAGCATACCAGCGCTCACAGTCACGACTCTATTTCCACATCGGGTAAGAAGTCATCACATGCGTTTGCTTTATTTTTCCCATAAACTAAGTCTCCCTCACCCAGTAAGGCAAACAACTATTTTTTTTAACATACAAAGCAGACAATAAACATCTGGAAGATAACATCCACATGACTCCTCAGTTTGGAAAAAGGCAAAACTACTCCTCAGTCTAATGAAAAAAAAAAAAATCTGAAATTCTGGCTGTATTTTTCCCTTCACCCTCAATGCCAAATTTCTAATATGCCAGAATGAATTTCTCTATTTTACATACGTACTTTCAGACTTTTACATTCAACATTGGATTAGACATACAATTTCATTACTTTGCCGTGTCCAGGTTTTAATTTCTTTTCTTTTTTTATTTGAGACTGGGTCTTGCTCTGTTGCCCAGGCTGGAGTACAGTGGCTCAATCTCAGCTCACTGCAACCACTGTCTCCCAGGCTCAAGAGATCCTCCCACCTCAGCATCCCGAGTAGCCGAGACCACAGGACACCACGACACCTGGCTAGTTTTATTGTATTTTCGCTAGAGATGGGATTTCGCTATGTTGCTCAGGCTGTCTCAAACTCCTGAGCTCAAGTGATCCGCCTGCCTCAACCACCCAAAGTGCTGGGATTACAGGTGTGAGCCACCTCTGGCCAGTTTTGATTTCGTAACTAGAGTGAGGTTGAGTCTTACAGGGCAGGAATTGTGTTTTCACTGCCTTCTCACCCCATCCTCACTAAGCACCCATCCCCTATTGAGCTCCCAATATGGCCACTGTTCAAGGCACAAAACTCATAGACCTTATAATCTAGTAGGAGGAAGGCAGTCAATTTAAAGTGTAAATTATACACTTTGTTGGAAGAGGGTAAGTGCTCCAGAGCAGTGGTCACCAACCTTTTTGGCAACAGGGACGGGTTTCGTGAAGGACAATTTTTCCGTGTATGGGGCTGGGTTGGAGGGGGATGGTTTCTAGATGAAACTGCTGCACCTCAGATCATCAGGCATTAGATTCTCATAAGGAGCGTGGCAATCTAGATGCCTCAAACATGCAGTTCACAATAGAGTTCAAGCTCCAATGAGAATCTAATGCCCGGCTGATCTGACAGGAGGCGAACTCAGGCGGTAATGCTCCATTACCTGTTGCTCACATCCTGCTGTGTGGCCCGGCTCCTAACGGGCCAGTGACAGGTACCAGTCTGCAGCCCAGGGCTTAGGGATCCCTGCTCTAGAGAAAACTGAAAGCTAAGAAGGGGAATATGGAGTTCTGGGAATGAAGAGAGGGTTTCAAGTGCTTAGGAAAGTTCTCCCTGAGAGGACAACATCTAAACAAACACTGAAGGAGGAGCAAGCTTTGTGGATATTTGGGGCAAGACTATTCCAGGCAGAGAACAGCATGTGCAAAGGTTCTGAGGTAGAACAGTGCTTGTCATTTTGGAGAAATAGCAAAAAAACCAAACAGCTAGAGAGGCCTGAGTATGGGGGAGCATTTCAGGGAATGAAGTCAGAGAGGCAGTGGAGGAGACAGAACAAAGAGTCCTCAATATTTGTCAAATCAATAGTAATAAACAGTAATGAATACTAAGATAGCTAACATTTATTGATTTGTTTTAATAAAGAAAAACAACTAATTGCTCTAATACGTACAGAGTTGACTTTATGCTTTAAGACACATGTAGAAATAGGTGTAAACACTATGGGGTATATTTCCCAGAACAAACTTTTTTTCCCTGCTTTAACACAACTAAAACCTTTGCTAAATGCTGCAATTAAATTCATGCCCCCATGTATCTTAAAAATAAGACATAATTCCTCATAAATGTCAGATGCCTTACTAATTTCCAAGCTGTGGTTTTTTAAAATGATTTTCAAGTCTGTGTCAGTTCCACAAGGTTAAAGGGTTCAAATTGTAACATGAAAAGTTAATAAAAACAGTTTGGGACATTATTCAGAGTTCAAATTCTGCTTTAAACATACCATTTGATTTGTTTAATGAATTTTTTAACATAACCTCTTTCTTCTCTGAAATATTAATATATAACTCACTGTTTCTGAGTGTTACAAATTATATCTACTAGAGCCAAAAGATATTGTACATATTGTTCTGCTGGCATGTTCCCTTCTTTCTGCTGTATTTTCATTTAAAAGGCATCCTTACATATAGAAATAAGCATGCCAAGAGAGCTGGGCTTGATAAACAAAATTAATTAGTAGAAGCAGCAGATGTACACCTTTATAAAGAATGTCAGTAGGCTCTTTATTACTTGGTTTCCATTAGTTAGGAAGTCATTTGAAAATATATCCTAAACACAAAGAGATTGTTCAGTTCAACTCAAGGAACACTGAGCACCTTTGTCAGATACTAGGAAGACAAAGACTATATAGTCCCAGTCTCTGCCCTCAGGATCTTACAGTCTACAAGGCTAGCTGTCCAGATGAGACAACAGAAGGGTGAGTGCACACACTGGTACAGAAGGTGACAGAATAAATTTGTGCTGATTTTTAAAAAAGCCACTCACCTAAAACATCATCTATCAGCTGATCCTATGTCTAACCCAAAATAAATGACAGATGATTTAACAGCAGACCTTCTAAATAACAAATTAAGAGTTGGGCAGAGGGTTTTGAAGCAATTCTTAAGTATGCAAGATTTGAATCTACACTTGGAAGTTTCCTCAGAGATCAAGCGCTCATTTTGATTCTTCACTTAAATCACAAGGGAATACTTTAGCTAATAACCATTTGCAAATCTTGTGGTGGAGAGAGAAGCAGGGAGTTTTAGGTTGCACAAATTCATTACACAAATGAAGGGTATTTTATTCTACAAAAATGTATATCAAGGTAATAAATTTGGACTAAATCCAAACCTACGAATTTATACAAGTGGAATAAAAACTAATGATCAACTTAATGTCTTATTATGAAAGGTCAAAATTATGTGAAACAATCTATGTAAATATGTACCTTTAGTTAAACGGATCCAGAAGAACAGGGCATAAGGAGCCGAAATAATCCCAGCTCTGGCCACTAAACCCCAATGCCTGGACCTGGCTGGCTGCAAACAACGGGAGGGGTGGACACTTTTTTAAAACTTTAATTCAAGAAAAACACCAGATAGGCAAGCAGTTGCCCTACAAAGGACCCAGTATAGCTTTATGGGGTCACCAGACTCTGACACACAAAAAATTAATTAATTGTATTGATTAGGCTTATAAACATTCAGGTTAAGTTATACCATTTGTTTCCTAAAACCACACAATAAATAAAAGTCTAATACGAAATTGCCTATAACACAGATGGTAGCATTTTATCACAACCCTAACATTATAAAATTATAAAGATTTGAAGCCCAGTAAGAATCTAAGCAACCACACATGCCTGTAGTCCCAGCACCTTGGGAGGCCGGGGTGGGTGGATCACTTGAGCTCAGGAGTTCAAAACCAGCCTGCGTAATATGGCTAAACCCTGTCTCTACAAAATATACAAAAATTAGCCAGGTGTGGTGGGATGCACCTGTAGTGTCAGCTACTCAGGAGGCTGAGGTGGGAGGATTGCTTGAGCCCAGGAGGTTGAGGCTGCAGTGAGCTGAGATCGTGCCACTGCACTGCAGCCTGGGCGACAGAGTGAGACACTGTCTCAAAAATAACAATAATGATAATAGGTTTTTAAAAAGAATCTAAGCAATCACACTTGTTCCTAGAGAACCGCTCTCACAAAGTGCCCAGTTAACAGCCTGGATGACCATACAAAATCTAAATCTTTATTGGGAAAGATAAGTGACAGCTTTGGCCAGATTAGTACAGGAACATACTGCTGGACTGATTCTCACAGACGTATAGTATTAAAGGTGCACCTTCAAACTGTGAGTTGAGAAAAAAATAAAAATATTTAAAACATCCATTATAAAAGTCCTACGCATTTAACAAAATCTTACGTATTTATTACAATTTTACAATCTGCCTAGTATTGTGCTACAGTACCAGACAAAATCACTTTAGGGTTTTGGGGATTTTGTTTTTTTAAACAAACTGGTATGTAATATAAACTTAGGAACCACCACCACCATCTCGAGTATCAATGTTTCAGAATGGAGGCATAGTTCAGTGAAAAAAATGCCGGCATTGGTTTTAGTTTTGATTCTTGTTTCACCAGAAAGCATGGTGGTTGGGGGAGCTGTCAAAGTACTCCGGATAGACTCAGCGCCATTAAATAAGCTCAGGCATATACGGCCAGGAGCAAGGGAGGAGAGGAAACACTGAAACAACTCGGCAGAAAGCTGGCCCTTGCTATTAAAAAAAAAAAAGCACTAATTAATGAGGACGAATGAAATAGGGACACCCAGGGCTGGTAAAGGGGGTTGCTGCTTTAATATGCTGGACAGGCAGAGGGTAAACTCGGTTGTGGGTTAATTAGGTCTAACTCCAAGTCAAAGACCAGCTCCAGAGAAAAAGCAGCCTGGTTGAGAGTCTACCGGCTCAAATACACAGGAAGCCACACGATTCCAACTTGCGGCGCCAGCAGGACACTCGAGAGGAGGTGGCAGCACCGCCTGCTCGCCAGCGTCCAAGGCCAACCTCGGCAAACGTGCCCCGGCCATTCCGCACGAGCCCCGAACGCACACGCCGGGATTCCAATTCCGCGCGGGAGGAGCGACGGCAGGGAGGGCAGGGCCCAGCGCCGGCCGAGGAGCGGCTTTGTCAAAAGGCAGCTGGAAAGAACTGGCCCTGCACACGGCTGTCCCCTAAGGCGACCCTCGGGGTCAGGTCACTTCTCACGGGGCCAGCAGAGTCAGGAAGTCTGGAAACTAAGTGAAATGGGCTGGGGGGCGGCGGAGAGAAAGTGCAGAGACGCCAGGTTAATTCTCTGGTTTTGGGGGAAGGAAGGAGTTTGGTGGGGGAGCGACAAGGAATGCAGTAACCTACTTCACCCCCAGCCCCGCGGGTAGAGCCGGACTCCGCGGATGGCAGGCGGCGAGCCCGACTTCCTCCCGCGCTCCGTCCCCCCAGGCCCGGCCCGCCCCGTAGCCCTCGGCCCGGCCCGGCCCGCCCCGCAGCCCTCAGCCCGCCCCTGGCGCCTCGGGTCCCGCCGCCAGCCGGACGCGCTCCACTCACCCAGCTCCTCCGCCTGCAGCCGGAGCGGGGCGGAGACCGCGAGCAGCAAAGCCAGGAGGCCCCGCCCGGCAGCCCGCGCCAGTGCGCCGCCGCCGCGGGCGCCGGGCACCATGACCCCGCTGGGCGCCAGCTTGGCAAGCTCGGCCTCCCCTCGACGGATCCCGAGCCGCAGCTGCCCGGGCCGGGCCGCCTCCTCTGCGGACGAGCGCGGCGCCGGGACGGGGCGCAGTCGCTGCCCCGCACCGAATCCCATTGGGGCGGCTTTCAGCCCAGCCCTGCGGGGGCGTCTCCCGCCCGGCCCCGCCCCGCCCCGCACGTCGGCCCCTAGAGGAGGAAGTCGCGTTCCCAGGCAGTGACCGACGGCGAAGCCGGAGGCGAGCGAGGCGCCGCCCGCGCTCCCCTCCACGTATCTGGCGCGCCCTGCTGCGCTCCTTCCTTGCCTTCCTCCCCACCTGCACCAGTACACGTGAACCTGCTAGGCAGCAGGACACCTCGCCGCCGGACCCGCCCCTCGCCGCGTGGTGCGGGAGTCATTCCTAGATGGGCTGAGCCCGCGGCGGTGCCTTGGGAGGCTGCCCCCTCCAGGGTTTTGCCAGCCCGCGGGGATGGGCATGCCAGGGATAGCAACACCGAGGGACTCGAAATATTTTGATGATAGGATGATGACAGTGCCAAGTAGGACCTTCACTGATTTATTCACTCATTCATTCATTCATTCAAAAGTTACTCAGTTCAGCAGTGTGCTTGTCAGGAGCAGGGCTAAACCCATGTGGCACTTGCAGACAAAAATAATCAGGCAAGTATTCAATGCAAATTGCAATCAGTGACATGAAAGGTGCTGTTGAAGCACATTTAGAGAGCTGTAATTAGATGGCGGGTAACAGGGGTGAGGGCGGGAATCAGCTAGGAAAGGCCTAAGTGGCATCAAAGCTGAGATTAAAGCAGGAGCCAAAACAGACAAGTTGTGCAAAGAAGCTGAAGGAGGAAAGGGCCAGGTAGCTGGAGCACAGTGAACAGGTGGGTACACGGCCAGATGTAGAAGCTAGTGTACAGAGTAGGGGCCAGGACGTGCAGCTAAATAACCTAAAGGATGTTTAACTTGGTCCTCGGAGTAGTGAGCAGCCACGGAAGGTTCAGAAGGGGGAAGGACTCCACCCGATGATCCTCTTGAGGAGTTGCGGAGAAGGGTTTGGGGAGGACAGATTGGAGACTGGAGAATTACAGGGTTATCACCGAGTAGTTGAATAGGGTGGTGGCAGTGGAAAATGACGAGGACAGATTAGATATGTATTTTAAGGACTATCTCACGTCTCTGGTCCCCTGTAGTCCCCGTTTACTTCCTCTGCGCGCTGCCCTCACCTTCGCACCACCGCGCGGCACGCTGAAGTTTCACCTAGAGGTGCAGCGCAGGGAAGCGTGGAGGCGGAGAGGAAGCAACAGCCCCTCCAATGGCAAACATTGGCCCCTCGTGATCTTTGGATACCCTGGACAGACTCATTTCATACATGCGTTCCTTTTTTCCTCTTCCTTTTCTTTTTTTAACTAAATAAACAAGCTGATAAAATCTCAAATGAGATTGTCTTTGGGGCTTTGCTTTCTCTGAGGCAGCATATCTTAGATGAAAGAACTTGGGCTTTAGAAATGGAGGGGATCCCGGTTTGATTCTGGACCTCAGCTTTGTTGAAGAGCTGAGGTCCAGAATCAAACTGGGTATATATGTGTATATTCAGTGTATACTGAATTTGTATATTAAGTTCTATCATGTAGAGAAAGTACCTAACTGAATGTGTATATTGGGTTCTAGCATGTAGAGAAAGTACCTAATAAACGGTAGGTTTTATCATTTTTTAACAGAAAGTAAATTCACACCCATAAAAATATTGAGTATTCTTACACTCAAAAACACAGAACGATACTTTGATACGTTGAGTCTCCTCCTAACTTCAGTTTTCGCTTTTTCTTATTTCTCTTCATTCTTTCTAAGTGAGTTTGGGCAGCTGCTTCCAGGCTCCAACAGGTTTGACACTGTGAGCTATGAATGAAGCAAAGACAATGGGGAGTATTGTTTAACAGTGAGGAATTCATAATGTGAGGCAGGTGGGCTTTCAGGGGTGACTTTTTTTTTTTTTTAACTTCAGTCAGTACCTTGATGGGAATGGAATTATCTGCTGTACACCTGAATCCTGAGCCAGATAAGGGGAAAGATTTAGGATCTGGTAACAATGAAGAAACAGAAAGACCAGCCAGATCCTATTGATTTCATCATGCCATTCCTTCCTTGAAATGTAAAATCTCTAGTTAAGAAAGTCATAATAAAAGAAAAAAGTGAAAATACAACAGATTATAAAATATATATACTGGGGTGTGTGTGTGTATACATGTATATGTATATGTATGTATCATTTTTAGAGAAAGGGTCTTACCATGTTGCCCAGCTGGAGTGCAGTGTCTATTCACAGGCCTGATCACAGTGCACTACAGCTTCCAGCTCCTGGTCTCAGTCCTCCTGCCGCAGCCTTCTGAGTAGCTGGAACTACAGTATATTTTTCTATACAATGAAATAAGCCTTGTTGAATTAATATACTTGTTTTAATCTTGAGACGATTCCACTTTGATTTTTTAAAATGATGCATGATGGAATCTAAGAACCAAGTTCCATTAAGAAAAATTATGCTTATTAGGATCTACCTATAAACATTTCACATACTAAGATGGGAAATATCTCTAGGGAAGTGTCTCTCATAGGCTATTGCACTTCTAACCCATCCCCCCACTTGCCATCCAGTCCTTATTTTGCATATCTTACTGCAATTTATGCTTACATTTGCCAGCTCTTCTGTAAAAATACATAACAGCTGGTCAGGAGCTGCCTTATTTTATATTATAAATTATGTGTTCTGTCTTGCTTAGGTAAGACAGAATTTAAACAGAACTGCAAACCTAGCATGATTCTAAACAGACAGCTTCAAAATAGATTGTAGTCCAGTTCAATGACCTAATTCAATTTATCCTTAACATTTAGTAACCCTGCCTGTGACTCTATGAAGAAAACTATCAGCTATAAAATTGAAGCCCTTATAGATGTCTGATATGGTTTCAATCTGTGTCCCCACCCAAATCTCAAGTTCAATTGTAATTCCCAATGTTTTAGACATTTTCCATATGTGAAACAATGTGACAGCAGTACAATAAAAATAAATACCTTCTCTTCCTGATTTATGATCTAATAATAAAAATTTGGGAAAGTTAATTATACAGACAAAATGAATTATATCGATTGATAGGCACAGGGATAGCAGAGGTACAGGGTACCATGGAATCACAGAAGAAGGGCATATAACCTGGATTTTAAAAGTCTGGCAGGGCCTGGGAGAGGTGAAGATATTAATTAGAAGGAAAACAATGTTTGTCAGACAAGGAAAAGATATTATTTTTAAAGCTCAGAAACAGAGATCACAGGGTGCTTATGAAGATTGAACCTGGCCAGGCACAGTGGCTCACACCTGTAATCCCAGCACTTTGGAAGGCCAAGGCAGGTGGATCACCTGAGGTCAGGAGTTTGAGACCAGCCTGGCCAGCATGGAGAAACCCCATCTCTACTAAAAATACAAAAATTAGCCAGGCATGGTGGTGGGTGCCTGTAATCCCAGCTACTCAAGAGATTGAGGCAGGAGAATCACTTGAACCCAGGAGGCAGAGGTTGCAGTGAGCCGAGATCATGCCATCATACTCCAGCCTGGGCGAAGAGCGGGAGCGAGACTCTGCCTCAAAAAAAAAAAAAAAAAAAAAAGATTGAGCCTACATTATCAGTGAACTTGAGCCTGAATACAGAGTGGGAGGCAGAAGCAGGATCTCAGGGTTCTGGGGGGTAGTGGGAAGCAGGGAAAGTGTAGAAACTTGTTCAGATTTGCATTGTAATAGGTGTCAAGATTACGGCAATAGAGGAGCAATCAGGCTCAACTTTGAATTCAGGGATTCAGTGAATCCAGTGGGCAGGGTGAGGGAGTCCATGATGAAAAATCACTAGGAGGAGACATCGGGGTAGAGGGGATTCTTGTAAACTGGCTTAATGGGATTCTTGCTGAATGCAGGTCAAGGACTTATATGTCAAAGATAAGGGAGGAGAAACTTGATCCAATACAGAGGGTGGGGTATTCTCTCTGAACTAACTTAGCAGAATTCTTGCTAAAGCTGGACTAGGCAGGCCAAAGACAGGGTTCAAGGACAATGCCTAGATAAAAAGAAGGCTCAGGGGAGCTTGACTGTTTGGTCACAGAGAGTCTTTGTCACCCCCATGTGGATATTTTTGCCACAAGCACTAAACAGCTAGGCTACAAAGGTCAGACCCCTCCCTCCCTGTGGCAGAGCTCAGCAGGGCACAGTCAACACTTTCCTCCCAAAGTGGCCTTTCTCTAATTTTCATTTCTGATAAAACTTACCATTGTCCTACGATTCCTTCTTTAGGCATGCTATTGAGGCAAGCATGCCTCTCCTATCCAGGCTTTCTCCCTTATTCCGTCATTGTGTTTGATTCATTATTCACTAATTTACGGTATCACTTTCCAGGGCCAGCCCTATTTTTAAATTCTAGTTGCCTCTGTACTACATGCGATACATTTGTGTCATTTCAAGAAGTAGTTTTTGAAGAAGTTTCATATACTTGATCTGAGTTGGTTCTTATGACAACCCCAGGACAGCTGTTTCCTAATTGTGTTTCTCTTTCTCTTCTTTCTCTTTTCTAACTTTTCTGTTAGGTTAACTGTTCACTCTTTCATCTTGCCCAGAGACCACATGTTGAAAAATGTCCTTGGGAGCTTGACCTTGTAACCATGTGGCAGTACTTTCTCTTGGTCTCTGCCATCCAGGGAGCAGGAATTTGGGGGTTCATGTCATAGTTATTCCCAAAATTTATGCCTTTGCAAACTCAAAATTGGTTGCTCTAGACTCCTTCTGGGAAGTGCAATGGAAACTTCCCAATGTTGTAGCTTAATAGTTAAGGCTTATGGGTTTCACCTGTGAGATTATTTTTGGTAAAGTTCAAAAGCCAGAAATATTGGCAGTTTGGCATGGCTAAAGGTGGTAGTAAGAGATTTAAAAGGACTTTAAAAAAAAAAAGAGTGCTATGGTGAAAAGTCCACTTAATTGAAAGTGGATATTCAAGTTCTAACAGCCTGGGACTCCTTGGGAAAAACAGAGGAGATGCCCCAGATCCAGCACTGGGAAAAACCTCTGTTTTCCTCAGAGAAATCAGTAATTGAAAGTGGATAGATCTCTCTCAAAATCTTAGGCTCTGTTCTGTTTTGCATTACATTGTGTTATCTGATGTTTTGACTCTTGGGTATCAAAAACTACTTTGTGTATAATAACTAGGTAGGAAATATACTTTTAGGAAAGGCTAATGGCAGTTATGGGCGAATACTTGACTCTTTGGTGTTTGGATTGGAGAAGTATGCTCTTGGCCACCTGGAAGGTATGCAGATGTGTCTCCCCAGCCCCCACACACCCAGAGATAAGACTCCTATGAGGGATGGGCTAATCACAGAATGGACTGATTGGCTTTAGATTGCTTTGCAATGAAATGCACAGTAAAATCACTGTACTGTCTTTTTCCATAGTGTTTCTCATTTTGGGGATCCAGGATCTGGTATAAAATGGGACCCTTAATTTTAGGGGAATCTGTTTTGCCTTCCAGCTGTGCCTGCTTATTAGGCTGTAGAAACTGCCTGTTTTCCTGTCCCTGTTCCACCCTGAAGCCAGTAATTCAATTAAGAAACACGGGCAAATGAAAAATCTTACAACTAGTAGATCTTCTTCTATTTATCTGTGTTGTGCATGTGATGTTTATATATACAGGAGCTCTAATTAATTGGCTTAAAAAATAATAAGTGCTTAAACCAAACATTTCGTCAGAAAAGTAAGAAGTGTAATGCCTTTTAGTTCACATAACTTAAGTAATCTTTGGGAAATAAAAACAGTTTTACATGCAAGTTGTGTAAGGAAAGTGAAATGTGTTTTTGGTAAAGATTATATAAGAAACCATGGGAATGTGGATTTTTTGCCTAGATTAAAAGGTTAAAGGATTGTTTTAAGTTAGATAGGAAAAAGCTGAAGATTTGGGCAAGTTGTGGAATGTTTGTGAAAAATTAATCTTGTAAAAGAAATTCTGTATATGAACATATTAGCTAAAAGTTAAAGGAGTATTATTTAGTTTTTTCATAAATTGAACATTGGAATAAAAGCACAACAGGTTTTTTCTTACAACACTAGTCTGCTCTGTCACAAAAATTGTAAAGGATTAGAAAAGGTTTATAAGAATCTTAGTGTTATGGTCATAATGATTAAGATTGGATAGATTTGTTTATAAGGTTTTATTAAGAATTAGGTTTGACATCAATAGTGCACTAAGGCAAGGGTAAATTTGGCTCTCTCTCTTGAACAAGATTTTCATGTAATATTTTAAAAAAAGAAAGTTTTTTGTCTACCCTTTTGAATAAACTGTAGAAAAAAAGAAAGAGACAGATTGTTTGGAAAGTTAAGTTTTCCCTCTATTGATGAGTAAACGTTTTTGTCTTTTAAAAATTTTTGTGGCCCGGCGCAGTGGCTCAGGCCTGTAATCCCAGCACTTTGGGAGGCCGAGGCAGGCAGATCACCTGACATCAGGAGTTCAAGACCAACCTGGCCAACATGGTGAAACCTGTCTCTACTAAAAATACAAAAATTAGCCAGGCATGGTGGCAGACACCTGTAATCCCAGCTACTCAAGAGGCTGAGGCAGGAGAATCACTTGAACCTGGGAGGCGGAGGTTGCAGTGAGCCGAGATCGTGCCACTGCACTCCAGCCTGGGCAACAAGAGTGAAACTCCAACTCAAAAAAAAATTTTTTTTTGAGCTCCCATTTTAGCTAAATGAGTGACTTTTGGTAACCTAGGATTTGATATTTGAGAAACTTTCCAAAATCAAATTGTAAATTGTGACTTTTTCTGATGCAATTAATCTTTTAGATATTAGGGGGTCACTGTCCAAAAATGACATTTGGCTTATTTGGTATAAAAATCATACAGGAAGCATTGTTAAATATGAAATGGTGTTTGGCTTTCTTTGAGTTGTATTGCATAAATATGTTACTGCTATGTGTTCCAAAATTATGGGAAACTCCTATAATTCTGATAGGACTTAGTCTATGTTATTAATAATTATCATTGTTACATAAAACTGTTTTATGCCACAGAAGTAACCAAAATTTCTAGTCAGTTGTGGTTTTAATAATGGCTGTCCTAGGACTTTTTGTCATCCACAGACAGTTATTGTCTTGTTTGGATTCTCTTCAAAAGATAGTTTATAGTCAGCTATAGGACTTTGACAGGTGCTCTTGAATGCAGGTTTCTGATAACTTTGGAGACTGTGACATTAGAATAGAGGAAAAACTTCCAGGACTTTCATGGAGAGCTGGAATGTTCATGAATATTCATGGACTGAACATGTAGAAGGCTGAAGTATTTTTTTTTTAACTTTTTGCTTAAAATATTGTAGATCCTTGGTTTTGTTTTTCAGAGTCAAGAGAACTTTTGAGCTATTGGCAGCTTTTAGCAATTGAATAAAGTATACTCCCATGAGCAAAATTTGGAGCATATTTGTTTCTCTCTACCTGATTTTTCCAGAATTTGAAGACTATTTGTGAATATCCTTAACTTATGGAAATATAATTATTTGCATAAGTGCAATAAGAATGTTTTCTTTTGCAACAGGATGCAATTGGAGAAACTCGTTATTTTACCAAGGCTTTAACTGGAATTATGTGTTTTCCTTTAAGGAGTGTAACTTGACTTACAGAGCCAATAAAAGTCCCTTGGGAAAACTGGCCTCATACCTTGTCTACACAGTCCCTGTACAGGGTTCCTGACGTGTGATAGGTAAAGAATGTCACTTTCCGACAGGCCCAGGAACCCCAGGTTATCTTGGGACTTCAAGAGGAGAGGAAGTTACCCAACTCATAGGTATTTGAGGGTACAAACCCATGACTGGGCTTAGCTTTAAAAAAAAAGTCTTTTCTGAGATTCCTTATGAAACAGAGTTCCATCAAAGCCAACTGAAAACGCCTATGTGAAAAATAATTATTTTTGCTGTACTGTATACAGATAATCAGGCCAAGCATAATAAAGCATATAGGTCTTTTTTAATATACTTTAAGTTCTAGGGTACATGTGCACAACGTGCAGGTTCGTTACATATTTATACATGTGCCATATTGGTGTGCTGCACCCATTAACTCGTCATTTACATTAGGTATATCTCCTAATGCTATCCCTCCTCCCTCCCCCTGCCCCACAACAGGCCCCGGTGTGTGATGTTCCCCACCCTGTGTCCAAGCGTTCTCATTGATCAATTCCCACGTATGAGTGAGAAAAAAGCATATCGGTCTTACCATGATTTGTCTTTAGTAAAAATGGGAGACTGGAGAGAGAAAAATTATGTTCCAAAAACTGTGGTGTGCCGTTATTAGATTCTAGTCTCGTCAGTTGTTTTTGAGGTTTTTTTTTTCCCTGCAATTCAGACTAACCCCGCTTATTCTTGTGAACCAACAAGTGATCTCTGGCTGCTGCTCAGAAGAAACAAGACAGATGGGTAATGTAAAAATCTGGATTAGTATTCTAATTCTGGGCAGGTATTGGAATCATCTAGTGACTCCATATTAGCTTGGTTTCAACAATTGCCCAGTTCATGGAAAGCCTTCTTATTTAGTTTACTTGGGATAGTATTACTTATTTAGCTTTACTCTTGTGGAATATATTGTTATTGTACTCTATATGTAGGAATGCAGGATAAGCTTAATCAATGTTCTCTTAAATTGAACACATTAATTTTCCTGATATTACTTTCTGCCAGAGCTCAAGAGTTATGAGTGCCCCTTGACATACTGATGCTTTCTGAATGAGTTCCTCTCTACCCTGAATACAAGAGACCCTAATAATTAGACAGGAATATCATTGCCCCATTCAGCCTGAAGAAGTTACAGAAAATGAATCTTCATCTCTCCATAACTCTTAGGATTAAGGGTTCTCTTGTAAAAGGGAGGGGAGAAATATGTCAGAGGTGTTTGAACCATAGCAACTCCATATTGTATAGAGGCTGGTAAAAAAAGACTGAGACCTACTGGGCTGCATTCCCAGTAGGTTAGGCATTCTTAGTCACAGAATGACATAGGAGGTCAGCACAAGATACAAGTCACAAAGACCTTGCTGATAAAATGGGTTGTTGTAAAGAAGCCAGCCAAAACCCACCAAAACCAAGATAGCAATGAAAGTGATCTCTGGTTGTCCTCACTGCTTATTACACCATTTTTCACTAGTTATAATACAATAGCATGCCAAAAGACACTCCCGCCAGTGCCATGACATCTTACAAATGCCACAGCAACATCAGGAAGTTTCCCTATATGGTTTAAAAGGAGGAGAAACCCTCAGTTCCAGGGATTGCCCATTCCTTTCCCAGAAAACTCATGAATAATCTACCTCTTTTTTAGCATATAATCAAGAAACAACTATAAGTATCTTTAGTTGAGAAGCCCATGCCACTGCTCTGCCAATCGAGTAGCCATTCTTTTATTTCTTTGCTTCTCTAATAAACTCGCTTTCACTTTATGGATTCGCCTTGATTTCTTTCTTGTGCGAGATCCAAGAACCCTCTCTTGGGGTCTGGATCCAGGCCCCTTTCTGGTAAAAATGGTATGAAGCTGCAATGTGTTGAGATCAGTTGCTAAAGGTAAAAGTTAGCAGTGGAATTTAGAGATGGTCCAACTTCCCAGGAGTTGGTTCACTAGATGTATAAGGAAATACAAACTAATAATGAAAAAGTGAAATCTTCAATCTCTTGGTTATTGTTATCTGTAACAGCTAAAATGAAATTAAAAGAGAATGCTGTGTTGGATTTCAATCTGGGCTTAGGCCACCAGCCTCAAAGATGCCCCCCAAGGGCAGAATTATGCAGGAACAACAGAAAGTACCTCTAAGACCTGTGGTTACCAAGAAGGCAGTCAATGTGAGAGAAGGGCAAAACCAAGTAACTATTGAAACCAGAGGACACAGTATGAAGGAATTGTTTTGTAGATTGGTAACATTAGCTTCCTGTGGAATCTTTGCTATAATAAAATGGATTATGAGAGTGACTAACGTAGGGGCAGTATTTTCGGTTTTAAATGCTGCAGAGTGGAAGAGTGTGTTTCGGTTAATGCCAGACCCACAGCTCACCATTAAACAATTGCAGATGAATATATGATGCAGACACACAGGAGGTTATTCTTGAGAGAACAGCCAGCCTGGTGGACAGGATAAAAGCCACCTTAGGTCTGTTTAATCTGAGGGAGGGGTTATCCAACACCACCTAGAAATTCCAAGTAGAACACCCCAGATGAAGCAGCTGATATGCTTTGTATGCAAGCCATGTGGGACTGGCTTTGTGATGATGGGAATATTCACCTGCTGAATATGTCTATTACCCAAGTCATGGTAAATGCTGTGGTTAAGGGGGCCCCTTCTACATGGGTACTCCATGTGATGTGAGTCCTGCAGAACTGAACAACAGTTCAAGAAGCCTTGTCAAATTTGCTGCCTCAGCTTGCCAAGTCTTACAGATGCTAAGAAAAACACTAAGTTAATTAACAAGAGAATTGGGAAAGGCAAAAAGGAGAGTCAAAAACTCATCCAGGAAGGTGGAAATTTTTAAACAGTTATTAAGAAATAAGGTGAATAAAGAAAGTAGTGATGGGGTAAAACTAAGAAGAAAAAGAAAGGGAGAGTCATGGGACTCATCCTAGATAAAGATCTCTAGATGGTTATTCAGAAATGAAATGAATAAAATGGAAATTGATGGGTTAGAACAAAGGACTTAGAACACATTGAAAGTTGGGTGGACCAAAGGGACCCCCATCTTGTCCACCATCTTTAAAGGGCCCCAAACCACCTTGGTGTATTTCTCCCAGTTTGGAGAAATTTTAAAAGCTGGAAGACAGAGATTATAATGAAAAATCTGATTTGAAACTGCCTAGGGCAATAGTCAGGCCCACCAATCAAGAAAGATGGACAAAAGGGCCAGGGTCCTTTGGCTCAGCCCTTTGAGTCCCCGTTAGCTTAGGACTCAAAGCCTTTTGCACAAGAGAGGGTAAATTGGTCTGGGCGTGGAGAAAAGATGTTCCTGAAACTAGGATATAAAAATGTAAGGGTTGACAGGATTATGAAAGTTGGTATATATGAGTCGGCCGGGCATGGTGGCTCAAGCCTGTAATCCCAGCACTTTGGGAGGCTGAGGCAGGCAGATCACGAGGTCAGGAGATCGAGACCATCCTGGCTAACACGGTGAAACCCTGTCTCTACTAAAAATACAAAAAATTAGCTAGGCGTGGTGGCGGGCGCCTGTAGTCCCAGCTACTCTAGAGGCTGAGGCAGGGGAATAGCATGAACCCGGGAGGCGGAACTTGCAGTGAGCCTAGATCGCGCCACTGCACTCCAGCCTGGGCGACAGAGCAAGACTCCATCTCAAAAAAAAAAAAAAAAAAAAGGAAAAAAAAAAGAAAGAAAGTTGGTATATTTGAATACACTTCATGCGAAGTGGTTGCATCTCTTTTACCTGATTGTGTTGTGGGAATGAACATTGTATCTGATTGGGGAATGTTTCCCATACCAGGTACCATAAAACGAAAGGCATGTAAATCTGCCCTTCAAGCAGCCCATGTGGCTGGGCTGGGATCAGACCACCATTGAACAATTGCAGATGAATATGTGGTGTAGACACACAGGAGGTTATTCCTGAGAGAATAGCCAGCCTGGTGGACTGGGTAAAAGCCACCGTAAGGTCTGTTTAATGGGAACCAGTGGGATTGCCCAAGCGTTCACAATGCATAGCAGAACGTAGAATGCTGGTGGGGACAAATTCTCCACTTGATAACCCTCTGTGGAGCATTTCCTGGAGCTTATGGCAAAAGCCTCTGAGCTCTTCCCAGCAACACCTACTGAGAGACTGGACTAGAGAATTTCCACATGAGAAGCATTTACTGCCTTGCTATGAAACGTTAGCTGAAGCTATCCTATGGCACCTGAAATACCCGTACCATCTTGAGTGATGTCAGAGAAACATTCTAATGGGGATGGCAGTGCCCAGAGGAGTTCCATAATAAAATGGAAATGGTTTGTGGAGGATCTTGCTACTTAGGGAATGCAAGAAGGAGATACCCTCCAGCAGGGAGTTTCTTTTCCCCTAGGACTGACTCTGAAAGTGTGTAAAAAACTGCTGGATTCTACAGTGCCCAATAAACCACTCTCAGTTGACCAACGAAGAGCTGCTTGGTTTGCGAATGGTAATTCAAAGGTAAATGGACACCATCCTGTCTGAAGGGTCGCTACTTTGACAAAAAAGTAGAAACAGATCTGCTTGGTGGGCTAAATTGCATGCTGCTTTTCCAACAGTGATGGGCAAATTGAATGTGGTAGAAGCCCCTGAATTTGAGTTTTTACTGACTCATTGGCAGTTACCAATAGCTTGGCCATACTCATGGAAGAGGGCAACGGAAACCTGGCCTATTAAAAGGATGCCCTTATGGAGCAAGCCCTATGGAGATGTGAGGGGTGCATTAATGTAGAACAAGTCAATGCCCATAAGAAGAACGAACTTTCAGGTTCAGAAGGTGACTGGAATCGACAAGCAGATATCCCCATGTTTTCCCTTGAGGTGGCTGCCCGGGTCCATGAAATGAGTGGGTACTACAGCAGTGCAGAGATGGGCTGAATCTATTCATGTTCCTTTTGCAACCTCTCGGGCACAAAATGCCAGGAAGAACTATTCTGTTTCTCAGCAAGAGTGACAGAGACTGCTGATGGCTATGAGGCACATTCTCTGGTGGGAAGTCCCTGAACATGGTGGGCAAGTAAGACTGATGCTAGTAGCCTTGTGGGGCTACAGATGAGTCTTGACAGGAATAGACACTGACTCTGGAGTAAGTTTTATTCAATGAAAGATGAAAATGCTCAGAGTGCCATAAAAAGAACCAGAACAGAAGATATTGCTTGACTGTCTGGATGGCTATCGTATCTTCAGACTGAGGAACTCACTGTACAGCCCATAAAGTCTAACAATGAGCAGACAGTTATCCATGTTGGAGTGATAGTTTGATAGAAAAGTAGAATGGGCACTTGAAACATTGATTGTCTAAAACAAGGGGAAATAAAAGCATGAAGGGCTGGCTTACACACCTTCACAAGTGGGTGCTCGCACTCAACATGAATGGGACTAGAGTGTTGCTGCTAGATTTTTTTTCTCTGTTTTTCTGGTTGACCTGGGGAAGAGGAAGTGGGGACGATGCTGGTATGATGTTGCAATTCTTGCCAAGGGAGGAGTACATTGGTATAGTGACTATAATTTTTTCTTTCTTCCTTGTCACCTCGAAAAAAAATTAGTTTTTCCCCTCTACCTGATGCTGAGGTCCTAAGACCAGGGCTGCAACTGCAAGTTGCCACAGCAGCGTTGGTTTATAAGCAAAAAACTGTAACTATGTTTTTAAACTTTATGTCAAAATTCCTAAGGGCGTAATGGGGGTAGGTTGTGCCTTCACTCCCTCTAGCAATATTGGGGTTAGGAGTGAATGCAGCTATATTGCCTGGTGGTAAATAGCTTATTAGTTCTGCACCTATGTAACCTTACCCTGTCTGAATGGGAATGAACTGAGGAGGAGCTACTTGATAGATTTGTATTGCTCCCTACAATCTACACCAGCACAGTGGTGATTCTAGTGTCCCTTCCAAAGGCAAAAAGTTTGGGTGTTACAGGAGAGAAGGAGAAATCGTAGCTGAGAGTAAAGACATGAATAAATGGGTCACTGAGGAAAATTTAATTTTATATTAACAAGGCAAAATAGTCTCAGAGCAAGAGATGATATTGTCTCTTAGCTCAATTTTCCCAGCTGCCTGAAAGAGTGAAGCTTTATATTTACCATGGCCACTTTTGCTTTTGGAAGCTGACACGATTGAGAGGAAGCCTGCAAACCTGAGTGGCCTCATCCTGGGAGACATTCATACAATCTGAAGAACTGGATTAATTATTAATGATTGTGTGTAGTATATATTTCACACACATGTTTATGGCAGCACAATTTGCAGTCGCAAAAATATGGAACCAGCCCAAATGACCGTTGACCAACGAGTGGATAAAGAAAATGTGGTATATATACACCATGGAATACTACTCAACCATGAAAAGGAACAAAATAATGGCATTCACAGCAACCTGGATGGAGTTGGAGACCATTATTCTAAGTGAAGTAACTCAGGAATGGAAAACCAAACATTGTATGTTCTCCCTTATAAGTGGGAACTAAGCTATGAGGACATAAAGGCATAAGAATGATAAATTGGACTTTGGAGACTCGGGGGAAGGGTGGGAGGGGGATGAGGAATAAAAGACTACACATTGGGTACAGTGTACACTTCTCTGGTGATGGATACACCAAAATCTCAGAAATCACCACCAAATAACTTATCTATGCAACTAAACACCACCTGTTCCCCAAAAACTATTCAAATTAAAACAAAAAAACAAAAAACACAAAATCAGTGTGGGGAGGCTGTGGTGTTGTGATATGTATTGGTTTTTATCCACAGTTCCTGACTCACAACTCCCATCGTCCTTGTTGCAATCTTTTGTTATAATGTTGGGTTTGTCAGGCCTCAGGGGCAGGCCTCTGACCTTTTCCTGCCCTCCTTTTCCTCTAATGTCCCCCTACTTTTCTGATTGTGGGTCTTAAGACCCTCCCATGAGAGGGTCCACCCTATACCCTGGAGGAAAGAATGCTGACGTCATGAAGCTTCCATAAAAACCCAAGAAGAGAAAGTTCAGTGAGCTTCTGGATAGCTGAACATGTGGAGGTTCCTGAAGGGCGGCATGCCCAGGGAGGGCATGGAAATTCTGCACCCCTTCCTTCGTAACTCACCCTATGTGTCTCTTCATCTGCATCCTCTGCAATGTCCTTTATAATAAGTGGAAAAAAAAAAGAAATTGAAACTGAAGGGACAGACAAATGTGCAGTGCTTGATAAAGCAAGCCGGAGAAGAGTTCCAGGCTTTACTGTCTTCAGAGTTTCTATTTCTTGCTCAGAGGCTGGGATTCCACTGTGCCTTGAGGCATTCACCTGGGTAATGTGGAGAGGAGGGGAATGTGGAGGCTCAACATCCATGTGTCAGGCAGAGCTAGGGTCCTTGTACTCTGGGAAAATTCTGGAGTCATGCACATCTATAACAGTACAACCATCATTCAGAGCCCACAAGATAAAGATGGAGAACTCTCCACTTCACTCATAATAGCCACAAACTATTGACCTGAGTGTTGGGATCAGACCCAGAAGCTGAGTCTCAGGAGGCTCAGCTAATAGGCTGCAGTGCCTCACCCTTTTTGTTCTGGGCCCCTCCATCTGAGCCAGGAACCAAAGTAGAAAGAGCTGGAGAGGGACCCTGGGGAGCAAGTAGTTAACAGAGATCGGACAGCAGGAGGCAGAGGTTACCATTGGTTGGGTAGAGGGCTGGAGGGTCTTCCAATACTGAACCTGATACTGACCTTCAGCCTTTAGGCTGAACTGAGAGATTAAAACCTCTGAGAAATTAAAACCAATATGGTCAGAGCAGGGGAGGCTGAGAGGAGGGAGTAGGAGAACTGAAGAGCCCTTAGCACAGCCCTGTTCCTGCCCTCAACTGCTATGCTTATGTGATATATGACACAGTGAGAAGGTGCTGGACAGGCAGTCAAAGAAAACTGGGTTCTAGCCCTGGTTCCACAACTCCATGACCTGGTGCAAACCCCTCCCCATCTTTCAGCCTCAGTTCACTCATCTCTACAAGAAGGAGGCATGGATGACCCGGAACACCTCCTGCGTGGCTGTCAGGATGCTGTGAGACTCCAAGGAAGTGGAGGCAATCTCTTGGGATGTCTGGAAAGTATTACTGGAAGCTTAAAAAGTAATAGAAACAATAAAAATGTGGTTCCCATCCCCTGGCCTCCCACTGTGACTCTCAGATGTTCAGACCTGAGATCTGAGAGTTCTCAAATACAGGTATCTGACATGGATGGGGCAAGAATAGGACACCCATGAACACTTTGCAGTGCCCACAGAGAGGAAAGGTATGAAGCATGGGACAATGAGAGTATCCATTCAAAAGTCACTCTGGTGGCGGATGTTGCTAATGCGGGGGTTGTTAGTGTGTGGGGAAAGGGAGTGTACAGAAATTCTGTACTTTCCACTCAGTTTTGCTGTGAATCTAAAATTGCTCTAAAAGTAAATTTTACTAATTAAAAAAACCTATCATACACTTTTCTATAGTCTTTTATCTCCTACATTTACAATTTGTATCCTGAGAAAAGTTCCTTATTTAGTTAAATACATGAAGGATTGAATTTTCAGCAAGTTTGAGAGCATAGAGGCTTTGCCTTTTAAAGAGATCTTTTTTTTCCATTTTCTCTGAAAATCTTAATGTTGTGTCATGTGATTTAAACATTTTCATGACTCCAGACCAAACGAAAATGATCAATATTCAGAGAAAAACAAGAGAGATAAAAATCTTGAGATCAAGAAGTTGAATAATCTTTCTTAGCAGAGATTTCTAAGTAAATAGGGAATCCTTTATGAGGTTTAATTCCAAAGTCTTTATTCAGACAACTATTCCCTTAGTTAATAGAACTTCTATTTGGATAGAGAACATAGAATTAGGAGATTGAGAGGCAGGTTATAAAGAATCCAGAAGCCCTGACACTTGGTTAGCAGAACTCCTGTTGGAAGCCAAGCAGTCTGATCCCAGGCACTTTCCTTTTCCCCTCTCCTTGCCCCTGTCTTTATTTCTTTCTTTATTTTTTGAGACAGGCTCTTGCTCTCTCTCAACTAGGCTGGAGTGCAGTGGTGCAATCGTGGCTCACTGCAGCCTCAATCTGGGCTCAAGTAATCCTCCCACCTCAGCCTCCTGAGTAGCTAGGACCACAAGTGTGTGCCACCACTTCCTCCCTGTCTTGGCACCCTGCTCTTTACTGCCTTCTCAAACTTACCAAATGAGATCTTTAAGGAGACAAATTTGGCAGACTGTGGTTAAAATATGAGCTAAACAGTTTCTCCTCCACCTCCTTTCCACACTCTTCCTCTTTGCAGTTTTAAAGGGTCCTCCATGCTTATTCTATGATCCATTTTTACAAAGCTTTGCTCTCTTGTTGCAGCTCAGAGATCTTTTTCAGATGGTAACTGATCACATCTTACTGAAGATTTATTTTTTAAGAGGAGCTATTGAAAACTAAGAATATCAATCCTGTCTCATTTCCTCAGCCAAGGTTTTCTGTCCCTCCTTGAAGGTGAACCCAGTTGGCTTTATTCCAAAGACTTCCCCTGAGTGCTGGGACACATTTGATATTCTTCCTTATTAACAATGGGACTTGGAATTAAGTACTATTCATCAGATTTGGGGCCTGGGACCCATGACATCTTTGTACCTATATTCTTAAGTTTTCTTCTCTAGTTATTGAGTGTAACTGGGATTCAGAGCATAAGCTTAGGTTTTCTGGAGTCACAAGACCTTCCCTGGGAGACTAAGAGCGTCTTGCTTTTCCTTGGAAGGAGGCTAATCTGCCTGATCTCCAATTAGAACGTAACAGGGAACTGCCAAAGACAAAATGGCACAATGTTGGGAATTGTTGAGACCAAGAAAATTGTCACGACTAGGCCACAAGTAGAATTAGGGTTGGGGGTTTCCAGAGCCAAGCAAACTAAACAGTTTGGTTTGGGGGTAAAAAAATCTGATCATGTGGGATAGCAAGGCCCCTGTTATGCTTCTCATGCATGTCTGACTGAGGTATTAAAAGAAAGCGTCAATGCTCACAGAATAAAAGCACAACACTGGGAATGACAGGCTGAGGAATTGAAGCTTTTGTTGGAGTCTCAGCCAGGTACTTCTGCACACTATACTAGGTCACTGGCTCTCTTCTGCTAGTGCACAAGAGTGACTAGATTATTATTTTAGAGACAACTGTTTCCTTTCTGCCTTCCTGTCTTTCATGATGGCAAAGCCTATTTCTCCCTTGTTCTTCTGTATGTTCACATATCACAGAAATCCCATAACCCTCTTAATTCGCTCTGTGGGAAATCTGCTCTAGAAATGTACAATGTGCTGTGTTCTAAAAATGTGTTATATAAAAAGAAGCTATTAGACTTCAGCTTCTGGGAAGATGGAGTAGCCACACTTTTCCTTATTCCTTCCTCTAAGTATAACTAAAAATGCAGAATATTATATATAGTACAAACATAAGACTTTAGAAGGAAGAGAGAAGGCAGACTGCCTAGAGATATTGGGATCTGAGAAGTGACACAGTGGTGAGTCACCTGGGTTTCCTTTTTGCTTTACATACACCAGACTTAGAACTGAATAAGCCTGCAACCGGCAAACACCAGCAGGCACAGACAAAACAAAAATGATAAAATAAAAACCAACAAAAGCCAGTCCTCTCTAGTCAAAGGATCAGAAAAGGGTCAGCAGAGCATGAGGGAAAACTTTTAGATAGTAACTGCTCTAATCCATTCAAACACCACAGTCAAATGTGGCCCTACTGTCACTCACACCAGCAAAGTGGGGCACCTAGACTTTCACCCTCTTGAGGCTGTAACAAAGCATCCCAACATCCCCTCCACATTGTCTCCACTGACTCCACAAATGTCCCCCCACCTCAAATGTCAAGGAGGCCATGTGGGGAACCTGGACTTCTACCTCCACCTGAGAGCTCCATGAGGCCGTACATCACTCTTCTGCTGGAGATGCATCAGAGAGAAAGCCAGCTAAAAGAGAAAGTATAAATAAATTCCTGGGTCTCATAACATAATTCAGCCATGTGTCACTTAATGATGGGGAAATGCATTGTTAGGTGACTTCGTCATTGTTTGAGCATTTTTGATATGGTTTGGCTCTGTGTCCCCACCCAAATCTCATCTTAAATTGTAATCCCCACATGTCAAGGGAGGGACCTGGTGGGAGGTGATTGACACATAGGGGTGTTTTCCTCTATGCTGTTTTCATGATAGTGAGTTCGTTCTCAGATCTGATGGTTTAACAGTGTTTGGCAGTTCCCCACCCATGCTCTCTCTTACTCCTGACACCCTGTGAAGAAAGTGCCTGCTTCCCCTTTGCCTTCTGCCACGATAGAAAGTTTCCTGAAGTCTCCCCAGTCATGTGGAACTGTAAGTCAATTAAACCTCTTTCCTTCATAAATTATCCAGTCTTAGGTAGTTCTTTACAGCAGTGTGAAAATGAACTAATAAAATTATAGAGTGTACTTACACAAACCTAGATGGTATAGCCTACTACACACCTAGGCTACATGGTACACGCTCCTGGGCTAAACCTGTACAAAATGTTACTGCACTGAATACTGTAAGCAATTGTAACACAATGGTAAGTATTTGTGTATCTAAACATATCTGAACATTAAACAGGTACAGCAAAAATATAGTATTATCATATTATTATTATTTCAGACAGATCCTGATGTGTTTAAAAATGTATGTGGAAGAAATATACTGTATAAGACTATCTTATTACAAAAGAAATAAGTAAAAGGATGTAAAAGGAGGTAACATTTTTATACTTCACTTGAACAGGAAAAATAACGGCATCAGTAGATTATGATTAAGATCTCTCTCTCTCCATATCTTGAATAAAAGGTATAGAGAGATACACTCAAAAACATTATAGATAAATCCAAATGAAATTCTAGAAAATGTTTAAGTAATGCATGGAAAGTCAGGGAAAAGAAAATAGAGAAATGTAAAACAGAAAGAACAAATAGAAAAGAAAAAATATAATGGCAAACTTAAGTCACCCCATGACCCAAGTACATGCTGTTTACGAGAAACTCCCCTCAAATATGATGATATGGGCAGGTTGAAGACAAAAGGATGGAAAAAGTATATCATGCAAACATTAATCAATGAGAAGCAAGAGTGGCCATATTATCTAATAAAGTGACTTTAGAGCAAAGAAAATTATCAGGGATAAAGACATTATACATATATAAATGATAAAAAGTTCAGTCCAACAGGAAGATGTAGCAATACAAAATATGTGGATATCAACAACAGAGCCATAAGATATGTGAGGCAAAAACTGATAGAACTGAAAGAAGAAATAGACAAATACATAATTATAATTAGAGATTTCAACACCCCTCTTTCAGCAATTGATAGAACAACTGTACAAAAAGTCAGAAATTACATACAAGAACTCAACACCATCAATGAACAGCATCTATTTAACATTTATAGAACACTTCACCAACTAACAGCAGAACACATATTTGTTTTCAAGTGCTCACTTATGCTGCCTAGGAAATTTTTGGTCGGTTCATTGGAATTTTCTACATAATCAACTATGTCATCTACAAATAGAGACAGTCTTATTTTTTTATTTCTTCCTTTACATATGCTTTTCTTTTCTTTTCTTTTGCTTGTTTTGGTTATTTTTTTCCTTGCCTGCTTTGTTTTTGTTTTTGCATTACTGAACTGACTGGAACTTCCAGCACTCTGTTGAATAAGAACAGTAAGAGGAGAACACATCCTTATCTCGTACCCAATCTTAGGAAAAAAGCATCATGCTTTCACCATTAGGTATAATGTTAGCTATAGATTTTTTTGTGGATTTTTTTTATCAAGTTGAGAATGTTCCCTTTTATGTTCCCTTTTATATCTATTTTTCTGAAAGTTTTTTTCATTAGTGGCTGCTGAATTTTGTCAAATGTGTGTCCTGCATCAAATAATATGACCATGTAAATTTTGTTTTTCTTAAGTCTGTTGATATGGTGAACTATACTGATTAATTTTCAAATATTGAACCAGCCTTGCATCCCTGGAATAAACATAGTTATGGTGTACATTTTTTATATATTGCTGAATTCTATTTGCTAATATTTTGTTAAGGATTTTTGTGTATATAGTCATGAGAAATATTGGCCTGAAAGTTGTTTCTTCTGTTTTGTTTTATATTGTCTGTTTTGGTATGAGAGAAAAATTAGCTTTATAAAATGAATTGGAAAGCGTTCCCTCCTTTTCTCCAAAGGTTGTGTATAATTGATGTTACTTCTTCTTTAAATATTTGGTAGCATTCTCCAGTGAAATCTTCTGGGCCTACTGACTTCTTTTTGAAAGCTTTAAAATTATAAATTCAATTTTCTTAATAGCTAAAGGGCTATTTAACTTATCTTTTTCACATTGGGTAAATTGTAGTAATTCTTGTTTTCCAAGGAAGTGGTTCACTACATCTAAGTTGTCAAATTTATGTGTGTAGAGTTGTTTATAGTAATGTATTTCATCATTTTCCTGTTGAGGTCTGCAAAATCTGTAATGATATCCCTTGTTTTATATATTGATGTTGGTAATCTATATATTCTCTCTATTCTTTCTGTCAGTCTTGCTGAAGGTTTGTCAATTTTGTTGATTTTCTCAAAGATCCAAATCTATTTTACCTATTTTTTCCATTGTTTTTCTGTCTTTAATTTTTTTTTTCCTTTTTTTGAGATGGAGTCTCACATTTGTCACCCGGGCTGGAGTGCAGTGGTGTGATCTCGGCTCACTGCAACCTCTACCTCCTCGGTTCAAGGGATTCTCCTGCCTCAGTCTCCTGAGTAACTGGGATTACAGGCGCCCACCACCACACCCAGCTAATTTTTGTACTTTTAGTAGAGACGAGGTTTCGCCATGTTGGCCAGGCTGGTCTTGAACTCCTGACCTTAGATGATCCACCTGCCTCGGCCTCCCAAAGTGCTGGGATTACAGGCATGAGCCACCACGCCTGGCCTTCTGTTTTTAATTTCATTGACTTCTGTTCTTATCTTTATTCTTTTCTTCTTTCTATTTGCTTTAGTTTTAGTTTGCTCCTCTTTTTCTAAGTTCTTGAGATATTTCTGCTATTGATTTTTAGTTTGATTTCATGGTGGTCAGAAAACACATTCTGTATGACTTCAATTATTTAAAGTGATTGAAGTTTGTTTTATGGCCCAGGATATGGTCTATGTTGGTGTACGTATTGTGAGCAAAACAAAAACAAAAACAAACAAGAACCTTAACAAACACAATTTATCCAAAAATTAACTCAAAATGGATTATATCTTCAGTGTTAAAACTATGAAATTTTAGAAAAAAACATGGGAGAAAATCTTCAGTGTCTAGGGCTAGGTAGAAATTCCTAGACTTGTTACTTAAAATGCACAATCCATAAAAGGAAAAGTTGATAAATGGAACTATGTAAAAATTTTAAAAATTTGCTCTGCAAAAAAAAAAAAAAAAGCCTAAGAGGATAAAAAAACATGTTACAGCATGGAAAACATATTTTCCAACCACATATCTGACAAAGGACTCGTACCTGAGCATATAATGAACTCTCAATATTCAACAGTAAAAAAACCGAGCAATCCCATTAGAAAATGGGAAGAAGACACGAAGAAACATATGACATAAGAGGATATATGGATGGTAAACAAGAACATGTAAAGATGCCGAACATCATTATAGCTTAGGGAAGTGCAAGTTAAGACTATATGTTATCAGTAATACTTATCATAATGACTAAAATAAAATGGTGACAACACCTAATACTGGTGAAGACAGAGAAACTGATGCTCATTCATTCCTGGTGGGATTATAAAATGGTACAGCCACTCTGGAAAATAATTTGGCAGTTTCTTAAAATACTAAACATGCAACTCTATACAAACCGGCAATCACACTCATAAGTGTTTATCACAGAGAAAGGAATACTTATATTCACATAAAAACCTGTACGCAAATGTTTATAGCAGCTTTATTCATAATATCCAAATTCTGGAAACAATTCAGATGTCTTTCAATGAATGAATGAGTGGTTAAACAGTGCCACATGCATATCATGGAATACTGCTCAGCAAAAAAAGCAAGAAGCTATTGATACATACATCAGCTTGAGTAAATTGCCAATTCATTCCATATTGTGCTGAGTGAAAAAAGCCAATAACGAAACATCATGTGCTATATGATTCTGTTTATATAACACTTTTGAAATGACAGAGTTGTAGAAATGGAGAGTACATTTGTGGTTGCCAGGTGGTAAGGGGTAGGGGGCAGCAGTGGTGAAGTGGTGTGGCTGTAAGAGGGCAACAAAAGGGATGCTAGTGGTGATGGAAATGGTTGTGTCTTAACTGTATCAACATCAATATCCTGGTAGTGATATTGCACAATTGTTTGTTGATGGTATCAGTAGGAAAAATTGGGTAAAGAGTGTACACTAGATCTCTCTACATAATTTCTCACAACTGCATGTGAATCTAAAATTATCTCAAATTTAAAAGTTAAAAATTTTTTTAAAGGTTGTTGAAACCTTTAAAAGCACTTAAAAGTGCTTTAAAAGCACTTTTTTTTTTAAAGGTTGTTGAAACCTTTAAAAGCACTTAAAAGCACTTAAAAGTGTGTTAAAAGCACACACTGTGCTGGAGGACCACAAGGCAAGACTACAATGAAAGGCCTTGCAATTTCCATGTCAATCTAAAGATGATAAATTAGTTTGAGTCTTTGCCCTTGAGATTTGGGCTCAGGCCTGATTTAGGCTCGGCTTGATTTGTGGGTTTCTAGACAGGTCTGGACAGCCCATTTTGTCTTCTCCCATTTATTAATCTACTGCTTAGAGTAATTTGGTTCATATCCACTGAAGAAGTTAGGGGAGGAGATTCTTATTCAACTCCTATTCTGTACAGTTACCAAGTCTGTTTGCCCACACAACCTTGATACTAAAACAAACCAACCTTTTTTTTCATCTAAAGCAAAAAGGTATTATTTGTATGTAGATATGTAGGTTATATGAATCTTTTATTAATGAGATCATAGATAAACTCATCATGTAACTTGATTGTGAGGGGCAAAAATAAACTTGAATAGCCTATCCTAAACTGTCATAGGAAGGAATATAGGCTCATTTTGGTATCAGAGAGAAGAAAAATGCAACCATAAGGCAATATCATTTCAGAATTTTCTTGCAAAAAAATTAAAGGTTTCTATTTTGTAAAGGATGCAATGGACAAAATTTATAGAAGGATGGAAAGATTGGGAGAAGATATTTGTAACTCCTAAACACACACCAATGTTTGCAACATGTTTGTATCCACAAATTCCTCAGAAAAATACAGAGAATGTTACTTAAAATGAGAAAAATAAATATGACAATCATTCACAGAAATCCAAATGCTTAACGAGTGTATAAAGAGCTGTCAAAATTTCTTAGTAACAAGAGAAATGCGAATTTTCAGTGCAATGAGATACCAATTTACAGTGACGAGAGTGGCAAAAATAGTTGGATAATACAACATTTGGTGGTGGTGTTGGGTCACAGGCAACCTTCTGCACTGCTGGAGGGAATGTAGGCTAGTATAGCTTATGGACAGTGATTTTGCAGTCTTCAACCAAATTAGGTACCCAAAGCTCTACTACCCTGCCGGGATCATAACAGGACATGAATGAGGAAGTAGAGGAGTTAGGATGTCCATCACTTGGAATGAGCAAGTACAACGTGGTGGATGCACACCATGGAGCACAATATCACATTTAGAAGCAATGAACTAGATGTACATGTAACAGCACAAACAGGTCTTTAAAACATGGTATAGAGTAAGAAAAGTAAGATGCAGATTGGAACCATTATATGTAATTTTATAGAAGGGTTTAACATACACAAACAACAATACTTTTTTTTACAAGGTTGCACACAAATTCAAGAAAGCATATAAACCACATTACAACTGTTGCCTGTAGCTGGAAAGAGAGCAGGGATGGTAGATAAATAATACATATGTAAATAAACAAAAAGGGGCTGGGTATGGACCTTGATGATGCCGTGCCTTGAAATGAGTATGATTAGCTGGCACCTGAGGTAATTAAAGGAGGAAGAGATGAAGAAGTAAGGGAAGGCTGGTTATATGGAATTGAAAGCTGAGTAGATTGAATGCAAACAGCAGCTAGGAGGCACTGGTAAATTTAGTGCTCACTTCGGCAGCAGTGCATATGCTAAAATTGAAATGATACAGAGAAGATTAGCATGGCCCAGCACAAGGATGACACGCAAATTTGTGACGTGTTCCACATTTTTTAAATTTCCCACTCATCATCCAGGAAGAATCAAATTTATTCATTCACACAAACATTCATTTACTGATTTAGTAAATAACTTTTCCCTGTCCACTGGAAAAAAAAAAGAGGTATTGGTAAATTTAGAAAGACACCTGAAACATGCATAGCTCAGCTCTTTGTCTTTCTTTTGGGAGCCAGCCTCCGTTGTGAGGACTCGCTTAGGTTTGGGCCTCCTAGGATTGAGTGGGCAAATGTTAATTCTGTGGTTTAGCCAGTAGGCCCATTTGGGTTCTACACTTCCAGCTGAACTTAATTAGTAATGACTTCTATTCTTACTTTCTTACTCAAATTGCTCATCACTGGGTAGGTAAGAGGGGTGCTATTAATTGGGAGCCCCTCTTGGAGACTACAGCTTTCACAGGCACGCAAGTAACTTGAACTTTGTTATTATGATGATTTGCCAGCCAATTTTTCTATCATCTTATCCACCTGGATCAAGGTACAGCCTGGACTTAACAAAAAGCAGCGTATTGAGCTAAGGAGTAAACGTACTATTCTCACCACTAGAGAGGAGTGTAGTTGTTATCGGAGCTTCCTATCAGAATCTGTTGACTCAGGTTTGTGTGTAAAATTAAAATCACAGATTAAACAAGCTTGCTTATCAGGCTTTCGCTGGACATTTTCAATTATTACTATGTTACTAGGGTGGGGTATTCTAGAAGGAAAAATGAAAAGAGGGCTGCAGACATACTGGGAACAATGGGCAGGAGGTAGCAAGAGGGTCAAACAGCACTTAGAAACCTTAGCCATCGAGGAGAGCCTTGTCCAGTACAACAACCAACATCTGTAGCCTCAGGACAAAGCAAATTTCTGCTCCGTATTCTGCTCATTAGGTAAGAAAATATCTAATCCATTTTCAATAGATTGTCATTTAAAAAAAGTCATCTGAAATGGCTAACTTCAGCTATTTGAAAAATAGCTAATGTGCAACACCTCATCCCTCAGTCTTATTTGATGAGATATGGTTTGATATTACTATCTTAAAATAATTATATATTTATAAAGTCTACTTTTGTTACTCTTCTAAAAATGTACACCTTATTCCTCTCTGCAGTGATCTAAATAATAAAGCCTAGTTTATTATTATGGATGCTTTGTACTTCTAAGCTCTTTTCTAAATCCAGTTAAACATATAAGTGTGTTAAACAAAGAAGTATCTTCAATTTAAACCATTATCCTAGATGCTCTCTTGCTTTATAGAATGCTGTGGATTTGCAATATGTTTGTTCTATATTATGCAATGGTAGACTTTGATCAGGTGAAACATAGTTAAATAGTAATCTGTAATAAATTTATATTACATATATGGCCATGTTTGCAAAACTTCTTTCCATCTTAGAATGATAATAATGACTTTAACTTTTTAATTTCTTTTGTTCTAGTTTGAGGAAACTGTGAGCGTGTTTGAAAACTCTGGCTGGCAGTAATGTTTCTAAGATCATTAGAACACACATCTCCTAGTGTGTTAGAAATACACATCTGATCTCTGGAGTCGTTATATTCACTCAAATGCTTAGATCTTCATGCACACTGAATTAGAAGGAATCAATATAAACATGAGAAGATATCTTTACAATGCAGAGTGGAAATCTGCTAGGAATTATTTATCACATACTCCAGAAACTGAACATAAAAAAGTTAAATATTTTTATGCTTAAAATGCAGTATGTGATTATTGTATAAAGGTAAACATTTAAAAAGTATAGGACAGAGTTAGATTTGTGTCTTCTTAATTCCCTTTCCTGACCCTCCTCAGATAACCACTGTTATATTTTGTGTATATCCCTCCAGAACTTCCAAAACTGAGCTTTGATTTTTGGCACAGGAATGTTGCTATTCAAATACAATTATTATACTGTGACTACATTGACCATCGTACAGATAAAGTTTTTAAATGCAGATAAAATGTGGTTTTATATATGTAAAGTTATAATAGGGACTTTGAGGAATCATTTTACAGTGTTAAACCTGACTCATTTTAAATTCAATTCTTTTGTACCAGAAGAGCTGGTTAGGCCTGTGTTTCCTGGTTCCCACAGTCTTCCAGGCTCAATCCATCTTTACCCAAAATTTTTATACACCCAGTGAAAACTTGCTTTTGCAATATCTATATATTTAACTTTTAATAATTGTAGGATAAATTGCTTTTCTACTTTTCTTCTTTGTAGAAAAAAAGTCAACTAGCATGGGCAATAGTAGCTTGAACTCTGCCTCTGACAGATTGAGTACTTTGGAGATGGTTATTGTCAAGTTTTTTTGGTCTTAAATAAATAAAAAGCTTAACAATTTGTCATTTGATGCTTTTAAGTACATCAAATGGGGTTGGATGAACGTAAGTAGAGGAGTAATTTTCAGTTTTATATTTTCAATTATCAATGCTTGATTAAAGTGAGCAAATACTAAATAAATGCATAAAAGTGCTTACTAAATAAATGGAAACAAAAAGTGGCTCTAATAAAAATGTTGCAATATTTTCTCATCAATAATTGAAAAGACAAATGATTCCAAGTTCATTCATTCATTTGATGTTTAATTTGTGCATCCAACTGTCCATCCATCCGTCCATCCGTCCATCCATCCATCCATCCATCTTTCTACCCACGCCTTCTTTTAAAAAATACTTTTTAAACACCTTCTCTGGTATGGCATGTAAGAGGATTTTAAAACAAAACAAAACATTACATAAAACACCAATGGCATCTCCAAGAAGGTAAACATCAACAGCCTAGTTATAATTCTTGGAGTGGATATTTTGGGGTAATATTTCTCAAGAAAAAAGTCATAAAGTTGATTTATACAAGCCAAAGTAAATTATCTTGGAAATTAAAATTAGAGATAGAAATTTGTATTTCATGGCCTTACCCTGGAGGATCTCAATTTAATAGATTTGCATACATAGTTATTAACTGTGAGTTCTTGATCAAATTATTTTTTTCAGTGTTGGATTCCTCATCTATCAGAGAGAGATAATGAAACCTACTTCTCAAACTCATCAGGAATATTAAAATATTATACTTGAAAGCCTTTGTAATTCTACAGTGTAGTACAGTTCTGAGGTCACTTTTACAGGTATTTCTTTCTTCCTTTTATTTTTCGAAACAAGGTATCACTCTGTTGCCCATTCGGGCATGCAGTGGTGTAATCATAGCTCACTGCAGCCCCCACCTCCTGGGCTCGGGTGATCTGGGACTACTGGCATGCACCACCACACCCAGCTAATTTTTTGTATATTTTGTAGAGACAGGGTTTCTTCATGTTGCCCAGGCTGGTCTTGAACTCCTGGGATCAAGCAATCCACCTGCCTTGGCCTCCCAAAGTGTTGGGATTACAGGTATGAGCCATCACACCCAGGCAAATTTTTGATGTTTTGTAGAGACAAGGTCTCATTATGTTGCCCAGGCTGGTCTCAAATTTCTGGATGCAAGTGAACCTCCCACCTCGGCCTCCCAAAGTGCTGGGATTACAGGTGTAAGCCACCATGCCCAGCCTACAGGTATTTCAGTGAGGTAAAAACACATTTTCAGAAGTACACAAGGCTTTTCCTTATTTTGTGCAACCATTGTGTTTGCACGATGGTTAATGATATTTTGTTCTAATGTAAAATCAGTCAATGTTGGTAAGCCAAGATAAATCCATATCTAAATATTTGGTCTAGTTGATTCTAGCATAGGAAGGAGTGCTGGAATTGAGGAAGGGTGGACAGAAGAGAAGGAAACTGCTGCAATGTGGGGTGAGAAAACAGGAGTGGGAAGTGAGAGATGGTGTGGAGTGGTAGCTGTACAGAGCTGGCCTTACCATAGATTGTTTTATGCTGGCGATCATTCTGGGGCTGATTCTCTCAATCAACCTGAGGACCCATGGAAATTTTGAAAGTACACATTAAAATTCTAGAATGTTAATTCTAGAAGAGAATGCACCATTATACATTCCAACCCTTTCATTTTTGGATGAGGAAATGATAGCAGAGATGTTAAGTGACTTGCCCAAAGTCACATAGTGAGTGGCAGGAATATATGATAATTTGACAGTTGTTTTGACATGGGACCATTTTAGAGTCCTAAAAAATGAGTTATTGAACTTTTATCTGTTCTTAGTTTTAACTAATGCGTGCAACAGACTTGAGTGTCATCCTCTATATAACTAAATCACCTTAGTGTTAGGCTCAAGGAGGGGGCTGGGGTGGGTGAGGCACAGACACTTGCTGCCAGAGCATGTGTAACCAGCAGTCCTTTGTTCACCATACCTGCTTCAATCATTGTTAGGAAACCTAACAATGTCTATTACAGGTAAGACAGGTGATGGTGGGAGGGATATTTGGACCACAATGTGCTGATTCCCATCTTCACTTCAAACTGCTCAGAAAGCCGTGATTCAATTTCATAATTTCTCTCATTGCTGGGTGTGGTGGCTCATGCCTATAATTCCAGCATTTTGGGAGGCCGGGGTGGGAGGATTGCTTGAGCTCGGGAGTTCAAGGGCAGCCTGGGCAACATAGTGAGACCCTGTCTCTACAACAAATAAAAAAAGTAGCCGGGTGTGGTGGCATACACCTGTAGTCTCAGCTACCTGGGAGGCTGAGGCTGGAGGATTGCTTGAGCCCATGAGGTCAAGGCTGAAGTGAGCCATGATTATACCATCCCACTCCAGTCTGGGTGACAGATTGAGACTCTGTCTCAGATAATAATAATTATTATTATAATTATAAATTATCTCAGTACTTTGTATCACACACTACACTTAAAACTATCAAATACCTCTATAATGTTAGTTTTGGACAACATTTTTGCAAAACTTTAAAACTGTATCTTCCGCCGGGCACAGGTGGTTCATGCCTGCAATCTCAGCACTTTGGGAGGTCAAGGCAGGAGGATTGCTTAAGCTCAGAAGTTCAAGACCAGCCTGGGCAACATGGCAAAACCCTGTCTCTACAGAAAAAAAAAAAAAAGCACCAAAAATCAGCCAGGTGTGGTAGCACGCACCTGTAGTCCCAGCTACTCAGGAGGCTGAGACAGAAGGATCACTTGAGCCTGGGAGGTGGAGGTTGCAGTGAGCTGAGATGGCATCACTTCTCTCCAGCCTGGGTGACAGAGTGAGACTGTCTCAAAAAAAAAAAAAAGTATCTTCATTGCCTTAAAAATTACAAAGGTAATAGATATATGGAAATTCCAAACAACATAAAAATGAGTAAAGCAGAAAAAGCCTTGAAATGAGGCAAGTTTAGGAAAGGATAAGAGTCAGAGATATCTATAATAAAAAACCACTGATGACACTTTGATGGAGGTCAAGTGTTCTGTCTCAGTAGTCCTAGGGCAGGGGCCACAGCTGTCCAGCTTTCTAACTTGCATTAGGACTCATGTCACTGCCTTACTGCTTCTTGGGTTAGCTATATAGGTATTTCCCATACAAGCCTCTGTCCTCCCTTGTGTAAAGAGCCCCAGGACAGCAGGATGGTTCAGTGGAAAAAGGTCAAGGTAAGTATCAGGCCCAGGTTCAAACCTTGCTCTGCACTGAGTAGGTCACTGAGCTTTCCAGTTTGTTTCTTCATTTGCACCTGTGGATAAAAACCACAAGGATTAGACAGCTAGCTTTGGTAGTAAGGAGTTCAGTAAGTGGAAGCTATTATGATTACCACCCTCAGGTAGTTCTAGTTTGAACTTCAGGACCTCAAAAATAGTAACTCAGATTTTCAGACGTCAGCATAGGCAGCTCCAGGGGAAGTTCCTATGGACAAACCTTAATGAGCTCAGAAAGCTGGTTTTGCATGCCGGAGCAACCAACAACAGACAAGTTGCCTTCATGGGCCTTTGAAATCTGTTACAAAGTTGAGCAACCATCCCAAAAAGAAACATTGAAGATTTAGTTTTCAAAAGCATCGTTCATCTCAGAAGAGTGCTTGTATCGCCTATTCTACCAAACAGGATGTTGTTATGTAAACTTCAGGATCTATTGAGAAACTCTCCAAGTGGGAAGTCCCTGGCCTCGTGGGAAAAGAGAGTAATTGTATTAACTAATTAGCAAAGGATCACTTCACACATATCAGGCAATACTATTTAGAGAAAGGATTATTTAACTCAGACTAATACGGGAGTTTTCACACTCCTAGGTATATATTTTATGCCTCAAAGATCCTCTGCAGCAAAAGTATTGCAGTCCTGGAGGGCACTTGTTAATATTAAAAACAAATGAAAACAACTCAGATCAATCTAATTGTTATTATCCAGTAGTTTTGTTTAGAAGAGTCACAGAAGTAGGCATTTAGATTGTCAAAACAAAAGTTCATAGAACAGGGTAGATAATTTAAACATGTGCTATCTTAGTCTCTCCTAGATTAGATTTTCATTGCCTACATGTTTGCCTACATGTTTGCATATCAGCAATGCCATCATAAATGTCTGAATCAACGTGGCTGAAAGAAACACCACTAAGATTGAACTGAAGACTCCTAGAAGAAAACAGATAACAGCAGAAATAGCCCTGAGAGATCAAATTGCTTTTTATTCCATGGACATCATGATTTGACACAGAAAGGTTAGAAAATACAAATATATATCACTGAGTTCAAATTTAGTTTGTGTTTATCTTTCTTTTGCTAAATTATCTTTGCTCAGCTGTTGAGCCTATAGTGCCTCATTATTAACAGAAGGTGAAAGCTGGCCTGGGGTGCCAGTTACAAACCATAACAGAGAAGCTGTTTTTCTCAGATATTTCAGTGTTGTTTTTTAATCATGTAAGTGGCTGGTGCATACATTTTCCCTTACCTTTAATCACATGAACAAACTAAAATAACTTCTAAATTCCAAGTCTGTTGCTGTTTGCTAGAAAAGGTATACATTTCCCCAGGAGGGAAAAAGGAGTCTAGAAGAAAGGAAAAAAGAATCTAGAAGAAAAAAATATGCAAAATAAATGTCAGGCTTGCAAACACTGGGTTTATGCTAATGGAGCCAATGCACATTAAAGGTCATTGTTTTCGTGTCCATTTCCCTGAGGGTAGATATCTGCTAAGGATGCTGTCAGAGTGGGTCCAGCATTTGATGAGAGGTTGTGCTACGATCATACTTCCTCACTTTAAGGACTTTCACACACTCATGTGTTGGGATTGACCGGAAACCATATACAAGTAATTTATTTCTAAAAATCAAGGATTGAAGCCAGGGAGTAGTTAATTTAAAAATAAAGATTTGAGATTACCCTTATAATGCCCCTTAAAGTCACTCATGTGAATTTCAATATTCTTTCTTAAGTGAAGGGAAAGAGGTGAAGTTGCATTCTATTAAATGTCACAGGCATATATAGCACTAGAAAACATGACCTGTGTTTTTTTTTTTGTTTTTTTTTGGTGAGAAAATGTCTGAAAATACTGAGTTGTGTGATTTCTAAGGTTTCTATGATTCTATAATTCTGTCAAAAGCATTTTTAAAAACAAGCTCCGAAAAAGGCATCCAATTTGTATTTCTTGTCTTTACCCTGTGGTTCAGATATATCAATAGTTAGCCATAAGTGGCTGTTTATCAATATAAAATAAAGCAACTGGTTTCACAAGTAGTTGGTTGGTCTTACCCATTTTCCCATAAAATCGCATAGTTCAAATAAAAGATGAAGTTTGGTTAATTTAGCTTTTACTTCAATTCCGAGTTTGTAGAGTGTTACACCGCCACCCTGTGGACATAAGTTTTTCAGCTTCTAGCAAGGCTTTTTTTCATTTTTTTTTTCTTTCTTTGAGACAGGGTCTTGCTTCCGTCACCCAGGCTGGAGTGAAGTGGTGCCATCTCTGCTTAGTGCAAACTCTGCCTTCTGGGCTCAAGTGATCCTGTCATCTCAGCCTCCCAAGAAGCTGGGGCTACAGGCCCGTGCCACAACCCCAGCTAATTTTTGTATTTTTTGTAGAGATGGGGGTTTTGCCGTGTTGGCTGGACTGGTCTGAAATTCTTGGGCTCAAGCGATCCACCCACCCCAGCCTCCCAAATGTTGGAATTACAGGTGTGAGGCACTGTGCCCGGTCCCAACAAGGCCTTTGAATATGTAACTAGTATTCCACTTAAAAAATATGCAAGGCAAATAGCCTCATCGATTGTAACTCTAAAATGAGTATATATGAAAATGTTAGGCATTGTTCACTAAAAATTAAAAATAATTGTTTCCTGTTAAATGAAAGTATGGAAAATGATGGTTACTGCATAAGTCAGTTTCTTTAAATATAACCATACCTTTACCAGAAACCAAAAAACATCCCAGGAAATAGACTTTCTAGAATTGTCTTCTGAGCTAAATTCCAGTCTAGGATGATCAACTGTTCCATTTTTCCTGGGACAAAGTTTTCCCAGGACTTTAAGGCTAAAAATGGGAAAGTTGTTGGTAAACTGGGCAGAGTTTCTACATATGACACACATATGGCTCTTTTGCCCAGGGATTTTAGCCTTTTTTGCTTCTAGCAATTTGTTACAGACTTATGGGAGCTCACAGTAACCCTTAGGGTAAAAGGAAAGTCTGATGAATTAAAAGTGAATGGATCTAATGTTATTAGCAATATTATTTATTATAGTCAAAAAGTGAGAACAATCCAAATGTTTGTCAACTGCTAAGTGGGTGAAGAAAATGTGGCATATTCATATAATAGAGTATTATTCAGAAATAAAATGGAATGAAGTACTGACACACGCTACAACCTGGATAAACCCTGAAGACATTGTGCTAAGTAAAGAAGCCAGACACAAAAGACCACATATTGTATGATTCATTTATATGAAATGTCCAGAGTTGGCAGTAAAGACAAAGTAGATTAGTGGTTACCAGGGACTGTCGGGAGGGGGAATGAGGAGCGGCTGTTAATGGGTCGGGGTTTCTTTTTTTTTGGGTGATGAAAATGCTCTGGAATTCGATAGCAGTGCTGGTTGCACAACTGTAAATATACTAAAAGCCTCTGAATAGCACGCTTTAAATAGGTGAACTGTATGGTATATGAATTATATCACAATAAAGCTGTTTAAAAATAAAGTAAATAGATCCTTGGTGTCATGTTTTCATTGCAGCAGACTGTCAGCAAAAGGGATGATGAGTAGAAAGGCAGTATATGAAAAACTAGTTTATTCCTCAACATTTCCATGATTAATTACTTTCAGGTCTATAGACTATAGAATCAATTAACTTGGAAATGATTTAAGAGAGTAAGGAAGCCATGAATTTCAGATGCAATGTTTGGCTATATAGAGATTTGGAGATGTAGTGTCAGACACATCTGGGTTTTACCTCTGGCTCAATCAATCAAGCGTCAGTTTCCTCGTCTGTAAAACAGATTTCATAATTGTGCTCACTGAATTGAGCATTAAGGATTAAAGGAGTGGGGATCTTGAGCGATCTGGTTGGCCTTCCAAGGCAGGATTACTGTGACTGTTGTGCGTGCACACTCTCCTTTTCCTATTATTGCTGTTGTTTCCTGTTTTTGCCAGGTACAGACCAAGTGCTGAGTCTGGGTGAAGGAGAGAAAGCTTCTCCTCTCAGGCGATGCTGGCTCTTTGTCCCTTGGAGAGTGGCTCTGGTCTGGCTATGTTGATAAATTCCACAGAGCTGCTATTCATCAGAAATTCAAATCAGCAGATTGTTACTGGGAGAGCTTTCTACCCTAATCTCCCTGGAAAGGCAGGGTTTCAGGCGTCCTGGATCGCAAGCAGCTCCTGAGGTGGGATGAGGGACAGGATGTGATGTTTTCAAGAACCTTCTTTCTGAAGGACTTGCTCCTTTCTTCTTAGACCACTTGTTCTTCCTTCATCTTTGTTTTCTTCCAGTTAGCCGTTAGGCATCATTTTATTTCATGATGCACAGCACCTCTCTTGTCCTATATTTAAAGCAGGCATTCTCTAGTGCTCCAAAGCATGGGCATTTAGCAAAGGCTTTAAGTTTGAGCAGCAAGCCATTTCAGTTGCTTTCTTTTAGATCATTCCTATTTTTCTCTGTATCATCAAATCATCTCTTCTTATTTAAATTTTTTATTTTTATTTTTTTGATACATGGTCTCCCTCTGTCACCCAGACTGGAGTCCAGTGGTGCGATCATGGCTCACTGCAGTCTCAACCTCTTGGACTCAAACGTTCCTCCCACCTAAGCTTCCCAAGTAGCTAGGACTACAAGCATGCACCCACCATGACAGACTAGTTTTTTAAATATTCTGTTCAGATGAGGTTTTGCCATGTTGGCCAGGCTGGCTTTGAACTACTGGGCTCAAGTGATCCTGCTGCCTTAGCCTTCCAAAGTGCTGAGATTACAGGCGTGAGCCACCATGCCTGGAAAATCATCTCTTCTTTACCTTCCTTGGGCTTCATAAGCCAGGATGCCAGTGCCTCTAAGGTGCTGGTTATCACAGTACTGGCACATAGGATGTGCCTGTTGAATGCTTGCTTGAGGTGGGCAAACTGTTTAATTTATAATAATCAGCCTTTGGGGTGAAGACAGAATTCTGTGCAGTATTTTTCAAGTCCCACATCACTGCCTTTTTCTGTTCTTCTGGATGTTTTCCTCCCTCAGTATTCCCCTCATCCAGAGTCTCTGAGGGGGTGACTTTGTGGGAGGAATAAAATGGAATGTTTTTAAAGTGACTTAGCATGGCTTAACTATGATACCTCAAAATTGGCATCACCGTACCACTCATTTTTTGTTGCACTTGAACCAAAAGAGTTATACGAAGTTACAAATGTTAGGGGAGTTTGGGCCAAGCATTTCTGGAGAGGAGTTTCTGTGTGGGAGAACAGTCATAGTCTTAAATGGCTGAATCAATTTCAGGAGGAGAGAAGCAAGAAGGGCTTCTGGCCACTACTGTCTAGCCTAACGCTCAGGGAGGGAAGGGGGTGGCAGTGCAAAATTTGGAAATATTCCTTGTTCCTCCTTCCACAGGTCAGAAGGAAGTCATGCAGAACTCACCTGCAAGGGATCCAGAGAGCTCGACAGGCGGCTGAATTTAATTTCACAGAAGAATGAAGAAAACTCAGGAGAATAGAAAATTAACCTAAGATCAAAGGAGGTGAGGGAAATTGCCAAACTTGTATTTCTAGTAGGGACCATTTTTGGAATTTGTTGTTGTGTTTAACTTTGAGAAATATCTATGAAACCCAATGAAATACATTTAAAAAGTTAGCAGAACTTAAGGAGTTTCTTTTAAAAGTAAAAATTTACATTAGTAGCTGATTATACACACACACACACACACACACACACCACCTAAAACCACAATGTATGGTTTATTAATGTATTTATTTGATAAATATGTATTGAATGGTTATTGAATTGGATCATATAAAATTAACTTTTTTTTTTTTTTTTGAGACAGGGTCTCTCACTCTGCCACCCAGGCTGGAGTACAGTGGGATGATCACAGCTCACTGTAGCCTTGATTTCCTGGGCTCAAGTAATCCTCCTGTTTCAGCCTCCCAAGTAGCTATGACCACAGGCATGCACCACCATGCCTTGCTAATGTTTTCTGTTTTTTCTAGAGACAGGGTCTTGCTATGTTGCCCAAGCTGGTCTCGAATTCCTCAGCTTAAGTTATCCACCTGCCTCTGCCTCCAAAAGTGCTGGGATTACAGGCATGAGCCATTGCACACAGCCTAAAACTGACTTTTTTTAAGGTCAAGATGTTGGTCTATCGGCCATTTCACATGGTTGAACCTATCAGCCAAAATTGTTGTTCAAGGAATCAGCAGTGAAACCTTCTCTAATCTCAGGGGATTTACAATCTAGGGTGAAATAAATCCTTTAAATAAATAATCAAAAAGTTATATAAGACAATAAAATAATTATAAGTGTGGCAACTGTAGGCAAAAAGAGCATGCAAGGAGCCCTGAGACCATACAATGAAGAAACAACTTAGTCTTTGGGGTTGGAAAAGGTGCCCCTGGGGAAATGATGTGAGGGATGGGTGGGATGAATCTGCTGGGGAGGGGGGTGGGCTTTCCAGGCAGTGGAGATTTATGGGAAAGGCTCACGGGGGGAGGGAAGGACCAGAAGGAGTCTGGCTGGTTGGAGGGTGATGTAAGAGAAGAAGGTCAGAGAGGGAGAGGGTGACCAGGTGGGCTGAGGAAGTCCTTGTACACCACATCAACTTTAGGGATTTCAGAGATTGTTCTAAGGAAAATGGAAAGGCAGCAAAATTTTTTTTTTTTTTTTGAGGCAGAGTCTCTCTCTGTCGCCCAGGCTGGAGTGCAGTGGTGCCGTCTCGGCTCACTGCAAGCTCTGCCTCCCGGGTTCAGGCCGTTCTCCTGCCTCAACTCAGCCTCCCGAGTAGCTGGGACTACAGGCGCCCGCCACCACGCCCGGCTAATTTTTTGTATTTTTAGTAGAGACGGGGTTTCACCATGTTAGCCAGGATGGTCTCGATCTCCTGACCTCGTGATCTGCCTGCCTCAGCCTCCCAAAGTGCTGGGATTACATGCGTTAGCCACGAAAATGTTTTAAGAAGGGGAAGAACTGATCTTTACACAGTGTGTTGGTATAGAATTAGATCTGGTAGACTGCCATGTTGAAATTTCCAAGTGTTGCAGTAAGATCTGAAGAGAATGAAGTGTCCAGAGTTTGAGTTGGTGTCCAGCAACTCAAGTCTTGGAAGAGGAAAACAATGTGTACCTGTCCTTCTAGATAAGAGTATTCACTCCTGATGAGGCCAGTGCTTGTCCTGGGGACCACAGGCCAGCTATCTTAACACAGCTCTCACAACTGGGTCTCTTGAGACCCATTTCCAGGCTCTCTTGTTCCCCTGGGAATCCCTGACTATTCAGTTCCCAGAGGAAGAGACAGAAGTAGAGGTTTAAGAGGCAGGTGGGGTTAGGATGAGAACATAGTTTTCTTGTAACTCGAAGTAAGTGGCTTGGGGTATACCAGCTATTGAGAAATCCTCTTGAAATCAATTGAGCAAGTTTTGGAGTGAATATTACAGTAAGAATTCAGGGCAGATATAAAAGCAACTAGAAAAGCAGAAAAATGCCTACACTAGCTGTGTCATCTGCACTACATATGCTATGGGAACATATAGCTGTCTTGGCTGTGGACAGTAAACTGTAGTTGAGCAAGACCGTTTAATATCTGGGACAAACTTTACTGGTAAATAAAGGCCATGTGCTCCTGAGGTTTAATTGGGACACATCCTGCATTTGTTAGTGAAATAAGCTCCCAGAAAAATAGATAGACTTTTTTGGGGATATTTTTGACATTAAAACTTTACTCATTTGATAGTTATATTCATCATCCATGAACATTTTTGGAACATCCAGAACATCCAAGGTGTTAGGCTTCATCTTTTGTTGTTAACATTTTATATTCTTCTTGCTTCTGTTATGGTATATCAATTGAGAAGTTCTTGACTAAGAATTAAAATAACAAACTGAAAATATCTTAACACAAACCTGAGCTCACTTAAAGAAGTCTGGAAGTTGGTGGATCCAGTGTTAATTTTTAATTGATTTTTATATTAAAAAATGTTATAGAGTAAAATCCTAAGTTTGCATGAATTTAAAACCAAAACTGGAGATACGAAGAAAATTTGAGCTCCTGCAAAGCTCAAAGCTCAAAACTCAAAGCCCGCATCCAGAGATGGGCATCACCTCCACTTAACTCTTAATGGTCTTCTACTGTCAGGGTTCTCCCAGGGAGAAGATTCAAAGACACAGTGCTCAATAATCCTGTCAACACAGTGGTCTTCATGATTAGAAAGGACAACTGAAGTCTAGTTTTTCACACATATTAAAGGGATTTAGTTAGGGTTAACTTTTCAGAATTCTAGTGATCAGGGAAGAATAGCCTGATTAAACTGATTGACCTAATGATATGTTTTTAGGTAAATAAGAAAGCCCCAATTCGAGCTCATAGGGACAATTTTAGTTCCCCAAAAACCAAAGCTTAGCATACTAACCAAGACCTACTCAGTCTTAGATCTCTGTTTTAGTAACTCCTTTGAAATATAGGCAGTAGATCTCATGTATTCTGGGAATAACCTAATACAATGTAAATTAAATAAAATTAAAAACATTTTATTTAACCCAATGTATCAAAATATCATTAAATATGTAATCGATATTAACAATTGAGATAGCTTACACTTACAGGGTGTCCCAATTCGTACTAGCAACCTGTCAAATGCTTAGCTGCCACATGTGACTAGTGGCTACCCTACTGGACAGTGCAGCTGTAGAAGGTTAAAAATTGAAGAGAAAGATTAGAAACCAGATTATAGGAAGAGAACAAGAGATGTGCCAGTGACTCTAGGAATCTAAGCTTATTATTAAATATTTATTTAAGAAGTGTTATTATTACGATGGATAATAATAGACTTAAAATATTGCCATTACCCCTGAAAGCTTTATTCACATTCCAAAACCGAGAGATGTTTAGTTATAGCAACCCTTAGAATGCAATTTCCTGTAGTTCGGGGATTGTTTCTCCTCTGTGTTTGATCATTGGTTTTTGTTTTTATTTTTTGTGGTGGTAGGGGTTATTCTAAACTTCGAAGTCATAGTTATACATAAAATAAATTTCCTCCTTAAAAGGAGCAGGACCATTCGAATGAGATATTCCAGCCTCCTAAAAAGAAAAGAATACTAATGACTCATTTAAAACATCATCTGGCTAATAGCAGCTTAATATTAAGGTTAAGGTTATGAACTTTAGGGTCACATAAACTTAGGTTTCATTTCCAATTCTGCTACCTCCTATCTGTGTGTACCTGAGAAACTTTTTAAACCTCTTTGTGCTTCAGTTTTCTCAACTGTAAATGGATATGCTAACAATTATTTTATTGAGTCTTAAGAGAATGGAACAAGATAATGCTTATAAACCATTCTCCAGTGAGTAGTAAATACTCATTAAGTTAAGAGAACATGCCTCATGTCTGTTTCAAAATGGCTATGATTCTGTGTCAAAGGCAGAAGCAATCAGAACCATTTTGAATTACATGTATATTTCAAAACAAGGGAATTAAACTTTGATACATTATGTAAAAATTTAAATAGCTGATATGGTTTGTCTGTGTCCGCACAGCCAAATCTCATCTTGAATTCCCATGTGTTGTGGGAGGCACCTGGTGGGAGGTAATTGAATCATGGGGGCGGGTCTTTCCCATGCTGTTCTCATGATAGCGCATAAGTCTCATGAGATCTGATGGTTTTGAAAAGGGGGAGTTTCCCTGCCCAAACTCTCTTTTTGCCTGCTGCCATCCGTGTAAGATGTGACTTGGTCCTCCTTGCCTTCCGCCATGATTGTGAGGTCTCCCCAGCCACGTGGAACTGTAAGTCCATTAAACCTCTTTTTCTTCCCGGTTTCAGGTATGTCTTTATCAGCAGCATGAAAACATACTAATACAATAGCATATCTTCAAAATTCCTACGGCAGACTCTCTTTTCCTTAATAATGACCTTTTAAATAGGAATCTTGAAAGAAGCTCCCAAAGCAGTTTACTTCCCACTCACTAGGCAGGCAATGGGCACACAAGCCTGCTTTCTTGATGATACTGCAGATCTGCACTGAGGTCCACTCTCTAGACTCTTTCCTATTAATGTTCTGGTGCCTGTGGTTTGCACTAACCTGCTTTCGAAGCCAAGTCTTTGAGAGTAAAGTAAATATTGTATTGTTATATGTTGGAGGAATTTTGCAACCATTTTGCATTGTGAAATTTTGTATCAAAGGGTACAATTGAAAACTTTGTCTGAAATGTATGTTGCAATATTTGCAAATGCAGACTAGGTGATTGAAGAAAGAAATGAGGATCTTTGCTAAGTCTGAAGGCATGGTTTCCTACTCCTTCATCTTCTATGAGTTTAAATAGTACTTCTATCATTACGATAGAACTTCTAAAATGAGACACTTTATGCTTACTTGTGATCTTTAAGTGGTCAGAGTGCTCTCATTGAAAGTATGTGAGAAATGCTGATAAACTTTTTCATTAAATATAAATAGCTACAAAAATTTGTGTAGATGTTTTTAATTTGTGAGCAGATAACCTCGTTGACTTAGGAAAGACTAATTCATGGTTTTAATTAAAATCATAAACTTAATATCTCACTAATAATTAACAAAATTGTGTAAGGGGTAAGTAATGTTATTATATTTAAAATAGCAGCCTGCACACCTAGCCCTCAATCCCTACAAGCCTGTCCTTTTTTCTCTTTAATACTTTTCACCAAATAATAACTTACATGTTTTACTTGCTTATGTCTGCCCTGTCCTCCCCCAGCCCTACCCAGATGAGGACAGGGATTTTTATCTGTTTAGTTCACTGTTGTCTTCACAGTGCCTTGCAGTCTTTGGCAAATAGCAGGCAATAAATAACTGTTGAATCTTTATGTGACAAATCATTATGACTAATTTACCCTCTAACTTGAACAACATGAACTTCTAAAATTACAAAATTTTAAAACATGTGAGGTAATTTATTAGGAATTTCCCAAGTGGCGGGTACCAACATTTTGAGGTTGAATCAGTTATTACCTCCATTTACAGATGAGAAAATTGAGGCAGACAGAACTTAAGTAACTCCTGTGGTCACTTAGCTTATAAGTGGTGACATCAGGGTTGGACATGACTAATATGGGAGTCCATGGCGTAATTACTGTGTAATTTCTAGGAGATGGTGTCAGATTAAATAAGTAGGAGGCCATTGCCCTGAGAATATCTCCATTCTTTAAGTTTTTATGTAATACACTGCAATATAACTTAGTACTTAAATAAATAAACACTTAATTTAGGAGCACACTTTTGTAACAAACAGTTGAGCTTCACCCAATCATAGGCTGCAACTGATCAGACCATGCTCCAATAAGTCAAAAGACTCATCACACCATGCCCAAATGAGGCAACTGTCTAGCTGTAGTCAATCAGATGATTTATATACTTTCTTCAGTGTTCAGCCTATAAAAGCTTATTGTTCATGCTGCTGGGTGGAACTCTCTGAACCTCTCCTGGTTCTGAATGCTGCCTGATTCATGAATCATTCTTTGCTCAAATAAACTCTGTTAAATTTAATTTGCCTTAAGTTTTTTTTTTTTTTTTTTACATTTTTTTAACAATAGAAAAGGTGAGGGCTTTAGTGTTACAGGCCTAATGTACGGGATAAGAGAAATAAAGTGCATCAAAGTATCTAACAACATGCTCTACCACCTGATAAACTCTCCATACATGTTAAAGTTCAAGAACCATTTCTTGATTTGTCAAGAACCTCACTTTAACAGTGCAATAATTTTTGAAGCAAAGAAACCTGAAAGATTCTCATTCTTCTTGTTCCTAGATGAAACTTTTTTTTTTTGAGACGGAGTCTTGCTCTGTCACCCAGGCTGGAGTGCAGTGGCGTGATCTCAGCTCACTCCAAGTTCTGCCTCCCAGGTTCACGCCATTCTCCTGCCTCAGCCTCCCGAGTAGCTGGGACTACAGGCGCCCGCCACCACGCCCGGCTAATTTTTTGTATTTTTACTAGAGACGGGGTTTCACCGTGTTAGCCAGGATGGTCTTGATCTCCTGACCTCGTGATCCACCCACCTCCGTCTCCCAAAGTGCTGGGATTACAGGCGTGAGCCACCACGCCCGGCCTCCTAGATGAACTTTAAGGTAACTTGGAAGGATAGTTTTTTAGTCTGAAGTTGGTATTCAGAATTGATTTTGTGCTCAGACTAATTAGTCATAAATGGTAAACAACCCTAAATGATGTATTTAGTAGGGTTTCCTTCTTTTCTCCTAAGACTTGGTTTTCATGGGTAACAGTTTCTGTCCCCACCCCCTTGACCCAGTCCCATCTCTCACTGAGGTTCTCTGCCTCCATGAGCCTCATCAATAATCTCCTTGCTATCTCTGTCCATCAGATGTTCCTTGCCAGTTGCTTTTCATTTTTCTGTCCATATAGTCATGCCTAGAGTGAGAGTTTGAAACAGCAGTGATTCTGGCCCGAGAGGGGGATGGTAGTAGAGGTGGGTAGTCTGCACAGTGACTGGTGCTGCAATGGTATCCTGTAGGATTCATGGGCCTCAGTATACTGGGAGTGGAGAAACTGCATAGAGAACATGGTTGGGGGTATTCACGAGGAAGAAAACCAGTGAAAACCCTATTTCAACTTTGGCTCCTGTATCTCTGGAGCCTGGGAGATAAAGAAAAGGCTGAGAAGCCTGGCTTTGCTTTGGAAAATCTCTTACCTTTACCACTAAAGCAGTTTTCACTTCAGGGCTACCTTTAGGTAAAATGTTTAGAGGGTCATCCAGTATCTGGGCTCAATTTCTAGAAATAGCTTCCATTAAGACACACAATGTCTTTTAGTCTACTGTTACATTTAAAAGGCTCAAAAATGCAAATACTTGGGATAATTAAATAAAAGGCAATGCTTTTGTTAAGACGAAGAGTTAAGGAGGCAATGGATCTCTAGAAGGAGCAATGGTAGGTTGCACTGAATCTATGGATAGCAGGGTCGAGATAAACCATAGGGATATCAGTGCATGAGGCACAAGTAATATTCTTGGAGACTAGCGGTTCTGATGCAGAAAATTCAGCTAGTAGCCAATGAATGAGAACCAGTCATCAGTATGCAGATTATTTGTGAAGATACAAATTTGGATGGGTCTAACAGAAGTTTATGGAACCCTGACTCTGGCCAGAGACTCAGCAGTTGGAAATGAGTCACAAGGCTAAAATGAGAAATTGAGCAAAATTGATCCAATACAATCTTCATCTATGGAGTGAAGGTGCCTTAAATTCTGACCCATGGCGGCAATGAGAGCCCAAACCTGGGGGCACAGATGAGCTACCTGTTGGAGGTGTCACTTGAGAGAAGCTGGGGTCTATGCATGCTGGGAATCAGGGAAACAGACAAAAGATTTCATGAAATTTGTATAAGCAAATCTGTAAATATGATACAGGAAGTAATAAAACTACTGCTCTTATTGTAGCATTTGTCTTGCAGAAAATATATAAACTAGGGAAATGTGTGAAGACACAGAAGTTTTCATTTTTTAAACCACTCAGAGAAAAATATTTTGGTATATTTCTATCAATTTTTTCTATTTTATTTTACATAGATGAGATCATTATCATAAAAATATATGGTTTTATATACAGTTATTCATCACTTAATGATGAAGTACATTCTAAGAAATGCATTGTTAGGCAATTTTGTGTGAACATCATAGAGTGTACCTTCACAAACTTAGATGGTATAGCCAACTACATGCCTAGGCTATATGGTATAGCCTATTGCTTCTAGGCAACAAACCTGTATAGCATGTTACTATATTGGATGATGTAGGCAATTGTAACACGATGATAAGTATTTGTGCATCTAAATATATTTAAACATAGAAAAGGTACAGTAATATATGGCATACAAGATAAAAAAGGGTACACATTTACAGGGCACTTACCATGAATGCAGCTTGCAGGACTGAAAGTGGATCTAGGTAATTCAGTGAGTGAGTGGTGAGTGAATATGAAGGCAAAGGATGTTCTTGTACACTACTATAGACTTTATAAACACTGTATACTTCAGCTGCACTAAGTTTATAAAAATATTTTTCTTTCTTCAATAATAAATTGACCTTAGCTTACCATAAAAACTTAAAAAAAAGTTTTGACTCTTGTAATAACACAGCATAAAACACACACATTGTACGGTTGTCCAAAAATATTTTCTTTATTTATATCCTTATTCTATTAGCTTTATTCTATTTAATTTTTTTATTTTTTAATTTTTACTTTTAAAATTTTCTTGTTAAAAACTAGAATACAAACGCATTAGCTTAGGCTTACACGGAATCAGGATCATCAATATCTCTGTCTTCCACCTCCAGATCTTGTCCCACTGAAAAGTTTTCAGTGGTAATAACACACATGAAGCAGCCATCTCTTTTAACAAGGCCTTCTTCTGGAATACCTTCTGCCTCAGGACCTACCTAAAGCCGTTTTATAGTTAACTTTTTTTTTTTTTAATAAGTAGAAGGAGCATACTCTAAAATAATAAAGTATAGTTTAGTAAACATATAAACCAGTACATAGTTCTTTATTATCATTATCAAGTATTATGTACTCTACATAATTGTATATGTAATACTTCTATACAACTAGCAGTGCAGTAGGTTTATTTACACCAGCATCACCACAAACACATGAGTAATACTTTGCACTACGATGTTATGACAGCTACAACGTCACTAGGCAATAAGAACTTTTCATTTCTATTACAGCCAAAGGGACCACCTCCATATATCTGTTCCGTCATTGACTGGAACGTCATTAGGTGGCTTATGACTGCACTTCTTTCTACTTAATATCATAGCATTAATTTCCTCAAGTCATTAAAAATTCTTCATGAAACTGATTTTTTTTTTTAAACAAGTTCTCACTCTGTCACCTAAGCTGGAGTGCTCACTGCACCCTTCGCCTCCCGGGCTCAAGTGATCCTCCTACCTCAACCTCCCAGAGACTGATTTTTAATGACTATTAAATATACTCATTCAAAGAAAGAGCAACCACTTAAAATCCAGCCTTTTAGAACTTTAGGCTTCTGAAAAAGCTACAGACTTGAAAGTGGCAGGGAAAAATGTTCTGAATAATAATAACAATGATGATGATAAAAACATCCCCTGAGCACTCAGAAGTAAATATTTGAGGACAGTAAAAAAAAAAAAAAGATCCTAAATTATGCCTTTTACAATGTGAGTTTATTTTTCATCATGTCATGCAAAAGCCATGCTGTGATTGATCCCATTGTCACCTTCAAGCCTCAGGGATGGAATGCAGAGGACAAGAATGTCAAATAGCCCACTTTTGCATTTCAACAACCAAGTTCCTAGCCTAAAATAACTTTTTAATTTAAAAATTATATAGCATTAACGAATTGCAGACCAAAAACTAAACTTATTATCTGTTTTCAGATTCTGTTATTCTAGGCTGGAACATTGGCTTTTAAAACTCAAATACTAATTATTTAATATTTTTGTTCTTTGCACTCTGTGGCATCACCTCTTCCCCAAGGCATAAAGATGAGATACACTGGGTGTAAGGAACTTAAATTAGGACAATATCAGGTGGGATATCTTGTGATATCATTGATTAATATCACAAAATATTCCATGAGAGAAATACTTATTGCTCTGGTGATGTTCAGTGTATCTGTGTTTTGGCCGATTTCAAGGTTCAACCTATGGTAGACCATGACCAGTCTTGTAGTGGGCCTGATACTGCAGTAAGACATGATGGCAAGCCAGAGCAATTGGGCAAGAGAAAGAAATAAAGGGCATCCCAATTGGAAAGGAGGAAGTCAAATTGTCCCTGTTTGTAGATGACATGATCTTATACATAGTAAAACCTAAACACTACCACAAAACTCTTGGAACAGATAAACACATTTGGTAAAGTGGCAGGATACAAAATCAATATACAAAAATTGGTAACATTTCTATACATTAACAAAGAACTAGCTGAAAAGGAAATCAAGAAGGCAATCTCATTTACAATAGCTACAAAAGAATACCTAGCAACAAATTTAACCAATGAGGTGAAATACCTTTACAAGGAAAACTACAAAACACTGATGAAAGAAATTGAAGAAGATACACAAATAAAAAGACATCCCACGCTCATGGATTGGAAGCATATTGTTAAAATGACCATACTATCCAAAGCAATCTGCATTCAATACAATCCATATCAAAATATCAGTCATTTTTTATAGAAATTAGGAAAAACAAACCTAAAACTTGTATGGAACCACAAAAGAACCCCTAATAGCTAAGGAAATCCTAAGCAAAAAGAACAAAGCTGAAGGCCTCACACCACCAGACTTCAAAATATACTACAAAGCTCTAGTAACCAAAACAGCATTGTACTGGCATAAAAACAGACACATAGGCCAGTGGAACAAAATAGAGATCCCCAAAATTACTTCATATATGTATGAAAGTACATACCTATACGTATGAAAGTACATACATATATGTATGAAAACTAGATATTCATATGTAGAAGAATAAAACTAGACATACACCTCTCACTCTACACAAAAATCAACTCAAAATGAATCAAAGACCTAAATGTAAGACCCCAAACTATAAAATTACTAAAATAAAATGTAGGAGAAATACTTCAGGACATTGGTTTTAAAAAAACACTCTATGAATAAGAGCCCAAAAGCATAAGCAACAAAAGCAAACAAATGGGGTTATATCAAACTAAAAACTTTCTGCACAGCAAAGAAAACAATCAGCAAGTGAAAAATAACCTACAGAGTGGGAGAAAACATTTGCAGACTATTCATCTGATAGGGAATTAATATTCAGAATATACAAGAAACTCAAACATCTCCACAGCAAAAAATCAAACAATTTGATTTAGAAAATGGGCAAATGATCTGAGAAGACATTTCACAGAAGACATACAAATGGCCAACAAATATATGAAAAAATGCTCAATATCATTAATCATTAGGGAAATGCAAATAAAAACCACATTGAGATATCATGTCACTCCGGGTAGGATGCCTATTATCAAAAAGACAAAAAATAACAATGGCTGGCGAGGATGTGGAGAGAAGAGAACTCTTATATACAATTGGTGGGAACGTAAACTAGTAAAGTCACCATGGAAAACAGCTTGGAGGTTCTTAAAAAAAAACTATAAATGGAACTACTACCATATGATCCAGCAATCTCACTATTGGGCATTTATCCAAAGGAAGATCATCAGTATATTAAAGAGACATCTTCACCCACATGTTTATTGCAGCACTATTCACAATAGCCAAGATATGAAATCAACCTAGGTATCCAACAACAGATAAATAGGTAAAGTAAATGTGGCATATATACACAATGGAGTACTATTCCACCATAAAAAGAATGAAATTCTGTCATTTGCAGCAACATGGATGGAATTAGAGGACATTAGGTTAAGTAAAATAAGTCAGGAATAGAAAGCTACACACTGTATGTTCTCACTTAAATGTGGAAGTGAGTTAAAAAAAGTTGATGTAATAGAAGTAAAAAGTAGAAAGAAAGAAAGATATGAGAGAGTGGGAAGGGTACGGAGAACAGAGGGGTAGAGAGAGATTTGTTAAAGAATACTAAATTACAGCTAGATAGGAGGAATAAGTTCTAGTATTCTATACCATTGTAAGATGACTATAGTTAGCAACAATATATTACATAGTTTCAAATAGCTAGAAGGAGGATTTTGAATGTTCCAACACAAAGAAATGATAAATGTTTGAGATGATGAATATGTTAATTACCCTGATCTGATCACTACACATTATGTGTAAGAAACATCACTATGTACCCTATAGATTGTGTCAATTAAAAAAAGAGAGAAATGATGGCAGAAGTGTGTGCTTGAGTAAGAATTTTCTTGCATGTAAAATTCTTAGTTCTTGAATGTTGACATGGCTCCTCTCTAGACTTTTTACCTTTTTAATGGTAAAAAGTCAGTGGGTCCATATTCGGGGCTCTTTTTTATGACTATACAATCTAACTTCCCTTGGGTCATATGATATTTCTTGCATACAACTGAGTCTGAGGATATACACTTTATATTTTCAATGCATATAATTTCAGAATTCATAATGTATCTGATGACATAAAATCGATTCTGTTGCTAACCAGTTGTAGTGCTCATCCCAAGGAAGCAAGATTAGAATTAGATGATGGGAACCATTTTAACAATTTGCTCTTTCACAAAGCTACCTCACTGATGCAGTTTATGAAAAAGGCCATTGTTTCAGAATGTAATCTCTTAATTGTAGAATTGATCCTATGGAAAATTTGATTTATTATAAGGGATTGTGCAGAAGTTTCAGTCTTGTTTGTTAGGACAACATTTTAATACTTTCACCTAAAATTTTGTTCAGACACTTCAGAGGAGCTTGCTTGGTCTGAACTTTTGTGATTTATTTAGAATATCTTATTCTAACTTGAGATAAATTAGGAGGCTTTTTAAGTCTTATGTTTCAAATCATAGTGCAGAATATTTTAAAAATTGTTATTTTTCAATTTATTTTTGAATCTCTAATGCTCATGGTACAAAATTCAACCATAATGACTAGGTAGTCAGTAAATCTTTTCCTTTCTCCCTTGAGGAGACCACCAGTTGCGTGTAAACTATGACCCTCTACCCCAATGTTGGCTTACTATACAGGCAATCTTTATCTTGCATGGTCATGCATAAAAATGTGTAAGCTGGCCAGGCGCAGTGGCTCACGACTGTAATCCCAGCACTTTGGGAGGCCAAGGTGGGCGGATCACCTGAGGTTGGGAGTTCGAGATCAGCCTGGACAAAATGGAGAAACCCCGTCTCTACTAAAAATACAAAATTAGCCGGGTGTGGTGGCACATGCCTGTAATCCCAGCTACTCGGGAGGCTGAGGCAGGAGAATTGCTTGAACCCTGGAGGCGGAGGTTGTGGTGAGCCGAGATCGTACTATTGCACTTCAGCCTGGGCGACAGAGTGAGACTCTGTCTCAAAAAAAAAAAAAAAAAATTGTTTGAAAATATCCACTTCTTGTTGTAGACTCTTACTGTACACACAACTATAAACATTTTTCCTATTTAAATGAAAAAGGAAAAATATAATAAGAGATTTGAAAAGTCTGGACATTTCTTTCCCAACAGATATTAAAGGCAACATCTTCAAAATAAGATATTATACTGAAAGGACTATTATATTTTAAAGACAAGATCACTGCTTCATAGTTTCTCTTTAAAAAATTTAAAAAACTATATAGCTGTGTTAATCAAAATGCATATTTTGTACAATGATAATGATCTTGAATTTTTTTAAAAAAATTATGATAAGCTACAAATACCAACAAAACAAAAGTATCTGGAGTAGTCTGTATAGGATCTCTTTGGACTTTCTTTTATTATGTTGAAATAGTGGTGCTTTTACAATTTGCATTATTGTACTCTCCAATACAAAGCATGGGGCTTGTTCAAGTATACAGTACACCATTTTCATACATGTACAACATTGGTGGATGAAGAATGTCTCTTAGCAGTAATACTGGATGTAGCCTCTGGTTTTACCAGCTGCATACTCTAGGACTATTAGATAAGTAAAAATCTCTCTTGTGATACTGGAAAGTTATTAGAATGTGCAAACTGATATGGTATCTTTCATCTCTCTCTTAAAGGGTATCACCACAGGAGAGTCCACTTAAGCCTTTGGTAGGTTTAACAAAGTTGGAATTGCTCAGGCACTGTTGAATTGGGCAACATTCTTCAGACCTGGCTCAGAGCTACAGTGCATTTAGTATATTAAAGCAGCTGACATGATGACTTTTTGCAAGCCTTCCCAGGCACTGGAGTTTTTTCTGTTAATTGCCACACTAGGTCATAAAAGTCTCATTAACTTTTTTTTTTTTTGAGACAGAGTTTCACTCTTTTTGCCCAGGCTGGAAAACAATGGCGTGATCTCAGCTCACTGCAACCTCTGCCTCCTGGGTTCAAGTGATTCTCCTGCCTCAGCCTCCAGAGTAGCTAGGATTACAGGCATGTGCCACCACGCCTGGCTAATTTTGTATTTTTAGTAGAAACAGGGTTTCATCATGTTGGCCTGGCTGGTCTCAAACTCCTGACCTCAGGTGATCCACCCTCCTCGGCCTCCCAAAATGCTGAGATTACGGGCATAAGCCACCATGCCTGGCCTTATTAAGATTTATTTTTTATTTTGCAGAAGATTCTAAGAATGCACAGTTGTTCCATTGTCTTGCTAGATTTTGACCTTGTTCCTTCCCTACAACTCTTTTATCTTCCAAGTCACACTTATTACCAACAATCACTGGGACAATATCAGTGTCTTTAACTTAAAGAATCTGTTCTCTCAGATCTTGTAAATCATAAAATGTGGACTGTGCTGGGATGGTATATGCTAATACAAAGCCTTGTCCATTTTTTATGTACAAACCCTTTATTGCTGTAAATTGTTCTGTTCCTGCAGTATCCAATATGTCAAGCATACAGAGTTGTGCATCTATTTCCACTTGCTTTCTGTAATATCTTTTATTGTAGGACCATGTTTTTCAACAAAATTCTTTGTACAAATTGTACAGTCAAAGCAGAATTTCCAACAGCTCCTGAGCCAAGAATGACTAATTTATACTCAAGCATGATACAAATTTTTTAAAACCTAGTACCTCTCATGCTGTCACCAGGTCACTGCAGTCAGTGTTGCTCTGTGCTTTCTCTGAGTTGCTACTCCTGGTGCTATGGTGGTCTTGCCTCTGCTACTGCCACTCTGGCTGGTTTATATGCCTGAATAATGAGTTTTAAAATCATATTTGCACGTGTCATGGTAACTTCACATTAAAAAACATACAATGAATGCACAAAAAAAAAAGCAAGAAACTAAATCATATCACCAGAGAAAATAATCTTCACTAGAGGAAGACAAGAATGAAAGAAAGAAGACCAAAAAACAATATGAAAAGAACAAAATGACAGGTGTAAGTCCTTACTTGTCCATAATAACCTTAAATGTCAATGGGCTAAACTCTCCAATCAAAAGACATAGACTGGCTGAATGGATGAAAAAAAAAACAGTTGATCTTCTGCCTACAAGAAACACACTTCACCTATAAAGATACACAGAGATGGAAAATAAAGGATTGTAAAAAAATATTCCATGCCAAGAGCAGGAGTAGCTATACTTACATCAGACAAAATAGAATTCAAGACAAAAGCAATAAGAAGAGAAGTAGGTCACTATGTAATGATAAGGGGGGTTGGCTCAGCAAGAGGATACAACAATTTTAAATATATATTCACCCAACACTGGAGCACCCACATATATAAAAGAAATATTATTAGAGCTAAGGAGAGAGAGAGACTCTAACACAATAATAGCTGGAGACTTCCACACCTCACTTTCAGCATTGGACAGATCATTCAGACAGAAAATCAACAAAGAAACATCAGACTTAATCTGCAATATAGATCAAATGGATCTAATAGATATTTACAGAACATTTCATCCAAGGGCTGCAGAATACACTTTTTTTTTTTTTTTTTTTTTTTTTTGAGACAGAGTCTCAGCTCACTGCAAGCTCCGCCTCCCGGGTTCACACCATTCTCCTGCCTCAGCCTCCCGAGTAGCTGGGACTACAGTCACCCACCACCATGTCCAGCTAAGTTTTTGTATTTTTAGTAGAGACGGGGTTTCACCATGTTAGCCGGGATGGTCTCGATCTCCTGACCTCGTGATCCACCCACCTCAGGCTCCCAAAGTGCTGGGATTACAGGCATGAGCCACCACACCCAGCCAGAATACACATTATTTTCCTCAGCACATGAATCGTTCTTAAGGATAGGCCAGATGTTAGGTCACAAAACGAACCTTAAAACATTAAAAAAACTGAGATAATATCAAGCATCTTCTCTGACAAAAATAAAACTAGAAATTAATAACAAGAGAAATTTTGGAAACTATTCAAATACATAGAATTTAAACAATATGCTCCTGAACGATCAGTGAGCCAATGAAGAAATTAAGAAGGAAATTGAAAAATTTCTTGAAACAAATGATAATGAAAACACAATATACCAAAATCTATGGGATACAGCAAAAGCAATAGTAAGATAGAATTTTATAGCTCTAAGTATCTACATCAAAAAAAAAGGAAAAACTTCAAATGACAATCTAATGATGCATTTTAAAGAACTAGAAAAGCAAGAGCAAACCAAACCCAGAATTAGTAGAAGAAAAGAAATAATAAAGATCAGAGCAGGACAAAATGGAAAAAACAAAAAAAAAGAAACAAAGTTTTATTTTTTTGAAAAGTTAAACAAAATGGACAAACCTTTAGCCAGTTTAAGAAAAAAAGAAAGAAGATCAAAATAAATAAAATCAGAAATGAAAAAGGAGACATTACAACTGATATCTGCAGTATTCAAAGGATCATTAGTGGCTACTCTGAGCAACTATATGCTAATAAATGGAAACATATAGAAGCAATGGACAAGTTCCTAGATACATATAACCTGCCAAAATTGAACCAGGAAGAAATCCAAAACCTGAGCAGACCAATAACAAGTAATGAGATTGAAGCTGTAATAAAAGTCTCCCAGTAAAGAAAAGCCTGAGACCTAATAGCTTCACTGCTGAATTCTAGCAAATATTTAAAGAAAAACTAATACGAATCCTACTCAACTTATTCTGAAAAACAGAGAAGGAGGGAATACTTCCAAACTCATTCTATGAGGCCAGTACTTCCCTGATACTGAAACCAGATAAAGACACACCAAAAAAGAAAACTACAGGCCAATCTTTGATACATATTGATGCAAAAGTCCACAACTAAATACTAGCAAATTGAATTCAACAATACATTAGAAAGATCATTCATCATGACCAAGTGGGATTTATCCCTGGGATGGAAGGATGATTCAACATATACAAATCAATCAGTGTGCTACATCATATCAAAAGAATGAAGGATCAAAAGCATATGATCATTTTAATTGATGCTGAAAAAGCATTTGGTAAAATTCAACATCCTTTTATGATAAAAACCCTAAAAAAAAAAACTGGGGATAGAAGGAACATACCTGAACATAATAAAAGCCATATATAACCTACCCACAGCTAGTATTATACTGAATGGGGAAAAACTGAAAGCCTTTCCTCTAAGGTCTGGAACATGACAAAGATGCCCACTTCACCACTGTTATTCAACACAGTACTGGACATCCCAGCTAGAGCAATCAGACAAGAGAAAGATATTAAGGGCATCCAAATTGTAAAGGAGGAAGTCAAATCATCCTTGTTTGCAGATGACATATCTCACATGCTGAGAAACCTGGAGACTCCACAGGAAAACTAGCAGAACTGATAAACAAATTTAGTAATTCAGTAGTAGCATTTCTGTATGTCAAGAGTGAACAATCTGAAAAAGAAATCAAGAAAGTAATTCCATTTACAATAGCTACAAATAAAATTAAGTATCTAGGAATTAACCAAAGAAGTGAAAGATCTCTGTAATGAAAACTATAAAACACTGATTAAAGACATTGATTAGGACACACAAAAAATGGAAAAACATTCCATGTTCATTAATTGGAAAAGTCAATATTGTTAAAATGTCCATACTCCCCAAAGCAATCTACAGATTCAATGCAATCCCTATAAAAATACCAATGACATTCTTCACAGAAATAGAAAAAAACAATCCTAAGATTTATATTGAACCACAAGAGACCAAGAATAGCCAAAGCTATCCTAAGCAAAAGAACAAAACTGGAGGAATTACATTACCTGACTTCAAATTATACTACAGAGCTATAGTAACCAAAACAGCATGCTACTGGCATAAAAATAGACACACAGATCAGTGAAACAGACTAGGGAATCCAGAAAGAAATCCACACACCTACAGTAAACTCATTTTTGACAAAGATGCCAAGAACATACACTGGGGAAAAGACAGTCTCTTCAATAAATGGTGTGGGGAAAACTGGATATACATATATAAAGGAATAAAACTAGACCCCTATCTCTCTCCATATACAAAATTCAAATCAAAATGGACTAAAGACTTAAATCTAAGACCTCAAACCATGAAACTACTACAAAAAACATTGGGGAAATCTCCAGGACATTGGTTGGGGTAAAAATTTCTTGAGCAATACCCAACAAGCACAGGCAACCAAAGCAAAAATGGACAAACGAGATCACATCAAGTTAAAAATCTTCTTTACAGCAAAGGATACAATTAACAAAGTTAAGAGAAAACCCACAGAATGGGAGAAAATATTTGCAAACTACCCATCAGACAAGGGATTAATAACCAGAATAAATAAAAAGCTCAAACAACTCTATAGAAAAAAAATCAAATAATCCAATCAAAGGATGGGCAAAAGATTTGAATAGACATTTCTCAAAAGACATACGAATGACAAACAGGCATATGAAAAGGTGTTTAACATCATTAATCATCAGAAAAATGCAAATCAAAACTACAATGGGATATCATCTTACCCAGTTAAAATGGCTTATGTCCAAAAGACAGGCTATAACAAATGCTGGTGGCAATGTGGAGAAAAGGAAACCCTTGTATATTTTTGATGAGAATGTAAATCAATACAACCACTATGGAGAACAGTTTGGAAGTTCCTCAAAAAACTAAAAATTGAGCTACCATATGATCTAGAATTCTACTGCTGGGTATATGCCTAAAAGAAAGAAAATCAGTATATCAAAGAAATATCTGCATGTGAATGTTTATTGCAGCACTGTTTACAATAGCTAAGATTTGGAAGCAACCTAAGTATGCATCAACAGATGAATGGGTAAAGAAAATGTGGTACATATACACAATGGAGAACTATTCAGCCATATTCAGTCACGTCCAACAACATGGATGGAACTGGAGATTATTACGTTAAGTGAATTGAGCTAGGCACAGAAAGGCAAGCATTGCATGTTTTCACTTATTTATGGGATCTAGAAATCAAAACAATTGAATTCATGGACAAAGAGAGTATAAGGATGGTTGCCAGAGGCTGGGAAGGGTGGTGGTGGGTGGGGTGGGGGATGGGAGATGGGGACAGTTAATGGGTACAAAAAATGTAGAAAGAATAAATAAGACCTACTATTTGATAGCACAACAGGGTGACTACAGTCAATAATAACTGTACATATTAAAATGACTTAGAACATACTTGGATTGTTTGCAACTCAGTGGATAAATGCTTGAGGGGATGGACACCCCATTCTTCATGATGTGCTCATTTCACATGGCATGTCTGTTTCAAAACATCTCCTGTACCCCATAAATACATACACCTACTATGTACCCACAAAAATTAAAAAACAAACAAACAAAAATCCAATCAAAAGACGTTCAGCTCAAAACAAAACCTCATGCATGTGTTACTCATAGGGAGAACCTTATATCATTAAGAAAAGGTTAAGTTACATTTAGTATAATTTATTTAAGAAAACAAGGAGGTTGGCCTGTTGTACCGCGGTGGCTCACGCCTGTAATCCTAGCACTTTTGGAGGCCGAGGTGGGCGGATCACGAGGTCAAGAGATCGAGACCACTCTGGGCAACATGGTGAAACCCCATCTCTACTAAAAATACAAAAATTAGCTGGGCATGGTGGCGGGCGTCTGTAGTCTCAGCTACTCGGGAGGCTGAGGCAGGAGAATCGCTTGAACCTGGGAGGCGGAGGTTGCAGTGAGCTGGGATCATGCCACTGCACTGTAGCCTGGGCGACAGACAGAAATTCAGTCTCAAAGAAAGAGAGAGAGAGAGAGAGAGGAAGGAAGGCAGGCAGGAAGGAAGCTTGTACAATGTTTCCTTCTCAAAGCAGACACTTGAACATATCTTAGGTTTCTGGTAACTAGTTTCAGCTGTCTCGATAGACCTGATAAGTCAGTATTTTAGTTAATATGTAGTAAAGTTCTGAGAGTACTCTAACCAACTTCCTTGTTTTTAACTCTCTCCCAGGGTATTTGTCTATTAATTTCAGCTTTGTTTGCTCTTAAATTTAAAAATATGTATTTGGCTTCTGAGTTCTGTTTTCTCTCTCAGTTGCATTGCTTGATTTGGGTGCCTCTATTTTTCCAATAATTCTTTATTATAATAGTGCTACTGTTTGCTAAAGCATACGTGGTCAAAACCCAATTCCCTGCAGAGCTGAAAAGAGCTCAGAGAAGTAAGGTGGTGGACGACCCACTGAAATGTTCCAGTTTCAGACTGCATGTGTCACACCCTTGCTGAAATACAATTCGTTTTCTTTAATTTCCATGTGAAGTGCACTTCTAAGAACTAACCTTTAGTCACTGGGTGACTTTATGGGAGTAAAAGGAAGCTGTTATGAAATAGCTCTTATGGAACTGTTACAAGCTTTCAAGCATTCAAAGGTCTAAATGAAAAAGGCTAAGTATTATTTCAAAAGGCAAGTATATCCTAATATAGCAAAACAAACAAAGCAAAATCCATCAGCTACTCCTCCAATTGAAGTGATGAAGCCCAAATAATTCATATAGCAAAATGGAGAAAATTAGACCGGCCATCTAAAAATCTGCCATTGGTGAAGTGATGAAGAACATTTACTGTCTTATTCCGAAGCTTGTCAATTTTGCAACTCTTGGCTGCCTATGGATTTCTGTGGTGCAGTGTACAGTTTTAAATAGCTGCCTAAAGTCGTGTGTAACTAATCTGGTAAGTCTCACAATCTAATATTTGTCTTTGCAGGAACTAGAACATGTAGCATTCAGCTTGTTATAACTGATAGAATTGTTTTCTCTTTATGAGGAGTTTTCTTATGAGAAGTGGTGGCAACAAGGCAAGATAGATTATTTTTTCTTAAATAAGTTAGGAGCCCTTATAATTGCAGAAGATAAAGCAGGCTATTTTATTTCTTTAGGGTATGTGGTCATATATTTTTTGGGCTAGAGGACTGGGTAAAGGAGGTTTAAATGGAATCAATTTTGCCAATTTTGCACACTTAAAAACTTTCTATTTAAACTTATTTATTACAAAGTCATTAGTAGTTGTCTTGAAACCTGAAATCGGTTTGGCCACAGGATAATGCCTGCTAATTCCAGCTGTGTAGGGAGCTGGATGAAAAAGGAAGCAGATACAGTTGCCATGTAAAATAATATTTTAAAGCAATAATTATTTGTACATTTCTTTATTTCTGTTTGTGCATTTATTATTTTAGTTAGTGAGTTTTTTATATGGAAATTCATGCTTTCATTCTCATTTCTGGGTGTCATCCCTTCTCTAACTATTGTACCATCTCTTTTCAGTTGTAATTTAGTTGTGCTTAAAACAGTCACTGAATTAACTTTAAAAACCAAGTACTCTATAGACAGAGAAAATGCACTCTTCCTGTCTAAAGACAAATAAAATATCATGATAGTTTGCATATGACCCTATCTATAGCCATACTTTTAAACATAATGCAAGTACTAAATATAGTATTCATTATATTATTCTAAAGTATTGGAGATAGAATTATGTGGCAGATTAAAAAGAAACTTGCACTTATACACTTTTGATTTAAACTGTAGTTTAAAACACTACTTAGGTTTACCATGGTTAGTAGCATTTTTTTAAAAGTTTAGTATTTTATATAAATCTTTGCCGAAGACTTCATTGCCTTTAATATAGAATTGCATGCTTTAGTTTTTTATATTTGTAACCCAAACTTAAAAATGGAAGAATGGAACTACTAAATGTTTCAACTACTGAATGGAAAACTAAATGTTCTAAAAAAGATTTTAACTTTTTTCTAATTATAATAAGAGTATACATTTTAAATAAAATATTTATAACATAGAGAACTACAGAAGAATAAAAAACTTCTAATTCTAGCCCTAGTAATCTTTTGATTGAATTTTCTTTTAGTATTTTTCCTCATATATATATATGTATACATATATATCTATAATTTACACCCAGCTATGCAACCAGCTTTTTCATTACATTGTATTGTGAGTTTTCCCCTAGACCCTGAGATTTTTTTAGAAACAGAATCTTTATTATCTTTAGAGTATTCCATTATATGAATGTACCACCATAATTTATTTGTTAATTTCCCTGCTACTGAAACTGATTTTAGTTGTTTCCAATATTGCAGTCTCCATTTTATTTTACTGTCGTTTTATTTATTCTTATCTTTTTGTGTGGGCTCCTTGCTTCCAGGGTTTGGCAGTAGGAATAGACAGTTTGTTCCTTTGTTGAGTTGCCTTCCGTTCACCACCTACAGAGAATGGCACAGCTGATGTGTGGCAACAGCAAGAGAGACACGGTCTGCCAATTTGACCAGTGAAAGTACTACATGTTCCCACATAGGGCCTGGAGGGACAAAAGTGAAGTGAATGTACAATTGAATGTAACCATGGTTCACAGGAGAGGATATACAAAGTGCTCAAGTTTATTATATTTTCTGCATCATTTTTAAAAACATGGACATTTACTCTGAAGGTCATCTATAATTTTATTGGGTGATTCTTGATATTGAGAAATGTTTTCTTAAAAAAAAAAAGTCACCACAAGAATGTCTTGTCCAAAAATAAAATGTTAGAATTGTGGGCCAAATTGCACGAAGCAGAGTTCTATGCTTGAGCATTGGTATTTTACATTACTTTTATCTTACGTTAACAGAGATCTGCATGTACTAGTTGAAAGTATTAACTGAAAAGTTTTTTTGAATTCTAGAAGCCATGTGCTGCAGAAAACAACAAACAATTAATGCTCTTCAGAACTCTAGTATTGTGAGATCCTTTATGATAAAGAAAAAAGAATTCACGGTTGAATCATTTGTGGAAGTGTATTTTGCTATGCCCTCTTTTTGTAGATTCACAGGGCACAATAACATGTTAAAAGCTTTGTTTAATCATAATTTTCCCATCTTTAGCAACAAAACCCTTTTTTAATGTTTCCATAAGTTATTGGGGGAACAGGTGCTATTTGGTTACATGAGTAAATTCTTTAGTGGTGATCTGTGAGATTTTGGTGCACCCATCAGCCATGTATACACTACACCATATTTGTAGTCTTTTATCCCTCACCCTGCTCCCACTCTTTCCCCTAAGTCCCCAAAGCCCATTGTATCATTTTTATGCCTTTGCATTCTCATAGTTTTGCTCCCACTTATCAGTGAGAACATACGATGTTTGGTTTTCCATTCCTGAATTACATCACAAACCCCCTTTTTTTTTTGAATTAACAAATCACAACAACTGAGGAACTAATATTGAGAAGGGCTCAGGAGTATCAATTCCATTCAATAAATTTCATTCAATATCAATTTATTGAATGGATTCCATTCAATAAATTTTCCTAGGTATCTATGTATATTCAGCTCTGTGGTGGATGCAATTCGGAATACAAAAGAAGTGAATTATGTAATCAATGCCCTAAAGTAAGTTATCAAATACTGAGATATCAAGGTTTCTATCACTAGACAGTTAAAGGCTGTTACAAACATGATGTGCTTTTATAATATTAGAGGGTGATGACAATACATTTATTTTTGATTTGTATCTTAAGTTCCAAAGAAATAAACTGAAAATCAACTGAAAGACTATTAGAAATAATAGGATTTGGAAGATTTTTAAAAAATTAATGTACAGACATGAAAAATTGTCTTGTATATCAATATATAACATTAAAACAAAATAATATAATAAGATCATAATTCAGAAATTTTATAAAATATTTACAAATTAGCATAGTTTTTATTGCTACAGGAATAAACCTGTGAGTAAAACAGAATACAATCAAGAAATAAAACCATGTACATAAAGAATGTGAAATATGATAAAGATGACAATTCAAACCAATGAGTTGCTATCCATGTAGCATAAAAAATTCCTACATAACTGCCAGATTCAAATAAATTTCAGGATATATTTTGTAAAAAGGTATGACTTTTGGTTAAGTGCGATGGCTCATGCCTGTAATTCCAGCACTATGGGAGGCTGAGGCGGACAGTTCCCTTCAGCCCAGGAGTTTGAGACCAGCCTGGGCAACATGGTGAGACTCCTGTCTCTACAACAAATACAAAAATTAGCTAGGCGTGGTGGCATGCACCTGTAGTCCCAGCTACTTAGGAGGCTGAGGTGGGAGGATTGATTGAGCAGGGAGGTCGAGGATGCTGTCAGCTGTGATTACACCACTGTGCTCCAGCCTGGGTGACTCTGTTTCTAAGAAACAAAAACAGAAAGGTTTACTTAAATGCAAACAGACAAATAAACAAAACAAAGCAAGTGTTTACTTCATAAAAATATTAGAAGAAATTGGGGTGACTGTTTCTGTAATCTTGAAGTAGAAATGCCTTAAGAAGCCTAATTAAAAAATTTAGACTCCCTAAAAAGAAATTATCAATAAATTTGACTACTTAGAAACTTAAACTGTTATGACAACAGTATACAATAACTGCAAAGCCAAAAAGTGGAAAAAAAGTATTACACATGATAAATAATGTTTTTAAAGAAAAAATCCCTGATACACATAAAAGCATGTAAGATGAATTTAGAATATAAACAGCCACTTCAAAAAAGAAGTATAAGTGTCCATCAACTGATGAGTGGATAAAAAAATGTGATATATATACACCATGGAATACTACTCAGCCATAAAAAGGAATGAAATAATGTCTTTGCAGCAACTTGGATGGAGCTGGAGGCCATTATTCTATGGAGGCCATTATTTGGCCAGGAATAGAAAACCAAATACCGTATGTTCTCACTTATAAGTGGTAGCTAAGCTATGGGTACACAAAAGCATGCAGAGTGGTATAATGGACTTTGGAGACTCAGAAGGGGGAGGGAAGGAGAGGAGTGAGGGATGAAAAACTACATGTTGGGTACAATGTATACTACTTGGGTGAAAGGTGCACTAAGATCTCAGACTTCACCACTATATAATTTATCCATGTAACCAAAAACCACTTGTACCCCAAAAGGTATTGGAAATATATATATATTTCCTATATATATATATATTGCAATATAATATATATAATTCCAATATAATATGTATTCCAATTCATATATTCCAATATAATATATAATATATATTATAAAAATGGCTAAAAAGCATGTGATAGATATTCAACCTCACAGCAACCACAGAATTGCAGAATAAAAATAAATTATCAATTTTTCTTCTATCAAATTGGCAAAGATAAAAACATTTATAGTTGGGAAAAGGTACAGGTAAACTTCTATTTTCATGAATTGTTGGTTGGATGTAAATGGATAAATTTCTAGAAAAGAATGCGTTATTAAATCTCAAAATTGAAAGAGAAAATATACCTCTAATTTATGCATCAAATTTATCTGAGGATATTATTGTTTAACTAACCAAAGATATGTATGCAAAAGGCTGTTAACAGCAAGTTGGGACATAATACTACTAATACATTTCTAAGTGCCTGCACTGCACTATAATAATTATTGCATTTAATTGAATCTTCACAGAAGCTTATGAATTAAGTATTATCCTACTTATGTCCCGGATACGACCACTAAGTTTAGATGGCACAGGTAACTTTGAGAATATCACATTGGGAGCAAATATCATGTGGAATTAAAATACAGATCATTCTGCTCTGTTCCATTTATTATTATTATTATTATTATTATTTAAAATTTTATTATTATTATACTTTAAGTTTTAGGGTACATGTGCACAATGTTCAGTTTTGTTACATATGTATACTTGTGCCATGTTGGTGTGCTGCACCCATTAACTCGTCATTTAGCATTAGGTATATCTCCTAATGCTATCCCTCCCCCCTCCCCCCACCCCACAACATTTATTAGGGTAGGAAGTAAAGAATGAGATTAGTTCTGCCTGAGGTGGGCAGAATAGAAAAGCTTATGTCAAGAAGTGGGTATTAGGTTAAGAAAGTTTGAGATCTGGGACTGAATTTGACTACTGGAAGCAGATAATTGGCGTAGTTGGAGCTAAGGCAAACCAGCGGGGATCCTAATGTTCAAAATGAAAAATGTGATTTTGGTGGAGATTATGGAAGGCATCCGGTTAAGAGCACAGGTTCTGGAGTCAATCACTCTGCCCCCTTCAAATCCTAATCCAGGTAATTTACTAAACTTCCCTGTGCCCCAGCTGTAAAATGAGGTTAATTATAGCAGCTACCTTATAGGGTTGCTGAGATGATTCAATGAGATTTAGTGTAAAACACCTATAAGAGTGCCTGAAACATAGCAATAATTCAATAAATGTTAGCTATTGTAATTGTGAGGAGAAGAATGGGGAATGAGTGGAGATTAGGGAAGAGTGTTGACAAAATCTGCCTCATTAGAAACCCTTAGACCTGACTGTGAGGCTACCCTGCCCAAGACCATTTGATGGTCATTTCACTCAGCCCGTTAAATTTACTCCTGAGAAGAGCCATCAGGACTCACTACCGTTACAGTGTGACTATGATCATCAAGAAATATCTCTGCTCTCCTACTGTTTAAAATGGAACACAAAGACTACCCAGCATCCACCCTTTTGCTTTTATGAGTTAACATGCATTTTTGAAGGGGTAGGAAAAGATTCAATTTTCAACTCATTATCTCTCACCTGATTTTTATTTGCTTGCGATTCAACCAACTTTTGAACAAAATCATGAAAACACAGTACTATTAAGCACTCGGTTGCAAAATTCATCTAACAGATAGAATTCTTACTGTCTAAATGTTTATTATCTAAAAACAAAAGCCAATAATCATCCTTCTTCTTTTCCTACAAATATAACCGGTTAGGGAACGGAGTTTAAAGGAATCCTCACTCATGCTTCAAATTAAAGAAAAAAACAGGCAACATTTGTTCTTTGGTTCTTGAGTCTGATTACTTTTCAAGTCAACCCACACAATATTAAGCCATTGGATAATGTTTTCAAGGGACTTTTGGAGCATCCTTACATGGGAAACCACTTTGAATTAATGGATTTACTCCTTTAGCACATCAGTATTTATTGAACACCTGTTTCTAGCAGGCAGTGTTCCAGGTGCTGAGGATGGAGTGAAGAGCCAAATGGATAGAAAGCAGGAGCATGCTCAGTGAGCTCAGTGATAGAATGCTGCTCTCTTCTCTCTAGCAAGCACAGAACACTATGTGGGTACTTATCTGATTATCTGATGGCCCAGATTATCTGATTGCCATCCTTTGTAAACTGTCTTGTTTATGAAGGACTCTATTCAAATTATGACCAGAGAGATAACGAGCAATTTATAGATCTCTGTCCTTAGTTCCTATTTCTTTTATTTTCCTCCAGTATAAAAAAGTTCTTAAAATTTGTATGTGAGCCATAAAAGAGTAATCTTATGTTTTACTACATACCAATTTGCATTTTCTCCCTGCTCTTAATTTTAAAAAGGAAAAGTCTGAACACAGTTCATCACTCACCTAGGAGTCCTTTGACTTGATTAACTGACCAATGCCACAGGATTATTTAATTCTGCATGAGACTCTCTCCCTATAGCCACATTCTTACTTCCACCTTTGTAGTACCTGCAAAGTTCTTAAGACATTATATCTATAATTTGCACCAGCATTTTGTCTGGTAGTGATGAATTTAATGCCTCTAAAACATTTGGCTCTTTACTTTAGAGTTACAAAATGCGGAGGAGGCAACGTTATTTCAGGAAGCTTTTTTAAAAGGTGTGTTAGTTACACGGAACCCAGTACTGATGGCTGGTGTTTACTACCTCCTTCTTCATTTCAGGGCCAGCAGCTTGACCTTGGCACACCACATAATCTGAGTGAACCGGTAAGTAATTTCTTCAGTTGTCAAGAATATTACAATGTTTGTGTTGATAATGAAGGGACAATGATCAGATTTTATCACAGTAAGAATTGCTAAGTAAAATCTCATTTATCCTTGCTGGAAGAAGACAAATTGAAAATAATGAGAAGTCTGAATTTATATAAAAATGAAGTGTGTTGAAGTGGAAATAGCACAGGACCAATCCAAGTGCATGATTTTGTCTCTATGTAATTGTGTGGCTTTGGACAAATTACTTAATTTTTCTGAGATTTAGTTTTATTATGTGTTATTTGAGATCGTCTCCAATATTTCTTCTAACAATGACATTTTATGGTTTTATTACTGTTCTGCACATGTATTCATTTGTTTAACAAGTGTTTAGTGACTTAAGGTATAAGCATGCACAAGGCACTGTGCCAGGAACTAGAAACTTAACAATGAAAAAAATAGGGTCTCTGTTTAAAAGGACTCTCAACCTTTTTGAGATGCATACTTAAAACCAGAGAGACAGACATATGCATAAAATTATGGCCAGACAGCATCATCAGAACCAGAATTGTGGTGTGTGTGAGGAGTGAAAAGAGAATACACAAGAGTAAAAGGCACCTCACTTGCCTGCAAGGCCTTCAAACTAAAACTAGAAAGAGGAAGAGTTTTCCAGATGGACTAGAGGGGAAAAAGCCTATCGATCAGAGAAGGCCCTTTTTGTCAAGACACAAAGGTGTGAAGTAGCCTAAGTTGTTAAGGAAACTGAGTATTTCAGCTTGCTTGGAAATTGGGGTACATGTATAGAGGGTAGGGAAGTGGAAGACCCATTGCCAAGTTACATACCAATTGCCAAGTTACATGGAGCCACATTACGAAGGGCCTTGTCTGCCATGCTTGCTAAGTTGGTCTTAACTCACAAGTTGTTGGAAAGACATACAGAGTTTTAGATAAGAGTGTAACCAGGTTTTGTTTTAAAAAGATCACTCCAAATGTGGGAACAAGAGGGGTCCTTCCTGAGGTTTTTGGCAAGTGGTAAATGGCAAAACAGAAAATTGAGGCAGTGAGTGATGAACTCAGATGGATTTTAGTTAATGACCAGATAAGTCAATAGGGCTTCGTGATGGGTTTTCCATGAGAGGGGAGAGTGGGGTGAGAGAAGAAAACACCCTGGTTCCAGGCTTGGACAACTCAGGAGAATGTAACGCGTTAATGGGAAACACAGGAGAAAGAGCAAATTTGAGGATGGAAAGTAAGGAATTGAATTCCACATGATGGATCTGAAGTGCTTGTAGGAACTTAAATGGAGACATCTAATGAGCCAGTGGATATCTGGGTCTGGAGCTCAGGATGGAGCCTCAGCTGCAGTTAGAAGTTTGGGGGATATCAACATCCAGATTACTTGAAGCTGAGGTAGGGGATGAACTCGCTCCGGGAGAACTAGAAGAGTGAGAGGAGAAAAAGCTGAAGATGGAACACAAACACCAAAGGGGTGGAGAGAGGCAAAAAGAGATGGCAAAGGAGACTGAGCAGGAAGTAAGAAAAAGGAATCCAGGTGCCACCGTGGCCTGTGGAGGGAATGGTCAAGACAGGTACAGATGAATTAAGTAAGGTAAGAAGAAATATATCAAATCTGTCTGATAGCAGGTCAGGGCAACTCAGGGTTTTCAGGGCAGCTGTGGGGTGAAAGGTGCTAGTAGGCAGCCGACTCCCCAAACTGTCTACCTATTTAGGTTTGACATGCTACCATCTAGTTGAATCACCAGTTTTGAGTTTTGCTTGATATGTGAGGACACCTTAGGGACCCAGGATATACCAATGCCACATTGTCCTGGGCTTTACCTTTGACAACTACCCAGTGTACGGTGTCTTCGCTGAAGGTTGGCTGTTCTCTGGCTTCTAGGCCTGCACATGCCAGGCTTAACTCCACTCAGCAACTCTGCTGCCCTGCAGTGAGCCACAAGACTTGTTCTACCTGTAGATAGGACAGCTCTGTTTGGAATCCCAAAATCCTGGATCTTTTGGAGGCCTCAGGTTTCTTGGTAGGTTTCTATTTCTAAAACACAGAGTGATGCCTTTTGTTACTACATTGTACTTTCAGGTGACAAGAAAAAGTCACATTTCTTCAATCACTCACCATTGTCTGTTATTGTCTCTTGCAGTGTATCCAAGGATGTCACTTTTGGAACTCTGTAGATCAGAAAAACTGTGCTTTAAAGTGTGTAAGTATTAATTAGATTTCTATTTTGATACTGATGTTTCTTTCAAGAGGAAATTTGTGTAAGAGGATTCCCATTTGCATTTCCATTGGCTTTCAACTAGTTTGCTTGACCCTAAGACAAAACAAAACAAAACTAAAAAACCAATAGCCTGGATAATACATAGTAATGGAAAAGAGATTGAGATTAACATTTTTAATGTGACTAGAGGTCACGGAAGGTTATTGCCAATAACAGAACCCAGGGATGTTCAATCGCTCCAAAACTATAAATGTTTTTTAGTAGAATCTCCGGTATTTGTTAAATTTCCTAGGCCTATGCGTCTCAAATTTTAGTGTGCAATTATCCGGGATCTTATTAAAATGCTGATTCTGATTCAATAGGTCTTGGGTGGAGCCTGAGATTCTGCACTTGTAACAAGCTCCCAGGTGTTGCAATGCTGGTGGTTCCCAGACCACATTTTGGATACCAGGGCCGTAGGTCATGTTCAAAGTTTCTATGCAGGAAATATAGTAGGTGTCTAACTCAGGGCCGTAAACACCTGGTTTACTCCCCTTTATGTAGGAAATACATCCCCAGATACTTTATTTTTCATTTTATTATGTAGCCTGGCTTTTGCCACTCAGTGTGTAACTTAAGGTACTTAACCCCTTGGTACTTTACATTCTTCATCCATTTTAGGATAATAACAGAATCTTTCTCCTAAAGATAGAGCCTGTCGTGTTGTAACTACTCTGATCACATGATTAAGAATTTTGCCTTTTAAAAGTGGGTTCCCTTGTTTAGGTTGTTCAGGTCAGGGGTTAAATCAATAAGAATTGTGGTAATGCTGGGGAATCCTAATGTCATTTTCTATTAATGAGTTAAATTATAACATTGAGATTTAAATAATGCATTAACCTCTTTTTATATACATAGTTTTTAGAGTATATTCATAGTTTTACTTATATAGTGTGTCCTTGCAAAGTTCTATTATAGCAGTTACCTATGCCCACTCTCACATTTGTGACTGAGTGCCTCACAGAATGGAAGTTACCAAAAGGTACAGCATGTGCTATCTGGACTTAGTGGCTATTAAATATTTCTCAGAAATTGCAACTCAAACAAATAATTTGTCTAGTTGTGTGTTTAGTATCTTTTATCCCAACATGTAAGCTGTGTTGGGGCAGGATGCTGTCTGTCTTTTTTAGATTGTTATCTCTTGCACTGAATACAGTGCAGGGCATATAGCAGCTGCTCAGTCAACATTTGCTGAAGGAATGAATGGGAAGCACCATTTGTTGCTGGGAAACAATCCAGGAGGCTGTGTGGCTGCTGCAGTGGCCAGCATGGGCAGAGGAATCTGCTGTCCTTTGCTAGCAAGAGCTATTGGTGGTTTTCATTTCCTGTTCTATTTACCTTTGGCATTTGCAAATACTCCTTCACTCTCTTAACTTGGTCCACCACAGATTACCTCAGCCTGCTGAGATTTTTCTGGTGGACATCATATTCTCCCATTTTTCCAGTGATGCAAACAGCTTAATTTTTAGAGCTGCTTATACAGTGTCCTGCCTAGACAGGGGGTCCTGCTCTGGGCTCCCTTGTTTCTGTTGTTTTTTTGGTTGTTTATCAATGGTGGGGCAATAAATTAATTTGAAATGATTGTACAGCTCAGTGTCACTAAAATTATTTACAACTTTCAAGATTTTAAGTAGTCTTTTTTTTTTTCTATGCAGAATGATACTTATGCCACCGTTTGTGAGGTGAGTTGGCAATCACAAAAAAGATGTAATCAAGCCACATGTCTTCATCTCTGGTCTCTAAAAAGCTTTTAAAATAGGGGTGAAGAAACCTAAAATTCTCAGTGCACTGAGACATTCTTCCTCAAAGTGTTATTACTCTGAGTATACAGATGACTGTAAAATTCCATTTTGGCACAAATATTTACTGTTTTATGTATCTATGTGCATGTATATAATATATATGTTCCTATGTGCATACACACACATTCACCATTTGCATATATATTACTCTAATCTGGTTTGGGAGGTTATAATCCCTGGACCCTGGGCAGAGTTGGAGTTGGGGTAATGGAGGGGAGAGAAGGAAGAGGCACATTCAGAGATATCTCTGCTGATTCCATTTTCTTCCCCACAATGTATAGTGCTCTATCATTAAATATAGGACATTAAAAGAGAATCCTTTAATTGCAACTTTCTTTCTTGCTTGCTTGCTTGCTTACTTTCTTGCTTTCTTCCTCTCTTTCTCCCTCTCTTTCTCTCTCTTTCTTTTCTTTCTTTCTTCTCACAGTCTCACTCTGTCACCCAGGGTGGAGTGCAGTGGTGCAATCTCGGCTGACTGCAACCTCTGCCTCCCAGGTTTAAGTGATTCTCCTGCCTCAACTTTCTGAGTAGCTGGGGCTACAGGCATGTGCCACCATGCCTGGCTAACTTTGTATTTTTAGTAGAGATGGGGTTTTGCCATGTTGGCCAGGCTGATCTCGAACTCCTGATTTCAAGTGATCCACCCACCTCAGCCTCCCGAAGTGCTGGGATTACAGGCATGAGCCACCAAGCCTGGCCGTAATTTTCTTTCTTGTGCAACAAAATCCTTTGCCAACATTTTGCAAGACAGCTTCTACCCACCCCTTCTCCCAATGGTAAGTAATGTCTCACACTGCCCTGCCCAGGTGTCCTTACGGTGCTCTAAGCAACCTCTGCTACACTTGATTTTCTCTCTTTCAAAGAGACCTTGACGTTTTGATGTTTCCTACTTAGTCTTCAGCTGAACTTACCTGTCCTGTATTTCATCCCTTCAAAATAAGGTTATTTGACAATAGATGATATGAAGAAGCTACATTATTTATCAGTTTAAAACCTATGTTGGCTGGGTATGGTGGTGTGCACCTGTAATCCCAGCTACTTCGGAGGTTCAAGTAGGAGGATTGCTGGAGGTCAGGAGTTTGAGAGCATCCTGGGAAACATAGCACGACTGTCCCCTAAAGAAAAAAAACTTTAAAACCTATGTTGTATTCTTTTTTAAATATCCTTGAAACTGGTAACCAGAAGCCTGGGGAAGCAGTATAAATTATCCTTCATTAGTAAAACAGAAAAAATTCCCTCTTAATAGAGAGCAAAAATACAAACAAAAAATTAAATTGGCATGTTTTCTCAGTTGTTACTGGTTGGTTATAAAAATTGCATCTGAGCAATTTTTCTTGGGAATGGGTGGAGGTGAGGGTTGGCTAAGAAGAGAGACAGAAAACAGAGGAGAAAAGTCACCCATATGTAAAGAGACAAAGGTCTCTCCTCATTGAGATAGAAAAAAAAATTGCCTGCAAATCCTTTTATGTGATGAAAGCAAAATTACCCCCAAAGAATAGTCCCTAGGATAAATGTACCAGTGTCAGGAAAATCAGGGAGAGAGAGCCTTTAAAGCATCGAAGCAGCCCAGGATTAGATCTGTAATGTGCTAATTCTTTGTTAATCATTATGCTGCTCAGTTTTCTGTGATTATATAGTGTAAATCTTTCCTCTCAGTGTTATAACTTGTATAACTATTCTTTCTCTTTATACTTTGCTATTTTACACTTTAAAATGTTTCACTTTAAATAAAGTAGAACTGAACAGGAATACATGCTATGTGTATATCTATCTATCTATCTATCTATCTATCTGTCTATCTATCTATGTACCTATCTATCTATCTATCACCTCAGTTATCCACACCTTTAGGAAATCAAACTCCTTACTCATTGATGTTTGAACGTAGGAAGCTTGTCATTTTTGCAATTCTTATTTCTTGGAAAGAATAATCTTGAAAGTGATAGCTCAGTGAAATAGAACTTGGAAAATGACGATGGCTAGTGAGATGGCTTGTCCCTGATAATTAAAACACAAATTAGATCTTATCATTGCATCTTGGCCTTTGGCTATATAGCTATATATAGAATGAAACAAAAGAATATATATACATATATATTTATATATGTAGTATAAAATAGTCAAAATAGATCTTATTATAGCCAATTGATCTTATTGTACCTGAAACATTTCAATGGCTTTTTACTGCTCTTTGGAAAAAATTACAAAATACAAAGGTCTACCAGCTCCACTGCCTGCCTGTCTTGACTTCATCTCATACTCTCCCCTTGGTCTCTGTGCTGGCCACACTGACCTTTCCCTCTTTCTTGACATAGAAGACACATTCCTGCCTCAAAGTTTTCATCGTGCTGTTGCTTCTGCTTTTGCCCAAATCTCTGCAAGCCCAGCTCCTCCTAATGACTGAAGTCTTGGCTTGGATCACCCTAATAAAGTCTCCTTCTCTGCCTAGTTATACCTGTGCCTTTGACTTATTTTCGTCCTAGCAATTTTCATTATCAGAATTATTTTTTCTTTTTAAAAATTTGTCACTCAGTTATTATCTACCTCCTTCTAAGGGAAGTCCTGTAAGGCAGGGAGTTTAACTTTCTTGCTTACTGTCATATTCTTAGATCCCAAAACCATGCTTGGCATGAAAAAAGCCAATTGTTCAAATATTCTTGAATGAATGAATGAATAATTTTTAAGGGAACAATGCCTCAGTTCATATGGAGGGCAGTGGGCGAGGCTTCCTAGTGTTACAGAAGCTGGAAAGGGCACTGGCAGCCTGTGTGCCAGTCTGGGAAACCAAGGGTGGAGCCAGAGGGACAATAAAGATGGACTGACTACGATGAGGAAGATGGGAATGTGGGGGAACGGAGAGAGCAAGCTGATGTAGCCCCTGGAAGAGTATACTTGGCCTCCACTGTGGGAATGGCAGCTCAGTAACGTGGAATATTCCACATGAATGTCCCATCCAGAGGCTTCAGGCTCAGATTCTGTAAATTCCTTAAATCCAACCATCTTTAGATTCTCTCTAGGCAACTCAAGCTTGAGAAACACTGGATAACTTTATTTGAAGTCCAATGTTGAATTGCCACCATGGTTCAGGGCGGGGTGAAGGGAGGTGAAAGGAGTGGGGGGATGGAGAGAGTGGGAGGGAGGGAGGGAGAGAGAGAAAGAGAGAGAGAGAGAGAGAGAGATTGAGAGAAGGAAACGTAGTTGTTAGCTTTGCCTCCACTTGAGATAACTTTTAAACTCCCAGAAGGATGGGAATTTTATTATCGATTTCCCCTGAAAATATCAGAAAAAACAGGACCACAATTTCTCCTGATTGTCAAGACTACCTATATTTCAAAATAATCTGTATTTCCAAATACATCTCGTCTCTTCTCCTCAGTTTTCTTTTTTGGAAAAAAACCCCTCATGTTATATAATAATTTTGCTGTGAATTGGTTTGTTTATTCTCTGCAGTTCATAAATATGTTGAAGGCTTCACTAAAATATGTAAACAGGATGCGAAACGTATACTAAATCTTGAAATTAAATAATTCCAAACCCAAACTGAGGTATTTAAATTAATCCTTACCTAAGCAAACCTGGGCTTATCAGGCACCCTTCCTTTTAGTATGCAGATCAATCATTGAACTGTTCATGTTTGCAAGTTATAGCTCTTCTTTTTAGGGCAAATGTATTGTGCCTGCTTTCCGCTATTACCATGAGAAACAATAGCATGTTGTCCTAGGTATTATAGTTACAAGTTGAAAGACAGCAGGAAGATTGATCATGATTGTGTTGTAGTTTTACAATATGCGCCTTTTCTGCAAGTATGTGTGTGTGTGTTTTGTAGCTGATGTTAATGCATCTGTTAAGAGTTGCAGGAAATTTGTGTTTCAGTCATCAAATTATGTACTGTGTTTTTCATTAATGAGATAAAATGTAAATATCATTAAGTTTTCATAGATTTTAAAACTCAGCATTGGTATAAAGATATTCATTGAAATATTCAGCTACTCTACAAATTTATAGTCCACTTTTAATTTTCCAAGGAAGACCGGGATATATAAAATAAATAGGTAATCCCTAAGCATCATTTTACTCTAAAGTTTTAGATTTTAAGCTCATTAAAACATTGACCAAAATGGCAAGCAGATAATTGTACTGCTAAGCTCAGTGTTTTTTCAAACCATACGATGTGACACATTAGAGGGTCGTCAAATCAATTCAGCCAACCAAGAGTCACATTAAACAAAATGAAACAATAGAATAGAATATCATTGTACATATAAGAGCACATCAGAGACAAGGGGTTTCTTTTGGGGACAACGAAAATGTTCTAAAATTAGATTGTGGTGATTATTGCACAACTCTGAATATTCTAACAGCACTGAACTGTGTACTTTAAATACGTGAGTTTATGGCAGGTGAATATATTTCAATAAAACTTCTAAAAATGGAGGGAAAAGTAAGGATCATTTCAGGAATCTTTTTTTCAACATGTATGTGTGTACTAAGTTGTTTTGTTAAATTATTTTTTGCTATGGAGCATGGTCAAAAGTTTGGGAAATGCCAGTCTAGCAAGTGGGAATTTTACTGCAGGGGAAATAGTTGACATAAAGATGTACTTGCGTATTAGGCACTCCGATTTCAAAGATTTACTCGTATATTGGTCAAAGATATACTTGCATATTAGGCATTCGGATTTTAAAATTTAGTTGAAGCTTATCAGCAAAACCAGTATCAAGGCTGCCCTGACTGTCATGCTCCCTGTCTTCCACAGCGGGAGTCGTGTGAGGTTGGCTGTAGCAGCGCGGAAGGTGCATATGAAGAGGAAGTACTGGGTAAGAGGACACACACGACTTTTAAAAAATAGGCTGCACCACTCTAGTGACTTGTACTTATGTAAAGATAACGAAACACCTCTCAAAACATCTTGATTTCTGCATCTCAATATGATCAAAAATATCTATTTAGAGAATTCAATAATTTCAAACGTATAGGCCATTCTGATAAAATTCAGCAAGATTCTTCTTTCAGAACAAAACAGAGTAAACAGTACATGACTAATGTTTAGGACCAGATTTTGTCCTCAAGTTCAGTAGGTACACTCACTTCTCTCTTAATGACAGACAAATGTACATCCTGAGCAGACTTGATGTCAGAGAATGCCAGTTTTTTTTCTCTCTTTTTTATTTATTTATTTATTTTATTATACTTTAAGTTTTAGGGTACATGTGCCCAACGTGCAGGTTTGTTACATATGTATACATGTGCCATGTTGGTGTGCTGCACCCATTAACTCATCATTTAACATTAGGTGTATCTCCTAATGCTATCCCTCCACCCTCCCCCCACCCCACAACAGGCCCTGGTGTGTAATGTTCCCCTTCCTGTGTCCATGTGTTCTCATTGTTCAATTACCACCTATGAGTGAGAACATGCAGTGTTTGGTTTTTTGTCCTCGCGATAGTTTGCTGAGAATGATGGTTTCCAGCTTCATCCATGTCCCTACAAAGGACAGGAACTCATCATTTTTTATGGCTGCACAGTATTCCATGGTGTATGTGTGCCACGTTTTCTTAATCCAGTCTATCATTGTTGGACATTTGGGTTGGTTCCAAGTCTTTGCTGTTGTGAATAGTGCTGCAATAAACATACGTGTGCATGTGTCTTTATAGCAGCATGATTTATAATCCTTTGGGTATATACCCAGTAATGGGATGGCTGGGTCAAATGATATTTCTAGTTCTAGATCCCTAAGGAATCGCCACACTGACTTCCACAATGGTTGAACTAGTTTACACTCCCACCAACAGTGTAAAAGTGTTCCTATTTCTCCACATCCTCTCCAGCACCTGTTGTGTCCTGACTTTTTAATGAACGCCGTTCTAACTGGTGTGAGATGGTATCTCATTGTGGTTTTGATTTGCATTTCTCTGATGGCCAGTGATGATGAGCATTTTTTCATGTGTTTTTTGGCTGCATAAATGTCTTCTTTGGAGAAGTGCCTGTTCGTATCCTTCGCCCACTTTTTGATGGGGTTGTTTGTTTTTTTCTTGTAAATTTGTTTGAGTTCGTTGTAGATTCTGGATATTAGCCCTTTGTCAGATAAGTAGATTGCAAAAATTTTCTCCCATTCTGTAGGTTGCCTGTTCAGTCTGATGGTAGTTTCTTTTGCTGTGCAGAAGCTCTTTAGTTTAATTAGATCCCATTTGTCAATTTTGGCTTTTGTTGCCATTGCTTTTGGAGTTTTAGACATGAAGTCCTTGCCCATGCCTATGTCCTGAATGGTATTGCCTAGGTTTTCTTCTAGGGTTTTTATGGTTTTAGGTCTAATGTTTAAGTCTTTAATCCATCTTGAATTAATTTTTGTATAAGGTGTAAGGAAGGGATCCAGTTTCAGCTTTCTACATATGGCTAGCCAGTATTCCCAGCACCATTTATTAAATAGGGAATCCTTTCCCCATTTCTTGTTTTTGTAGGTTTGTCAAAGATCAGGTAGTTGTAGATATGTGGCATTATTTCTGAGGGCTCTGTTCTCTTCATTGGTCTATATTTCTGTTTTGGTACCAGTACCATGCTGTTTTGGTTACTGTAGCATTGTAGTATAATGTGAAGTCAGGTAGCGTGATGCCTCCAGCTTTGTTCTTTTGGCTTAGGATTGACTTGGCAATGTGGGCATTTTTTTGGTTCCATGTGAACTTTAAAGTAGTTTTTCTAATTCTGTGAAGAAAGTCATTGGTAGCTTGATGGGGATGGCATTGAATCTGTAAATTACTTTGGGCAGTATGTTTTAATGACTGGAAAGTATAGGCATATTGTATTGAATGCACCTTTCATTATTCAGCTAAAAGTTATCCTATAGAGTGCGTACTGTGTGTATGACTCCCCAAAAGGCTCTAGAAATTTGTAAAAGGTACAGAAGGTATGCTTCTCAGTGTTAGATTTTGAGCAAGTAGGGGGCTTGGGTGTTTATCAGCTCCCTCTGCCTGATTTCAGCATAGGTTGGGCATGTCAAAGTAGCTTTGCCTTAGTGTGTTAACTCTCTAGTAGTTTCTAACAGGCCAGCGCTTTGATAAGTCATGGCTTGGATGTCAGCAGATATCATTTCCAGAATTCCCTAGGGCATCCTCCCACCGAGCTGTAGACAGTTCCCTTAAGTCTGAAGGATGCTTGGCTCTTCCATATGTTGTAGTTCTTGACTCAGTGGCTTGTTCCTTGCTCTCAGTGGCTGATGGAAATTGGAAGGGGAAACTTATCTTGCTGTTCTGATTTGCTTCTGCCCTTTAGTGTCCCACAAAAGACACCCTAGACGTTTCTGTGGAGAGGTAGTGATATTACATTTTTTTTTTTCTGTGTCACGGGAATTAGCTGTGGATAAAATGTATATTTTATGGGGGTCCAAGCTGTGCACTGATGTGCTCCAGGCCATTACAGCAATCTCATGAGGAGCCATGGAGTATTTTAGACACTCAAGGTAAACACAGAGATATGTGAAATCTGTTGGATGGTGATACCCAATCTGATCATAAGATTGGAGGAGTTGTGCAGTGCCCAACAGGTACACAGGCCCCATTAGCATGCAATTATTTTTATTTAAAGATGAAATAAATATACAGTTTTATCTTTCAATTTCGTATTTGTTTCAAATATCTACCAAATTATTAGATACCAAATTGACTATTAACACATACTTATTAAGTGATACTACTTAAAAAGTCGAACTGTTAGAGAATTCTTTTGGTTCAGGGAACCATAAAAAAATTTCTGAGAAACTAAGGACACCAGAACTGAGGAAGTGTGGAATCTTTTATTTACATTCCTTTATTATATTCTAAAATTATATTACCAACTTAATTATACAATTCTGTTAGAATACAAGTGTAATCAATGCTTTATTTTTATTTTCTCATTGGCTATGGATCAATGTCTATGTACCACTAACAAATGAGATGTACCAAGTCTAAATAAAGACATTTGTACTTAAAGACCATATCTATAGTCTGTTATAATGAATCCTTTCATCCATGATCCTAAGACCTTATTTGTCTTTAACACATCTGATTTCTAGGTCATTTATCGGTGAGTATGCTATGTTCACTTTAGATACCTCCCATATCTCTTTTCACATGATGGAAAATGGTAATAGCTAATAACATATTAAATAAATAGCTAATAACATAATAAATAAATAAATAAACATATATATTTGCATATACAAAATATGTATGCATGTATATGTGTGTGTGTATATATATATATGAGAGAGAGAGAGAGAGAGACAGAGTCTCATTCTGTCACCCAGGCTGGAGTACAGGGGCACAATCACAGCTCACTGTAACCTCAAACGCCTGAGTTCAAGCAGTCCTCCTGCCTCAGCCTCCTGAGTAGCTAGGCATGAGCCACCATGCCTGGCCAAAAATAGCTATTTTTTATTAGGCATTTATGAGTTGACCACTTTTCTCATTAATTAATATGTATTAGCTCCTTTTGTCCTCAGAGTTATACATACTATTATTAACCTCATTTTACAGGTGAGAAAATTGAGGCACAAAGTTTACATACTTGCTTGAGGCCACATAGCTGGTAAGGGATATCTCTGAAAGTATAACCCAGCTGCCTGGTAACAGAGCCTTTTCTTACCCACTGTGCCATGTACTGAAAATAGGATGGAGCTCAGTCTAGCTTCCCTTTTTCATTTGGCTCTCTCTTTGCCTTGATATTTTAGCATAAACCTACTTTACCTTTTTTTTTTCATATGTATCACCATGGCTTTGAAATATGTCTATGTTTAGCTATGATATTTACATTTACTTGTACTTATATAACTGATCACATCTGCCCAGTTCTCAACTTTTGTCATTTCTGATGCCTCCTGGTTATTTTTCCTCACTCTGCTGACAACTCCATCATTGGACTCCCCTTCAAGGTGTCCACAGCATACCTAATTCCTGCTATTGAGAGTCTCACAACAAGAAAGGGAAGGAAAATGGAGCTGTGCTTTGCTTATTCAGTTATAATAGTCAAAAATGGACTATAAAAAGAAGAATAAGCAGAGAAGGGTTGTGCTAGGCCTCTTTGTGGGCTAGGTCCTCGGATGACAATGGCCTTGATTTTTCTGGATTACAGAGTATAGACTTTATTTGGTCCGTGTCTGGTGTTGGTAATGATGAGAATTGCGTCAATTTTCTCTTAACCAGAGTAAGGTCCCAGGAGTTTGTAATTAACCATTTTAAGCTCCCTACCAAATTTACCATGCTTTCTCAACCAGAGTGCTGATTTTGTTTCTATAAAAGAAAGCAGAAGCATTAAATTCATCACAATTTTGGAAAAATATAAAAAGTAGAGTAAAATCATTTCATCCCAGTGACATACCATTCAGAAATCTAGCCCTTAGTACCATGCCTGGCAAGCAGCACCTGAGAAATTGCTGCCAATTGTAATACGTCTAATGTTTAGATGTCCTGAAATATTTTATAATGTGAAACAGCCAATCATAGTGTCCTTTGGAGTAAAGGCAATTGCTCTGTACATATAAAAAATAATTTCTTGTTAAGATGCACAGCAATAGTAGAATTAGAGTATAAAATTTCAGAAATATATTGGGGTACACATCCCAGGATAATGGATGGTTCTGTTGTGCCACAGACATGCTCTGAGCATTGGCTCCCCCCGCCTGTAAGAGAGTGGTATTGAAAGAGAAAACTGGACAGCTCAGAACCCTCTGTGTCATCTGCCTGTAAAAGCAAAACCTGAACAAAAAAATACTGTGTTCAAAGATAACAATAAATTCTGTGGAAAAAAGACTGACAGACTGACTGATTGATTTTTTAAAATAAACTGAATATGCATACCATTGATTATTCAAGTGAGTTATTGTGGCAAGATGCAGTTTTAGCAAGAGAATACGGAGAGCCCTAGATGAGAGAGGCACACACTCTCTTGCGCTGATGGACAGGAGTGCGTGGTGAGTGAAATCTTGTTTTTTCCCCAGAAAATGCAGACCTACCAACTGCTCCCTTTGCTTCTTCCATTGGAAGCCACAATATGACATTACGATGGAAATCTGCAAACTTCTCTGGAGTAAAATACATCATTCAGTGGAAATATGCACAACTTCTGGGAAGCTGGACTTATACTAAGGTATGAAAGGCTGCCTTTGTACCTCAACCCAGACCCCTTCCCAATTTTTTTTTTTTTTTGAGACGGAGTCTCGCTCTGTCGCCCAGGCTGGAGTGCAGTGGCGCGATCTCAGCTTACTGCAAGCTCCGCCTCTTGGGTTCACACCATTCTCCTGCCTCAGCCGCCCACAGGCGCCCGCCATCGCGCCCGGCTAATTTTTTGTATTTTCAGTAGAGACACGGTTTCACCGTGTTAGCCAGGATGGTCTCATCTCCTGACCTCGTGATCCGCCCGCCTCGGCCTCCCAAAGTGCTGGGATTACAGGCATGAGCCACCTCGCCCTGCCCCCAATTTTTAAAAGTGCCAAATTATTACTTATAAGCGTAAAGGCCTTCTAGAAAAGATTCAGCTGTAAGATGGGTAGTTGGGTTCAGATGAACTTTAATCTCAGCTGCTCTGTAACATGCTAATGCTAAGCCTTAACATTAAGGCTTATTTTATAGGGAAAATATTTATTTTATAAGGAAAATATAATGTTGGACATATATACTATTCCTTCAGTACAGCATCACGTAACCATTCACCTCATTAGTCATTATCTGCCCATCACAGCTAAGATGAGTCTAGCTAGGATGGAGGGCAGAAGAAAGATTCTCATGGGGGTTGTAGCAATTCAGAAGTACGGTCTATGGTGGTCATCCAGGACTGTGTCTTTTAGGGAAGCATGAGAAAGTTTAGAAAAAAAAAAAATAGTCCCAAGATACTATGTGTACTAACATAGAAAAATTCAAGTCCTTGAGGTAAATGCCAAATAATTGAATCCATAATTTTGCTATTTTGAAGGGGAGAATTTCTGAGTGAATTCTGCACGCTGATATCTGAATGGCTTAGCTCTAAGCTCCAGGCCTCTTATTTCATCTTCTCTGTTGAGCCATCCATCTTCTACAAATTAATCTATGCTTTTTAGTCCCAATGTGGGGTGCTGATTCTATAATGCTGATGATTGATCACTCCTTGATCTAGACTGTGTCCAGACCGTCCTATGTGGTCAAGCCCCTGCACCCCTTCACTGAGTACATTTTCCGAGTGGTTTGGATCTTCACAGCGCAGCTGCAGCTCTACTCCCCTCCAAGTCCCAGTTACAGGACTCATCCTCATGGAGGTATGGTGTGCACACATTTCTTATGAAAGGACATTATTCCAAAGCTTTGATTTAGTTTGTTTTTATTTTAAACAATGAAATAAATCTATTCCTTCCTATTAATCGATCCATTCAACAACTGGGTACATAACTATGTGCCAGGTAGTATTCTAGGTACTCACAATACCTTTATGATCAAAAGAGACAATGACCCCTGCTCCTGTGGAGCTCACTTTCTTTTTTCTTTTCTTTTCTTTTTTTTTTTTTTTTTGGAGACAGAGTCTTGCTCTGTTGCCCAGGCTGGAATGCAGTGGTGTGATCTTGGCTCACTGCAACCTCCACCTCCTGGGTTCAAGTGATTCCCCTGCCTCAGCCTTCCAAGCAGCTGGGACTCAGGCATGCACTACCATGCCTGGCTAATTTTTTGTATTTTTAGTGGAGATGGGGTTTCACCATGCTGGCCAGGCTGGTCTTGTATTCCTGACCTCAAGTGATCTGCCCGCCTTGGCCTCCCAAAGTGCTGGGATTATAGGCGTGAGCCACCTCGCCCAGCTGGAGCTCACATGTTGTTGGAACAGAAATATTCTGCAATAAACATAAGAAATAAATAAAGTATATTGTAAGTGGGATGGTGCTGTGTGCTATAGTAAGAGGAATATTTTGAGCAGGGTTTGTCATTTAGAGGATTGGAAATGAAGAGTGAAGAGGGAAGGAGAGGCCAGTGGCAGTATGAAATAAGGTGGCCAGAATGAGCCTTGGTGAGCTGGTGGGGTAAAGTTTGAGCAAAGACTTAAAGGAGGCAAGGAAGTCAACCAGGCAGCTATCTCACATAGAGAGTTTCAGGCAGAGGGATGGTCCGTGTGGAAGACCTAAGGCAAGAACATCTGTGGCCTGATCAAGGAGCAACTAGAAGGCCCACGTGGCTGAACAAGAGTGCAGGAGGCAGAGGAGTAACAGCTAAGGTCAGAGAGATGGGGGCCAGACCCAGTCTACCTCAGGGATCTTGGTAAGGAATGTGGCTTTTATTCTGGAAGGAGAGTCACTGTAAGGTTTTGAGGAGAGGAGTGACACGATCTGATGCGAACTGCCTTATACATTAAAAGGAAAACTGGCTGCTGTATGGAGAATGAACTCTGGGGTGTGGGAGGAAGCAGGAAGAACTGGTAGGAAGCCATGTGGTGACCCAGGTGAGAGGCCCAGGGGTGGTAGTGGTGTGGTATAGATATGTTTGGATTCTATTTTTATTTCTTGATGTAATTTTAGTCTTTTTATTGCCTAGGTTATAAACTTCTTTGGCTGTGGAAAAATAACATCAGTAACAAAATTCACCTCCTGTTTTTTTTTTTTTTTTTTTTTACTGAAAAGTTTGTTATTTTTTGTATTATATTTTTAATATAATTGAAAGGAAGATTGCGCACTTTTTTCATTCATTCAAGTATTTATCAAGGACTATTATATACCAGACATTGTTCTAGGAACTAAAGATGATAAAATCCTAACCCTTATGGAGCTTGCATTCCAGCTAGGGAAGACAGTCCGATAAGTAATTAAGTAAAAGTATTTTCTGGGTTATGGGAAGACCCAATGAATAGCATCCTTCTTCTTAGTCTGAATTCTGAACCAATAAAAGATAAAACAAAAACGGCCAGAAGATGGCTGCAGGAATGTCAATATTATTTCTGATAAGGGCCAAATTGTATGATGATAGATTTTAAAGTAGGAAGTGCGATGTGACACATAGCCAGAGACTTGGTCGCACAGGGCCATACTGACCCTGATAAGGAGTACAGATTTTATTCTAAGTGGGACAGAATGTCTTTGGAGTGTTCTAAGGAGGGGAGGGACTTGTTCAAATTTTAAAACTTTCAGTATGGCTGATGCATGGAGAATAGACTGGGAGGGTGGAAGGAGGGCCAGGGAAGCTGGGGAGCTGTTAGGAGGCCAAGCAAGTCAGGCTTGATTTGGTGATGGCTCTGACAAGGATGGTGATGGGAAAACAGGGAAAGGTTTGTCATATATTTTGAAGATTGAGCTGTTGGGGTGGCTGAATGGATTTGGCAAGGAAGATGGGAAAATCAAAGTTGCTAACTTAGACTTTCAGTCTGAACACCTGAATGTCATCATTTACTGAGACAGGGACAAGGGTAAAGGAGGAGTGGCTTTCCTAGATAAAATCGTCAGTTCTGTTTTGGCCAAGCAAAATTTGAGATGTCTGTTAGATATCCAAGTGGAGTTGCTGAGGAAGCAATTAAATGGAAGGATTTGGAACTGAGGAGGTAAGTCGAAGGTATCCAAACTACCAATTTAGGAGTTATCACCACGGAGATGTGATTCAAGCCATGGGCCTGGAGGCAATATGCTGAAAGTGAATGTGGTTGAAAAAAGGAGAAGGTCAAGGTGTCAGCCCAAGGGCCCTTAATATTTGGTGGCTGGGAAGAAGAAGAGGGACAGCAAAGGACATGGAGAAGGAGAGACTCAGGAGCTTGTGGTGTCTCAAAGCCAAGTGATAAAAGTGTTTCATAAATGAAGGTGATTGAGTATGAAACAGTGACATTATCTCTGGAAAGCAACAAAAAGCTTCTTATCTGCTAGATTCCTGCTTCCTCATTTTCCCACCCTTTATACAGAATGTTGCCCTATCAGAATATAACTTTATCTGAGCTGCTGTCCTCTGAATACTAATATATCCTTAGAGCAATTCTAGCTCTAAATAAATGTTATTGTTCTCTTGTTCAAAATATATTCATGGGATATCTATAGATGCATGGATACTTTAAGAAGCTTACTCCCTTGTAGAAGAGATAAAGCACATGCCTAACTAACCTCATAGTAAGGTAAAGCTTTATTAAACACATAGAAAACGTACTGACAAATTCCCATGGAAGTTTAGAGGAGGGAAGTATTTATTTCTGAAATGAAATATCAAATAAATCTCTTTGGAGGAAGTCTCATTTGTTGAGTTAGACATGAGGTGAGGAGAGAAAAGGGCAGGTCCAGGTGTCTATGTGACCAGGGTCACCAAGATTGGATTCTAAGGCATGGAGGGAAATTAGTCAGTATGCCATCTGCTGGAAGCATAGAATACAGGAAGAAAAATAGTGAGAATAACACTGGGAAGGCAGACTAGGTCCAGATTACCAAGAATCTTAAATGTCCTGGGTAAGGAGTTTGTACTTTATTTAGAATGCAGTTAGGAGCTATGGAAGGTTTTAAAGCACAATAGTAATTGCTTCACTTGCTTCTCAAAAAGAGAATTTTGGCAACTGCACATAGAATAGATTGAGAGAATGAGTGAGATTTGAAAGTACAGAGGTAGAGACCAGCTGGGAGGTTACTATATTATTTTAAGATTTTATCAAAACAGCTTTTTAAAAACAGAACATATATTGGGGTATTCTCTGACTTATTATTTTGAAGATGTGACTTCCACACCAGGAAAAGCATTCAAGCCTAGAAGCCTTAGAGGAAGGCGAATGCTGGGGCAGACACCGAGGGAGAGTTGTCTGGTGCCCTCACCCTCAGAGTTAGCTGAGGCAACCCAGGAAGACATGCTCCAGGCTGGATGCCCTAACCCTCAGCTCTGGAGATGTGCCTATGTGCAGAGAGCCTCAGGCTGAACTAGGCCTTGGACCTAAGCAGAGCCGAGCAGCTGATGAAGTGGGTTGGGGCATTTTCCCCCTTCCCTGATGGTTGCTCTCTCCTTGCTTGTCAGATCTCAGGGTTTGTGTGGCCACCTCTGCTGATTATTCTGACTATTCTTGCTTAGCGCCTCAGACCAAACACTGGCCTAGGACCATGTTCGAAATTTTCCAGATCAGAGGAGAATGAATTCTTCCTTGTTCCAAGCAATGCCATATGTTATCCAACAGTGCTGGGACATTTTCCGGTGCTACAGAAATACCGTGCAGGGACATTGGCTGGGCAAATCAAAATAATGAAAACAAATTTTGCTGTTCATTTCTGGGCCTTTCTCCTGGATAAGCAAGCTCACATACCCTCTGTGTCTTCTAGACCCTACATGGGTGTCCTTCTTATGGATAGCATCTCATGTTTCTGATTCTCACTTTTCTAGCTACATCAAAACTTAGAAACTTATCTGTATTGTGTTAATTGCCTCATAACCCTATTCTCTTTTAGCTGTGGGAATGACATGATTTTAGATGGTGCTATTGCCTTTTTTTTTTTTTTTAAGACAGAGTCTCGCTGTTGCCCAGGCTGGAGTACAGTAGCACGATCTCAGCTCACTGCAACCTCCACCTCCTGGGTTCAATCGATTCTCCTGCCTCAGCCTCCTGAGTAGCTGGGACTACAGGTGCATGCCACCATGCCTGGTTACTTTTTGTAGTTTTAGTAGAGATGGGGTTTCACCATGTTAGCCAGGATGGTCTCAATCTCCTGACCTCGTGATCCGCCCGCCTCGGCCTCCTAAAGTGCTGGGATTACAAGCATGAGTCACCGCGAGTTTTTTTTTTTTTTTTTTTGAGACAAGGTCTCACTCTGTCACCCAGGTTGCAGTGCAGTGGCACAATTTCGGCTCACTGCAACTTCTGCCTCCTGGGTTCAAGTGATTCTTGTGCCTCAGCCTCCCAGGTAGCTGGGATTACAGGCATGCGCCACCATGCCTGGCTAATTTTTGTAATTTTAGTAGAGATGGGTTTTTGCCATGTAGGCCAGGCTGATCTCGAACTCCTGGCCTCAAGCGATTGGTCCACGTTTGGCCTTCCAAAGTGCTAGGATTACAGGTGTAAACCACTGCACCCGGCCTAAATGGTGCTATTGCCTTTTAACTGGGTCTTTTCAGAAAATAATTTCTTAACAAAGGAATGATTGTCAGACAAGGGATACCAGCATTTCAGGGATGATTTTTGTGTTGTTGTTTTTTTTTCGGTGGGGAAGACCTGGACAATGATCGCATCTTGCCATGTAGGTGACATTTAACTTGCTTCAATGGTGGAAGATCACATTTGGGCATTGACCCTAATGACTTAAAATTTTGACATTCTAATTATATTATAATTCAGTGGGAGAAATTTATTTCTTCCCTGTTTATCATGGTGACTGACTACATGGAGCCGAGGAGTGATGCAATGATGCTTGTGTTTGCTGAAAATTAGTCTGAGAGTTAGAGATGAATTGCATCAGAGAAAGGCTGAGAGAGCAATTAAAAGGGCTTTTAAAAGTCAGTGGTGATGCAGAGCATTTGCCAAAAGTGTTCAGAGGGAGAGAAATCTACTCAAGAGCAAAGTAACTTCTAATTGTGTCTTTCTATGGAAAGAGGAGAGAAAGAGTCTGGTTTTAGGGGTTTGGTTTGAAAAGCAGGTGGAGACACAGATGGAAGCTAGGCTGTCAGATCATTTGTTGTCCTTTCTTTTTCCACTTAAGTAGCTGCTGGGGACTGTGTGTGAACGCTCAGTTGTTTCATACATGCTCCTTTAATCCTTTGCCAGGGCAGGGGTGCTGAAGCTCAGTCAGCCTGGATTTCCAGGACCTGAGAGCTGGGGTAAGGAAAATGTAGTCTGGGTCATTAGAGCTGATGCCAACAAAAGTGAAGCCAACTGTTCGAATTCCAGCTTGTCTGAACCCACATCTCCAGCTGGAACCAGCAAGGCTGCCCCACTCAAATGAGTGAAAAGGCCCCAGGATGGACTTTTTTTTAAACTCGTCGATCATTGACTCCAGTTTTAGTCAGACTCTCCTCTTCTTCCTAAACTGGTTCCATCCCATGTTTCAACTCATTTAAGTCTCTAGAGATTCCTGATGACTTTTTTTAAAAGGGCCATTATTGTATTCGTATACACTATATTTAATTTTATTTCATTAATTAGAAGTGAGGAAAGTAACATTTGAAAGGGCCTCTTGGGAAAGGAGCGAACTGGTTTAGACATCTTACCACCTTTCCTCTATCACATATTTTGAGTATTAATAAAATTATTTCGTTTCCATTAAGTTTTCAAAAAAAAAAACAAGACTTTTTTCCATCTTATTTTAAAAACATCATGCTTGCACATTTTTCTGCTCATTATGTCACCATTATCTCTTCCAGTTCCTGAAACTGCACCTTTGATTAGGAATATTGAGAGCTCAAGTCCCGACACTGTGGAAGTCAGCTGGGATCCACCTCAATTCCCAGGTGGACCTATTTTGGGTTATAACTTAAGGCTGATCAGCAAAAATCAAAAATTAGATGCAGGGACACAGAGAACCAGTTTCCAGTTTTACTCCACTTTACCAAATACTATCTACAGGTAAGAATTAAGTGATACAGAGGAAAATGTAACCAGCATGGCTGCAGGCATGATAATTATTTAAGAAATATGGGTATCAAATAGTTTAAATGTGCTTTGAGAAGCGCCACTGACTCCATGGTGTTGGGTTGAAGTCATTGTGGTTTTCCTCAGGCTTATATGCCTATTAGATTATAGCATCCTAAGCAAAAACATTCTCAAGTATTTCTATTATATTCAGAGGATACTTATAAATATGGCTAATAAAGACATCGTAAACACCATGAATGTCAAATTTTCATTTAATCCAATATGAAAAAAGTAAGGAGGTAGAGTTCTGTTTAGGCATTTTTATTAACCATTAGGGTAATTATTTTATTATTGTTAGCTTTTCTATCATTTACTAGAGCCTCTTTAAATTCGGAGAAGAATGGGGGTCATGCAGATAGCAGAGTTCAGCTTTTGACCTCTATGACCCTGAACTGTTCTAGGGGAATGCAAACAAGGATGTGATTGATGGTCATTTCGGTGCTGAGCAGTGGCACCACGTAACTAGACTCATGCATTGCCACATCACCCTTTAAATAGAAATGTTATTGCTCCTTCTATTTTTATCTCATGTTCACACCATGCCATGTGAAACACGTCTCTCCAAATTGTTTTTGGAATAGGTTTTCTATTGCAGCAGTAAATGAAGTTGGTGAGGGTCCAGAAGCAGAATCTAGTATTACCACTTCATCTTCAGCAGGTATGGGTCAGGCTTCTTCCTTTAGCTACACAGGAATGAGGGTGGCAAGGGTGGTTTCAGAGCCAGAAGCCCTGGGTCACCTGGTAGACCTCAAGACCCACCTCTTCTGCCCAAATGATTATTGTCTTTTGGGTACTTGTTAAGTTTTCCATTTTAAATGAACCTAAGTATTTGATGAATTAAAGTAAGTGGTTAGATATTAGAATTTGGGAATTGAAAATCAGAATAAAAAATTTAGGGTTTTAAAAAAATGGCCTCAAATCTTTGGTTTCAGTTGAAATCACTAGTGTTTCTGACTCACATTTACACACTTAAGGGATACATATAACTTTTCTGCCCTAATCCCTATTTTAGATTATATATAATTATTTAATATATATCAGACATTGTTTTCCAGTATCTTTGTTTTTAAATATATCTGGACTTTAATAATTTACATTTTACTATATAAGTATTCAGTCTGCCAAAGTATCTTTTATTATTTTGTAAGCACCCTTTCTTTTTGGCTTTGGTGTTTTATTGATTACCTCAAGTGACTGAATACTTACTGTATGATATATGTGTGAGCAAAATAACAAATGAAAATGCTTTCTAAGAAGTACTGGAAATTTGAGGGGAAACTAATAAAAGATTTTTGAGAACATCCAAAGATTCACAATTCTGGGAGCCTGTTTTCTATTTTTACTAGAACCCTATTTGCTGACTTGACTGCCCCTTACTCTAATCTGTACATGCCTGTGCCAATGGGTATTGAGTGTCATCCATCATCAGCCTTTGTTTTTTTGGCTGTTCCTAGACTCTAGGAAAGGAGAGGTATTTTTGTTATGTAAGAAGCACGTCCAAAGGGTGAGTTAAATATAGAGCAGGGTTAAGGTTGTTGTTACTGTGATTATTGCATAACATTCATTAAATACCCTAAAAATGTTCACCCATGCACCTTGTGTCAGTCTCCACTTGAACAGGATATCAAGCAGAGTTCTGCAGCCTTCCAATGTCATTCCTTTAAGGACCTTTCTTCTGCCCTAAAGGCAAAGATACTGAAGACAACACAGAGACAACCAGTGTCTGACAATATGTGTGTGTCATGCATAACCCACTCTGGCCTGGGGTGGACCACCTCCACCGAGCCAATTCTCATGGCTGAAAATAATAAGCTGAGCTGGGGCAAGGTTGTTGAGAATAGTGATACATCATGTGATGTCATTTCTGGGTTATTTAGGGGCATATGAACATAAATCCTATTTGATTGTTACTGTACTTCCTACCTCCAATCATAGAATAATGTGAGTTATACCATAGATGCAATTCTCCAGTGCCATTAGAGAAAATTTGACCAGCCTCTTTCAAGCACTAGTCCCCTTGCTTTGAAGGGTAGTACTGATCTTTTTTGTGTCTGTTAGTGTACCTGTGGTTGGTCTACCTGTCTGCAAATTGTGTTGTTTTTTTCAGTTCAACAAGAGGAACAGTGGCTCTTTTTATCCAGAAAAACTTCTCTAAGAAAGAGATCTTTAAAACATTTAGTAGATGAAGCACATTGCCTTCGGTTGGATGCTATATACCATAATATTACAGGTCAGTATGATAAGGATAAATGATTCCTTAGTGTGAAAAGAAGATTCTAAAAGAAGTACTTCTAGAATAAAAGAAAATTTTTGAATATTTCTGGAACATATTCTCTTAATATCCTAATATATTAGAATAATTTAGAAGAATATTTTCTTTTAAAATAAAATACTTCTATTTTAATTTATTAATCATTAAATAAATAAATTCTCATTCATACAAGTTTTTTGTCCTGGTTGTTATATAATAATGTGTGTGCACTTGCATGGCTCTTCTAGGAATATCTGTTGATGTCCACCAGCAAATTGTTTATTTCTCTGAAGGAACTCTCATATGGGCGAAGAAGGCTGCCAACATGTCTGATGTATCTGACCTGAGAATTTTTTACAGAGGTTCAGGATTAATTTCTTCTATCTCCATAGATTGGCTTTATCAAAGAATGTATTTCATCATGGATGAACTGGTTAGTCCGAGAAGTTAAAGAGGAATAGTGATAGACAGTGATACTGATATGCATATCTTGGTATATTTAATACTAAACACAATTGCCTTATTCAATACATACTCAAGTATTTACTATGCCTTAGATACTAGGTTATCAATGAATCATAGATCTGGCCTATAGGAGGGTGTAGCCTTTACCTAGTGCTAGTCCTGACATAGCATTAAATCACCTTTATTTGTACTTTTTTAGAGTCATGAGTTTATACTAAAAATAATTCATCTTCTATAAGATAGTGGTGGTACCTGTCTTATTGTTAGGTAAGACTGCCAGTCATGATCAAAGTTAGCTGCAAGCATTTAAAATTATATCATAACCAGAGGGAAATTTAGTAGTTCTCCAAAAACACAGTAGTACTGTACTTTTCGGAAGACCATTTTTTGTTGTTGTTGTTGGTGGTGGTGGTGCATAAGGACTATTTTGAGCTGATGAAGACACAGTCTTGACATGTTTCAAATTCTACTTCTTTGGAAGGTACAGGCTTATCACAGTAAGCAACAGCCATTGCTGTGGTTGAAAGTGCATAAACCTAGATATCGCTTAAATGTTAAAAATAGTTGAATGCCTCTACAAGCCAGGAAAATAGGCACTTGTATTGCATTGATGTCAATAATGTATAAATTCATTAGGATATAGGATATAAAACTGTCGTTTAAGGGCTTTTTTTTGCTCATTTGTCTTGGGCAGTGCTCAGTGCCTAGTACAATTCCAACAGAACAGATACTCAGGGATACTTGTTGGCTGAATTTAATGCTGTATAGACAGATGCTAATCCTACCGGTATATTTTTTATTTTTTTAGGTATGTGTCTGTGATTTAGAGAACTGCTCAAACATCGAGGAAATTACTCCACCCTCTATTAGTGCACCTCAAAAAATTGTGGCTGATTCATACAATGGGTATGTGTTAGCCTTGTAAAGATGAATTCTCTTCCATTGGGAATAAATAATCTTTGAGAAACTTGCTTGCTAATGAAACATTGTAGTACCAGATGAGCCTATCTATGCATCTTACTTTAGGTGAATTTAATTAAATTCAGGCAAAGTTTTCATTCTGTAGAGCCAGGAGGGAATGTTTTTTCAAACATAAATCAACTCTTATAAAGTAGTTATTTCTCTCTCCTTCACAGCCAAATATGGGAATATGGGAAAGACCTCCTGTCTGGGAGTCAGGGGTTGGGTTCTAGTCCTGGATTTGCCACTTCTTTATCATGGGATTGAGTCTCACTTTCCGCCTCAACACTACCTGTGATAAAGCCCCTTCATTCCACCTGTTCCTTTTGCTGAGCCATTCAACTGTAGTTCATTCCTCTGGTTTGGTTCTCACATCTATCAAGAGGTTCTTTAATAAGAAAGCTGCTAGCTTCCACCTTAGGAGACAGGAGCTGATTGATAACTCTGCCTCCTACCCCCAAATGAAATGGACACATTGTACCGCAGTCTTGCTGTTAAATTGGAGTAGTACCTGAAGCAAGTAATATCATGTCTATGACCATTGATTTATCAATCCATATAGGGAAGGTAATAATACTTACCCAGTTGGGTTATTTTGAAGACAAAATGAGGTATTTATTGTGCATGTATTTTGTGAACTCCAGATATATATGAATATGAAGGATAAACACATAGAAAGTTATTTTGGAGTTATTATTTCTCAGATATGACCAGATAATAACAGATTAGTAACCAGTAGGCAAAGCCCATGTTTGTAAGATTAAACTTTTTTCTTTCCTGTAGGAATAAAGTTGCTTTCATTTTGAATGAAAAAAAAAATACAGCTCATAACATGTTTTTCACAAACAAAACTTTCTTTTAAAAAAGATTGTTCATTATAGATTTTAAAATCAAGCTTTCTATTCCTATTCATTCACAATTTACTAAAGATTTATTTTAACTTCTAGGTTTGAATGAATTACTGAATTATGGAATATTTAATGCTTTGTGATGTAGGACAAGGATTCTCTGGATCTTACTGTTTTCATGTGTAAAGGTCTACGGTCCTATGAAATGTAACTTTGTTGTTGACACTTACACAAAATGACTCATTCTGAGGATAATGAACTTTACCCACTAATCGATCATTCAAATGCGATCACTGAGGTCTTCAGTGGCTCTTTTTTTCCATTAGGATAAAATGGATTTGTGCTTAGATTTTGCAATGTGACTAGAAATGATAATGATAATTAGTATTTATACTGAATGTGTGTTTCTAAGTGTATTATGTCCAATAATTCATTTAATTTGTATTCAACCCTATGAAATAAGTACTTTTATTATTCTAGTTTTATAGATAAGGAAAGGGAAACACGGGTTGATTCCGTAATTGTCTAAGATTATACAGCTGTTTTGCGATGGAACCAGTGGAACCAGACAGGCCCTGGAACAAGAAATCTTGCTCCAGGACTTCTAGCTCCAGGGCCTGTCTTCTAACCATCTCTCTATACCATGATAGGAGAGTTTCTATAAAAATCAGCATGTAACTTTCAGCAATAGTTTGTGTTTAGTAGTCCTAAAGGACATCAGATGTGTGAAACAGTGTATTGTCCTGGTATTAGAAATATTTTCCTCTATGCTGTTCTTTTTGCACTGCAAATTGTCTCCTCATTGAGTTCAGACTTACTGTAAAACCTCTGCTTTTCTTCCTACCACCACTTCCCCATCTTCTTCCACCCCAGCTTCTCCTCCTCACTCTGTCCTCCTCTTCCCATGCACCAGATCTCTTCACCTTTTCTATTTTTCTTTCTCTTCCTCCCTGCTTCAATATAATAATTGTAATATTTACCACAGATAGTTTTCCTTTTATCTACTCTGAAATTCCTCCAAATTCCATTAACAATTTTGAATTTAGGAAACAAAAGCAGAAAATTAAGAGCCAAGCTGTTTTTGCTTTTTGCCTGCTACAATCCGTCCTCAGGGAAAAGAACATAGCTACATATCTCAAAATGGAGCTTATATCTCAGGATATTATTCTAGCATAGGAGTTTTGAGAAAATTGATCAAGATTTGGAATAGTCATCAAGGGGAATTAGAGCAGAACTAAATAAGGACAAGGAAAATGATTTGACAGTTTTGATGAGAGGTTGGAATGCTGCCAGTCCTTGGGGTTGGGATAAGAATTTATCAAAGTATACTTCTGTTAGCACCTTTCTCCATAATCACGAATTGTAAATTAGCTACATCCACATTAATGGTTTTATATTTTAGTTAAAAGTTTATTTACATATTTCATTGTCAATGAAATATTTTGGCAGTATGTTTTCTTTTTCATTATTAAAATAACCTGCCTCGTTACTGTGAGGTTTGACTTTAAATTAGATGTGCTTCTCTAATTCTTCCGTTGGCTTCTTTCTCCTGATTGCTGGATTTTCCTGCTTCAGTCATGTGTGGGGTATTTCTTTGTGGTTTATAAAATGGTAGCTCTATTGCCTGCATCAATTGTAGATTAAAAAAAATTAGTCCACTGCAAATGCAAAGTAGCCATGCTAGTTATAGCAAAATGATAACTGTACAATTAAAAATGGTTTAAATGTTTTACTTTCTTCCATTTATCACTCAGAATGCATGAGAAAATTTACTGATAAAATTAGACTTAAGGATGTGTGTTTTTTGGAGGAAAATGTTTGATAGTAAATACCATATTTAGCCATGTGATTTCTATATAGTATGTTTTCCTTTAAAATTTTGAAAGACCCTTCCTGGCCAGGGCTGGTGGCTAATGCCTGTAATCCCAGCACTTTGGGAAGCCAAGGTGTGCAGATCACTTGAGCCCAGGAGTTCAGGACTAGCTTGGGCAACACGGTGATACCCTGTCTCCACAAAAAATACAAAAATTAGCCGAGCACGGTGGCAAGCCTGTGGTCCCAGCTACATGGGATACTGAGGTGTGGGAGGATCACCTGAACCCAGGAGGTTGAGGCTGCAGTGAGCTGTGATTGTGTCACTGAACTCCAGCCTGGGTGACAGAGTAAGACCTTGTCTCAAAAAAATAAAAGACCCTTCCTGTTTTTGAATTTTTTGATTCCTTAAAAAGTCACTTATAATAATTAAGAGACTAAGCATTACAAGTGAGGCTGAAATTTTCTAATGTTCCAACTTGTAACTTAAACGAATAGAGTATATCTTAGGAAATTACCTTTTTCTACCTTGGAAAATCCTGTACTTAGCAACATCAGAGATACATAGTTCTGATTGTGCAACAGAATGAAGCAATTAGCTGAGGAGGTTACTCATCAACCTTTGGACTGAATCTCATGAGGTTTCTTTTGTTCCTGTGTCAGGTATGTCTTTTACCTCCTGAGAGATGGCATTTATAGAGCAGACCTTCCTGTACCATCTGGCCGGTGTGCAGAAGCTGTGCGTATTGTGGAGAGTTGCACGTTAAAGGACTTTGCAATCAAGCCACAAGCCAAGCGAATCATTTACTTCAATGACACTGCCCAAGTCTTCATGTCAACATTTCTGGATGGCTCTGCTTCCCATCTCATCCTACCTCGCATCCCCTTTGCTGATGTGAAAAGTTTTGCTTGTGAAAACAATGACTTTCTTGTCACAGATGGCAAGGTCATTTTCCAACAGGATGCTTTGTCTTTTAATGAATTCATCGTGGGATGTGACCTGAGTCACATAGAAGAATTTGGGTTTGGTAACTTGGTCATCTTTGGCTCATCCTCCCAGCTGCACCCTCTGCCAGGCCGCCCGCAGGAGCTTTCGGTGCTGTTTGGCTCTCACCAGGCTCTTGTTCAATGGAAGCCTCCTGCCCTTGCCATAGGAGCCAGTGAGTGCTCTGTCCCCAGTGTGGTTACTGGCCTTGCTGGAATAAGAGGAAGGTTTGAACTGCTTGGCGTTGTGATTCAATTTTGAGAGCCCCATTTGGCTATTCAGTCATCAACCAGAAGCAGCTACTTAGCTAAAAAAAAAGTTTATACATTTGTTCTGCATTTATTAGTTTTACATTAGGAGAATCTCTATACTTCTCATGTATATCCCAATAGAATAATTTGAACATTTATTGAGTGTCTGCTAAGATCCAGGCATTGACATTCTAGTCAGAACAAATAGCCAGGGAGATAGAATACTTGGGTTGAGATTTTTTGTGCTGTTGAAAGCTTGCATGAATTTCAGCAATTCCCTAAAACTCTGAACTCGAATCTCCATCTCTGGAGAGAGGTAGTATGTGGGTGGGTAAGCAGGTGGGCTCTGGAGTCAGCCTGCACGGATTCAAATACTTGCCATTTGTTAATAGAATGACCCTGGGCAAGTTACTAAACCACTCTGTGTCTCAGTTTCCACACCTGGAAATGGGGAATATTTATTATATCTTTTAATGGAACTGTTGTACAGATAAAATTAAAACACATTAGTAGAGCACTTAGAACAGTATCTAGCACAGAGGTCAGCAAACTTTTTCTGTAAAGGAAAGACCAGATAGTAAATATTTTTATTTACTTTGTGGGTCAGATGGTCCCTGTCAGCTACTCAATTATGTCGTTGTAGTGTGAAGACAGTCATAGATAATATGTAAATGAATAACTGTGGCTGTGTTCCATTACAACTTTATTTACAGAAACAGTGGGCCAGGTTTGGCCTGTGAGTGGAGTTTGCCAATCCCTGATCCCCTAGACGATAGTAAGTATTTAGAAAACATTGGCTGTTTTTGCTTTAGAACAAAGTTAATTATGTCTGTTTGCTGCATATCTCAAAGATGGCTGAAAATGAATAGGTAATTTTTTTTTATTGATTGGGCTTCTTGGAGGAAGGTACTATACAAACAGTGGTAATTACATTAAAGGTTCATCATTAAGCATTTTTTATTAAGAGCCTGATTATATCTATTAGTGTTGTAGAGAACCCCTCTGACAATTATATGCAGCAAGCATATAGCTTTGACTGAAGGACAGTCCTATTTGTTGGGAATGCTGTCTCCTTCAATGCAGCCAAATGAGCGGCATGAGGAATGAACACTGTCCTAGCCTCATCAACAAATGATCCCTGGTGATTATCGGGGTAGCGGATATTACTGCCCAATTGCTCTCCCATTTGAGATGAGGCTGTAGGTGAATTTATGGAGAATCCTTGGTTTGCCCTTGCAGATGTCATCCTGATCAGTGATATTATTGAACTCTTTGAATTAGGCCCTTCTGCCTGGCAGAACTGGACCTATGAGGTGAAAGTATCCACCCAAGACCCTCCTGAAGTCACTCATATTTTCTTGAACATAAGTGGAACCATGCTGAATGTACCTGAGCTGCAGAGTGCTATGAAATACAAGGTTTCTGTGAGAGCAAGTTCTCCAAAGAGGCCAGGCCCCTGGTCAGAGCCCTCAGTGGGTACTACCCTGGTGCCAGGTGAGAAAATGTTCTGGATTTAGGGAGTGACTCTCACAAAAAGAGGACTAGCTGAGTGCCCTTTAAATTTCCTTGCCTTGGGTTTAAAGAAATGAGAATGAGGGTGTATTGACCTCTTGAGTATGTGTTTGAGTAAACACATATTGAGTACATATTTATTTTCTGAGATTAGGAAAGCAAATAAAGCACTGTGTGATATTTAATTAGTGTTTCTAACCTGCCATTTTAAACTTTCCAAGATATTTTTTAAGGAAACACTATAATTGATTCTTTACGGGTTTCTTCTTTCTTATGGTATATTAAGCAGTGGCATTTCTGAACTCTGAGGGTCTTGCTGAGAGAAGTTGAGAGGCTGTGAATTATGCTGAATTCCATCCTCTTGGCTGAAAAGAAATGGAAGGATGACTATACCATTCATATTACTATTGTTAACACAGTCTCTTCTGGATGCTCTGAATGAGACCATGACAAACAGTAGTCAAAGCCCCCTCAAAAAAAATTCTGCAATGATCAAGACACCGTTATAGAGGCAATCTCACCATGCGTTTTTCTTCACATTTCAAAAATTTATGTGAAAATCAGAAAGTATGTTTAATGGGATCATTCTTGTTACACAGATAACAATTACTCATATCCTTTTATAGAACTTTTCAAAGTGTTGACATTCTTTTACTTTATATAGAAAATCATAAGATATAAGGCATAGATATAAGTATATAAGATACCTTTAAAGAGTTTGCTTTCCCTGATGTTTCTTTTAATTTCTTTTTTACTAAACAGCTAGTGAACCACCATTTATCATGGCTGTGAAAGAAGATGGGCTTTGGAGTAAACCATTAAATAGCTTTGGCCCAGGAGAGTTCTTATCCTCTGATATAGGAAATGTGTCAGGTAAACCCCAAGTCCTCTGTTCACTTGAATGACAGATTTCTACTCATAAGACTTCCCACATCATTCAATGAATCAAAAGAATAGGGTATTTTTGTATTTGGTCAATAGTGAAAGGAAAAAATATTGACTGAACTCTACTGCCAGTGATTCTGTTAAGAAAATGTCAGTTCTTAGATAGGAACGCTATTTATTAAGTCACAAAATGTGAGGTTGTTTCTAGTTTTATGCCCACCAGGAAGGCTTTGATATAATGCTGATGTATTAATCTACCAATGCCATCTCACATTAACAGCCTATCTTGTTCCACTAAGACAGTTATACTTAAATAATTTACTGTGCATTTGCTATAAGACAGGAGCAGAAACTGCTGCATAGAGTTCTAAATAAGGTATAAGGAATAATTGGTTGACAAAGAGGATTATTAAGTAATGAATGGGTAATTTGCCTGGAAGGCGTTAGAAGGAAGAAAAGTCTTCATTCTAGGGTGTTATAACAGTGATCTTGCCTGAAGATGACATCTTCCATAGTTATCTAATTGTTTATTGATTTATTTGGCCATTAAAAGTACAACAGCATTTCTGACCAACATAGGAGCCAAATGTAGGTAATGTGGCACCAATGGAGAGAATGCCACTTTGGCATTGGCTGAGTCTGGGCTTCCTCTTGATGTATCTGTGAGCCCTCAGGCAGAACACATGATCTCACCTTGTCTCAGGTTTACCATCTCAAAAATGAGAATAATTCCTACTTCATAATTTTGTTTTAGGAACTAAATGAGATCTGTAAACTGCCTGGGACAATGTTTGGCAAAGAGGAGATGCTCGATGTGTATCCACTGTTCTCCCTGGTTTCAGGGGTTAAGAGTTTGGGAAACATTATTTAAATATTCTTGACAGATCAAGTTCTAGTGAATATGTGTCAGTGTGTTGTTTAAAATTATGTTGAGGTGCAGATGTGATTTGTTGACTCATTATGTTTTTGTTGGTATGTATGAAAAATAACTGCTAATCATTCACTTTATTTTGAGACATGGATTGGTATAACAACAGCCTCTACTACAGTGACACGAAAGGCGACGTTTTTGTGTGGCTGCTGAATGGGACGGATATCTCAGAGAATTATCACCTACCCAGCATTGCAGGAGCAGGGGCTTTAGCTTTTGAGTGGCTGGGTCACTTTCTCTACTGGGCTGGAAAGACATATGTGGTGAGTTAAAGCATGGCATTCTGGATGCTCTAGAATGATACTTATCCACTTCAGTGACTTGCACACCAATTTCTTTTTTTTTTTTAAATACCTGTGCACCACTTATGCTATTATTTATTTAATGTTTATCTTTAAACCAAGTCACTTAAACATTTTTTTTTTCTTTTTTTGAGACACAATTTCACCCTGCTGCCCAGGCTGGAGTGCAGTGGCGCCATCTTGGCCTCTGCCTCCCGAGTAGCTGGAATTACAGGCATATGCCACCATGCCTGGCTACTTCTTGCATTTTCAGTGGAGATGGGGTTTCACCACGTTGGCCAGGCTGGTCTCGAACTCCTGACCTCAAGAGATCTGCCTGCCTCGGCCTCCCAAAGTGCTGGGATTACAGGCGTGAGCCACCGCTCCCGGCCTCATCTCACTTTTAAAATATGTTTTTTTGTAAATTAAATTTGTTATCACTATTTGTTGAATTAGGTATTTTTTCCCCAATAATAATTTAAATAAATACATGAAAATGCTCACCTGAGCGTTGGTTCTTGGCAGGAACATGGCATGCTCCAAAAGCATGATTCAAGGCAACTAAGTGAAGAGACTATTTTCAAAGGTGTGCACAGGGCTAGGGAAAATGAACAAATGATGGTGAGGCATCCTCACGGTTTACAAGTGTGCGAAGACATAAGTCTAGGTGTGAATAGGCAAGGGGAAGAAGTGGAAGAACCTGGTGAGGGCTGTAGCTGTAGGAGAGTAGCTGATATGGACTGTGACTTTAGGCACAGAAGCTGGCCACTATCAAGATGTATGGTCTGGCAAGGAGCCAGCTAAAGGAATAAGAACCCCAACCCCTCCTTCCTCCTGCCCTCTAATCTGCCAGTGCTTCCATTGGCTGAACCTCCCCAGAAGCCAGACAACAACCCTTCAGCCTAGCAGATAAAGTCCATAGATGTTGGCCTATGGGGGCACAGAGTAGGGTGGAGAAGGGTGGGAATTAGACCTAGAGGCAAAATAAAGACATCCAGCACACCTGTGGAGTGATATATTTTGAAGAGAAAGATGATGGCTAATGACAAGAACATTGGCCTGACAGATCAAGAAATAAGGTATTGAAATAATTTTTAATCAGGAAAGTACTTGCTGTCCATTTATTTATTTGTCCAGCAATCATTTATCTACTACCAATGCGTTGAAATCCTTGAAAGAAGGCAAAGTAGGGAATATAAAACAAATAGCCGACATGTCCCTGCTATTTTAAAAACAACTTTGTTGTGATATAATTCACATAACACAAAATTCATTCTTTTATTGTGTAGAATTCAGAGATTTTTTAGTGTGTCCATTGATGTACAGCCATCATCAGTTGTCCCTGCTCTTCTGAGGAGATAAAATACATATATAAAATAAAGAAGCATATGAAGCAATGTATTTAGAGACAAAGCAATATGGTACAATCTGAATTCATAAGTGCCAAAGATGTGCAAGCAGAATGAAATTGAGTGGGGTTAGTCAGAAAACACTCCCTCAAATAGGTTAGTTTAAAAATAGTTTTGAAAAAGGAAATGGAAGAGTGGACATAAAAACCAGTTTTAAGTATTTTCTCTATCTCTTATTAAAGTGTTTAACTCCAGGACAAATTGTTTAACTTTAATCCACTTTACCTGTGAAAAAATAGGGAATAGAAATCCTTCATAAGCTTAATGTGAGGATTACAGGAGTTTATATTTTTAAAGATAAAAAAGTACAGTGCCTGGCACATTATTGATAATCATGAAATATTAGGGAACTACACTGATAGAGAAGAGCAAGGAGAGATGTCATCATTTATAGGGACATAAACATCTTTTTTCGGGAGTCTAATCAAATATATTCCTATCCAGCAGTGTTCACATTGTCTGGATGTATAATTAGGAAAAGCAGTTATTTTTATGCAAAGTAAATTTAGTTCCCTTCTCTTTGGAGGCATGAAAACAGATAAGCCCCATGAGGGCAGGTGCCATGCCTGTTTGCTTGTTGCTGTGTTTCCAAGGCTTATTACACTACCCAGCACATAGTGCCAATCACTATTTGTGGTTGAATGAATGAATGATTAATCAAGCAATTTATTAATGATTGCAATAAATATTCAGAAATAATAATGTCACTTGAAAGCCATTAACTGGCCATACAATTATGTTTTTTAGATACAAAGGCAGTCTGTGTTGACGGGACACACAGACATTGTTACCCACGTGAAGCTATTGGTGAATGACATGGTGGTGGATTCAGTTGGTGGATATCTCTACTGGACCACACTCTATTCAGTGGAAAGCACCAGACTAAATGGGGAAAGTTCCCTTGTACTACAGACACAGCCTTGGTTTTCTGGGAAAAAGGTGACAAATTAAAAGATCTGATCATTTAGTAATACTGAATAGCTCTATATTTATGATAATACTTTCTCTCGCTTATTGTGAGTACTTAAAGCAGACTCCTAAAGGAAATAGTGTTTTGGTAAGATCTTGGTTTAACCAAGTTTTCTGTTATTTGAAAAAAAAGCGCCTTATTTGATGGTCACAATTGAAAGCCTTATTTGATGGTGATAAGTGATTATGTAAGTTCAAATGCACTATGGAGATTTTTTTTGTTTACTTTATTTTGAGTGAACCCAACTTAAAAGTATTTTAATTTATAACTGTTTTTATAGTCTTAAGGACTTCTGTTGAATATTTTAGAAGCTTTGAATCAGGTGGTGACTAGGCATTTTACTATTTTCAATCAGTTTTGGGCACTGACTGTTTTAAAAACTGTTTCTAAAAACTAGGCAAATGATTTCACTTCTCCGTGTTTCTTTCCTTATCTGAAAAATGGGACTGTTAACTATTATTCTACCTCCTAAGTTTTTTTTTATAAAGATTATATGAGAGTATTCATGAGGAGTGGGAATAGTTCCAGGTACAAAGTAAATGCTCCGTAGTTAAGCTCATATTATTATTACTCAACCTGCAAATACAGGAATGTTTCTAAAGCAAATGTTACTTTTACTTCCTCAGCTTTTACAAGCAATAACTATTTTTGTTGATTCTGTTTAGCTACCCACTAGGTATCCATCTAAGTTTCTAAATTTTAATTTTTTCTGACCATAATAGTGACATATTTCAACTGTGAAAAACTTGAAAATTGCAGAAATGCATTAAGAATAAATAAATTATTCACACCATTTCTACCTAATATATCCCTTAAGATTTTCTTATTTTAAGTCATTTTTTTCTGCAGAGATAAAATATACATAATACAGAATACCAGATGATTTTAAAAATGTATGTATATATATGAACTAATAGTTGAGTCACTTGATCTCCAATTCCAATAACATATATGGGCCATAATTCCTAGGATATTTAAAGAGACCTGATTTGCATTACATGGATTATAACACAGACATTTAAAAGAGATGGAAATTTATGTACCATATCCAAAGACAATCATTCTTGTCAAATAATAAAAAGGTCTCTTAATTCTATTTTGGAGTCACTTGAGTCTGAATACAAAGAAAGCATTTTTTTTTGTTTTTCAAAAAATATAATTGTTAGGGAAAAGCATTTTCATTTTTGTAAAAACATATTGATAATATTATCTCAAGAGTAACTTCTTCTCCACCTCAGGGACTTTGTCAGTAATCTTCCCAGTGTTCTGATATGGTTGTTTGAGTACTCTCACTAGCCAGGATAAAGCTCTGGTGTGACCTTGGGGACTTCCCCATAAATGAGTGAGTCATCTCAGCATGTTTGGGGGAAATTCATCCTTCTTACCCCTCTTTAAATCCCCCCTCCAAACGCTTATACACTGCAGATGGGGATGTAAATTAGTACAACCTCTATGGAAAACAGTGCAGAGATTTCTTAAAGAACTAATAGTATTTCTATCATTCGATCCAGCAATCCCACTACTGGGTATCTCCCCAAAGGAAAAGAAGTTATTATATCAAAAAGACACCTGCACACATATGTTTATGGCAGCACAATTTGCAATTGCAAAGATAGGGAACCAACCTAAGTGCCCATCAACTGATTAGTGGATGGATAAAGAAAATGTGGTATAAATACACCATAGAATACCACTCAGCCATAAAAAAAAGGAGGAAATAATGTCTTTTGCAGCAATTTGGATGGAGCTGGAGGCCATTATTCTAAGTAAAGTAACTCAGGAATGGCAAACCAAATACTATATGTTCTCACTTATAAGTGGGAGCTAAGCCATGGGTATGCAAAAGCATACAGAGTAATATAATAGACTTTGGAGACTCAGAAGGAGGGAGGGTGGAAGTTGGGTGGGGGATAAAAAAAACCCTACATATTGGGTACATTTTTACACTACTCAGGTGACTGGTGCACTGAAATCTCAGCCTTTACAGCTGTACAATTCATCCATGTGACCAAAAACTACCTGTACCCCAAAAAGCTATTGAAGTTAAAAATATATATATAATAAAAGCAAAAGAATGGAAATTAACCAAAAAAAAAAAAAAACAGTCCTCTGCAAATCCTCTCCCAGGTTGTCAAGTGCTGTTGTTGCTTTTGCAAATCTGTGTTCTGGTTCCATGGTTTGATGTCTAATCTATCTGACTCCCTTAGTGACAGTGGATGTTTTGAAGGCAATGCATTTTGCATCCAGCAAAGCTCTTCATCTCTCTCTTGTTCATTGATGTCATGTACAGATTTATTATGCAGTAATAATATATTTTGCAATCAGCCGACATAATGAAATACAGTCAGGCAATTATTTATAGAAAGGCCCAATTACTTGTGTGATAAAAAAAGAATGAACAAAGTAAGAGATTCTTCTAAGGTAAAAAGATACCTTTTGCCACATCTGATGAGCTCAACTCACAGCATATGGTACATTTTACCACAGAATTAAAATTTAGCATAAGGGTTTTAGTTTAGATCAGAGAGGTTTATATAAAAGGTATGGAGTACCCTCTGACTGTTTAAATATGAAGCTGCTGACTGCTGTGGAGGAATGGGATGATGACTCAACACCTGAATTTTACTTAGAGTTTGAATAGTTTGTTGTATTCCAGCAAAAAATTGTAGAATCTCCTTTTTAAAATAGATGAAATAGACTTAATTTGTAATGTAGAAACTCTAGTGTATCTCATTGTAAATAACCAAACAAGGTTAACCTGATTTCTTTTTAACTGAAAAAAAAAAATCAATAGATCTCTCTCAGCATGGAGCAAGGACATGATTCAACTCCTAAAAGGCTGAGAATTGCCAGAATACATTTTTACCTTCTGGAGAATAAGTTGGTTGAATTTTCCTGAAGATAGAAGGCTGTGATTTGTATGACAACCGAAGGGTTTTTGTCGTCATGTACCTTATAACTGTTTCTTTGTAGCAGGATAACTTTTCAGGAAGAATTTTTAGCTCTTGGATACCTTATTGTAGTCTTTTCACATCTTTCACTGGCTCATCATATTTGTTTAAATGCTGCTGTATCTTGCTGAAGATGTAGTCGTCAACTTTAATTCTATTGGTTATACCTCACAGCTTCTAGGTATGTTACAGGGAGATTGCACTGCTCCGAAATCAGGCTACTGGCAATCTTAGCTTATTTGAAAAATATTTGTAAAGCCAAAGAAAGCAAAAACAGGATCTTTGGATAGTAACTTCTATCTGTCTCATGGATTCTATGCCATATCTCATGGATTCTGTGCCATCAGGCCTCATCTAGATGACTGGATGTAAACTTAAGATATACATTGCAACAAGAAAGCAAAGAGTAGTAAGAAGTGGTTCTCATATGTCATCTGGAAATAGGGCTTTATATACACATTACTATTCAATTTTAATACATAAACATCCTTTGTGTATGATCTTTTTAAAGTGTATGAGAATGTTTTGGGTTGCAATTAATAGAAAATACAATTCAAAATGGTTTAAACCATTGGTGGCACGTTGGAATCACCTGAGAAGTTTTAAAGCATACTGGAGCCTAGGTTCCATCCCCAGAGATCATAATTAATAGAGTGCAGCCTGGGAATTGAGATTTTTAAAAAACTCCACAGATCATTGTAATATGCAGCTATGTTTGATAACAACAGGTTTAAACAACAACAAAATTCACTGGCTCATGTTGCTAAATAGGCCAGAGTTACCACTACCTTTAGGCAAGCTTGACACAGGCTCAACATTTCAGATTCAGTAACTCTGGAGTGTGACTGATAATTTATATTTGTTCCAAGCTTCCAGGTGATGCTGTTGCTGCAGGTCTGAGAATCATACTTTGATAATTACTGGAGCTAAGTATATAAAAGTGAATAATACACTCCTTGCCTTTTTGTAAAATTTTAGGACACCAGTGTTTATATCCAAATAACAGTAATAAGCATAATCATATAAGTTTTATAGTCAGAAAAAAGTAAAAATTACTGAATTTATTATTCCAAAGAGGATGTTAAAGAGAAATCTATAGCTTAAGTGTGACCTGTTCACAAAGTTATGCTTCAAACATGTATTTGGTTTATTTTCTTACCTTACTTTCTACTTAGGTAATTGCTCTAACTTTAGACCTCAGTGATGGGCTCCTGTATTGGTTGGTTCAAGACAGTCAATGTATTCACCTGTACACAGCTGTTCTTCGGGGACAGAGGTAAGTAGAGTCCCTCAAAGGCAATTGATTGAGAAGAAAACTTGTCAGTCATAAATGATAATGCATGGAAATTCATTTATTCCTTCAATAAACATTTTCTGGTTATCCACTGTGTTGCAGGCATTGGGCTTGTAGGGTAAAGAGGTTTGTAAATAACTAGTTACAGTAGAATATGGTAAGTGCTGTGATGGGGTATGAAGAGAGTACAGTATAGACACTCAGGAGAATGCTGCTTAAGAGCCCAGGAAGTGTATGGATAAGCTTTTCTGCTTCTTCACAAAATAGAGTATACATTATGGAGTGAAGGCAGAACTCTTCCTGTGATGTCTTAAATGAAAATTAGAGAGTGAAAGGGACCACATGAATTATCTCCTTGATCTGTGTCCTCAAGCTTATCCCCCTGTCCTGATCTTGTCGGTATCTCTACATCTTCCACATTAGCATTGTCAGATATTTTAAAAATAAATTTTACACTTTTATTTTAAAAAATTAGTTAAAATATACATAATGTGAAATATTCAGATCTTAAGTGTTCCATTACATCAGTTTAGACAAATGCATTTTGAGACACAGAACATATCCATCATCACAAAAAATTCCTGTGCCCCTTGCCAATCAATCTGCACCACTCCAGAAATATGTACTTTTTGTATCTGGCTTCTTTTACTTGGCATACAATCTTTTGCGATATATTCACTTTGTTATGTGTACTAGTTTTTCTTTTTTATTACTGAGTGGTATTCCATTGTGTGAAGATACCACTGTCTGTGTATCCATTCTATGCATGTCTTGATGGACATTTTAATTGCTTCCTAATTTTGGTTATTATGCATAAAACTGAATATTTGTATACAAGGCTTTTTGTGGATGTATACTTGGATAAATACCTAGGAGTAGAATTGCTGGGTGATAGGGTAGATAGATGTTTATATTCTTAAGTAATTGCCAGTTTTTCAAAATGTTTGTGCCATTTTACATTCCCATAAAAAATGTATGAAAATTGTGGTTCTTCCATATCCTCTCAACAGTTGGCTTTGACAATCTTTATTATATTCACCATTCTTTGGTGTGGGAAGCAGTAAATATTGTGATTTTAACCAGCACTTCCCTGATGACTATCAATTTTGATCACTTTTTCATTTGTTATCAGCCATTTATATATCTTCTTTTATGATATGCCTGTTCAAGTATTTTTCTCATTTTTAAATGAGTTGTCTTTTCATTATTGGGTTGTTCTGTATATAAGCACTTTGTCAAAATATGTGTTGTGAATATTTTGTCTCAGTGTTTAGTTTATCTGCTTATTTTCTTGGTGGTGTGCTTTGATGAGAAGAATTTCATTTCGATTAAGTCCAATTTATGCATTTTCTATATTCTGTGCTTTCTGTGTTTTCTACAAGAAATCTTAGCCTATCCCAAAGTTGTGAAGATTTTATACTCCATTTTTTCTAGAAGCTTTATCGTTTTAGCTTTCATGATTAGATCTATAATTCATCGTAAATTTATTTTGGGGTATGTTGTGAGATATGAGTTAAAGTTTTCTTTTTTTCCTTTCTGTAGGGATATCCAGTTGTTCTAGCGCCATTTGCTGAAGAGATTTTCTCTTTCTTTATTTAGTTGCTTTGGGACCTTTATTGAAAATAATTTGGGCCGGGCGTGGTGGCTCACGCCTGTAATCCCAGCACTTTGGGAGGCTGACATGGGTGGATAGCCTAAGGTCAGGAGTTCGAGACCAGCCTGACCAACGTGGTGAAACTCCGTCTCTACTAAAAATACAAAAACTAGCTGAGCGTGGTGATGGGCGCCTGTAATCCCAGCTACTCAGAAGGCTGAGGCATGAGAATCAATTGAACCGGGGAGGCAGAGGTTACAGTGAGCTGAGATCGCGCCATTGCACTCCAGCCTGGGCAACAAGAGTGAAACTCTGTCAAAATAATAATAATAATAATTTGACTGTGTATGTGTAGGTCTATTTCTGGACTCTCTGTTCTGTTCCTTTGATATATTTGTCTACTCTTTTTGCCAGTACTACATTGTCTTGATAACTGTAAATTCAGAGAAAAACTTGAAGACAGGCAAATTCAGTCCTTCTACTTTGCTTTGCTTTTCCAATATTTTTATTTTGGCTATACTTGATCTTTTGCCTTTCCAAATAGATTTTAAAATCATCTCACTAATTTCTAGAATAAATCCTGCTGGAATTTTGAATCTCTTTTCAGTTTAGGAAGAATGAATATCTCAAAATTTTGAATCTTCCAATCAATGAAAATGGTGTATCTCTCCATTTTTTTAGGTTTTCTTTGATTTCTCTCAGAAGTGTTTTATAGTTTTTAGTGTAGATGTCTAACATATCTTTTATTAGGTTAATGCCTAGGTATCTAATTTTTTTAATGCTTTATATATGTTACTTTTTAAAATTCCATTTTCTAAATGTTCATTACTAGTGTGGGAAAATACAATTGCTTTTTGTATATGACTTTGTATCTTATACATTTTTAAGTTAATTTATATGTCCTAGTAGATTTCTTCTAGAATACTTTAGTAAGAGTTATAGTAGTCTCAAAAATGACTTAGGAAGCATTCTCTCCTCAATTTTCTGAAAGCATTTGTATAGAATTGCTGTTAATTCTTCTTTAGTTTTGATAAAGTCCACAAGCTAATTCATCTGGACCTGGAGTTTTCTTTGTGGAAAATTATTTGATTACAAATTCAGCATCTTTTAAGGATATAAGGCTATTTATTTTTATTTCTTCTTGAGCCAGTTTGGTAATTCATGCTTTCAAGAATTTGTCATTTTGCATGAGTTTTCAAATTTTATAATATCCTCTTAATATCATTTTAATGTCTATAGGGTCTGTCGTGATATCCTTTTATACTTCTGCTATTGGTACATTTTTTTCTTGATCACTCCTGCTAAAAGTTTATGAGATTTATTTATCTTTTCAAATAATCTGTTTCTGGCATTATTGATTTTTTTCTGATTGTCCATTTTTTATTTCATTAACTTCTAATCTTATTATTTTCCCTTTTCTATTTATTTTAGGCATAATTTTCTGTTCTTTTTCTAGCTTTTTAGATTGAAAAGAAAGGTCATTGTTTTTGTATCATTCCACTCACTGGCATTTAAAACTATGAGTTTCTTTCAAGGTCTATATTAGTTGTATTCAACAAATTTTGGTATGTCTCCAACTATGATTGTTGATTTGCCTATTGTTCTTTTTGGTTAATGTATTTGGGTGCTTTATATTTAGTATATTGATTATCTATATACTTAATTATATTGCCTTTTTATCATTATAAAATACTCCTATTCATCTATGCTAATATTCTTCATCTTAAAGATTCCTTTGTCTGATATTACTATGGCCACATCAGCTTTCTTTTGCTTAGTGTTTGCATAGTACAGCTATTTCCATTTATTTACTTTTAAATTGTGTTGTTTACATTTATTGTATTGTTTTATTGTTGGTTTTAAATTTTTTATTTTAGTTTAAGGGGTACATGTGCAGGTAGGTTCTATAGATAGTGTGTCCTGGGGGTTTGGGGTACAGATTGTTACCCAGGTAACAAGCATATTACCCAATAGGTAGGTTTTCTTTTTTTAAAAAATTTATTTAATTCAATAGGTTTTTGGGGAACAGGTGGTATTTGGTTACATGGATAAGTTCTTTAGTGGTGAATTCTGAAATTTTGGTAAACCCATCACCTGAGTGGTGTACACTGTACCCAGTGTGTAGTCTTTTATCCCTCACCCTCCTCCCACCCTTTACTCCAAATCCCCAAAGTCCATTGTATCATTCTTATGCCTTTGCATCCTCACAGCCTAACTCCCACTTATGAGTGAGAATGTACTTTTTGGTTTTCCATTCCTGGTTACTTCACTTAGAATAACGGTCTCCAATTCCATCCAGGTTGCTATGAATGCCATTATTTTGTTCTTTTTTATGGCTGAGTAGTATTCCATTATATATACACCACATTTTCTTTATTCAATAATTGATGGGCATTTGGACTGGTTCCATATTTTTGCAATCATGAATTGTGCTACTATAAACATGCATGTGCATGTATCTTTTTTGTATAATGACTTCTTTTCCTTGGGTGGATACCCAATAGTGGGACTGCTGGATCAAATGGTAGATCTACTTTTAGTTCTTGAAGGAATTTTCACACTGTTTTCCATAGTGGTTGTACTAGTTTACATTCCCATCAGCAGTGTAAGAGTGTTCCCTCTTCACCACATCCATGCCAACATCTATTATTTGAGATGGTTTGCTTTTTTCTTGTTGATTTGTGTGAGTTCCTTGTAGTTTCTGGATATTAGTCCTTTGTCAAATACATAGTTTGTGAATATTTTCTCCCACTCTGTGGGTTGTCTGTTTACTCTGCTGATTATTTTGCTGTGCAGAAGCTTTTTAGTTTAATTAAATTCCATCTATTTATCTTTGTTTTTGTTGCATTTGATTTTGGGTTCTTTGTCATGAAGTCTTTGCCTAAGCCAATGTCTAGAAGGGTTTCTTCGATGTTATCTTCTAGAATTGTTAAGGTTTTAGGTCTTAGATTTAAGTCTTTGATCCATCTTGAGTTGATTTTTGTATAAGGCAAGAGATGAGGATCCAGTTTCATTCTTCTACATGTGGCTTTCCAATTATCCCAGCACCATTTGTTGAATAGGGTATCCTTTCCCTACTTTAGTTTTTGTTTGCTTTGTCGAAGATCAGTTGGCTTTATTTCTGGGTTCTCTATTTTGTTACTTTGATATGTGTGTCTATTTTTATACAAGTACCATACTGTTTTGGTGACTATAGCCTTATAGTACAGTTTGAAGTCAGGTAATGTGATGCCTCCAGATTTGTTCTTTTTGCTTAGTCTTGCTTTGGCTATATGGGCTCTTTTTTGGTTCCACATGCATTTTAGGATTGTTCTCTCTTGTTCTGTGAAGAATGATGCTGGTATTTCAATGGGAATTACATTGAATTTGTAGATTGCTTTTGGCAGTATGGTCATTTTCACAATAGTGATTCTACCCATCCATGAGCATGGGATGTGTTTCCATTTGTTTGTATCATCTATGATTTCTTTCAGCAGTATTGTGTAGTTTTGTAGAAGTCTTTTATCTTCTTAGGTACATTTGTGAGTATATTTTTGCAGCTATTGTAAAAGGGGTTGAATTATTGATTTGATTCTCAGCTTGGTCGCTGTTGGTATATAGCAGTGCTGAGAGGTGACAACGTGCTAGCAGCCCTCGCTCACTCTCAGCACCTCTTTGGCCTTGATGTCTGCTCTGGCCATGCTTGAGGAGCCCTTCAGGCTGCCGCTGCACTGTGGTAGCCCCTCTCTGGGCTGGCTGAGGCTGAAGCCAGCTCCCTCTGCTTGTGCGGAGGTGTGGAGGGAGAGACGCAGGTGGGAACCAGGGCTACGTGTGGTGGTCGCAGGCCAGCACGAGTTCTGGGTGGGTGCGGGCTTGGCGGGCCCCGCACTCAGAGCGGCTGGCCAGTGCCACCAGCCCCGGGCAGTGAGGGGCTTAGCATCCAGGCCAGCAGCTGTGGAGAGGGGCACCAGGTCCCCCAGCACTGCTGGCCTGCCCGCGCCATGCTCGAATTCTCGCCGGGCCTCAGCGCCTCCCTGCGGGGCAAGGCTCGGGACCTGCATCCTGCCATGCCCAAGTCCCCCCGTGGTGGGCTTCCGCGCAGCCCGAGCCTCCCTGATGGGTGCCGCCCCCTGCTCCGTGGCGCCCGATCCCATTGACCGCCCAAGGGCTGAGGAGTGCAGGCGCATGGTGTAGGACTGGCGGGCAGCTCCACCCACGGCCCTGGCACAGGATCCACTAGGCGAAGCCAGATGGGCTCCTGAGTCAGGTGGAGACTTGGAGAACTTTTATGTCTAGCTGGAGGATTGTATATGCACCAATCAGCACTCTGTGTCTAGCTCAGGGTTCATGGATGCACCAATCAGCACTCTGTATCTAGCTAATCTGGTAGGGACTTGGAGAACTTTTATGTCTAGCTAAAGGATTGCAAATACACCAATCAGCACTCTGTGTTTAGCTCAGGTATTGTAAACGCACCAAGCAGCACCCTATCAAAACGGACCAATCAGCTCTCTGTAAAATGGACCAATCAGCTCTCTGTAAAATGGGCCAATCAGCAGAATGTGGGTGGGGCCAGATAAGGGAATAAAAGCAGGCTGCCCAAGCCAGCTGTGGCAACCCGAATGGATCCTTTTCCACAGTGTAGAAGCTTTGTTCTTTTGCTCTTTGTGATAAGTGTGGCTGCTGCTTACTTTTTGGCTCCACACTGCGTTTATGAGCTGTAACACTTACCCTGAAGGTCTACAGCTTCACTCCTGAGGCCAGTGAGACCACGAACCCAGTGAGAGGAATGAGCGACTCCAGATGCGCCACCTTAAGAGCTGTAACACTCACCACGAAGGTCTGCAGCTTCACTCCTGAAGCCAGAGAGACCACGAACCCACCAGAAGGAAGAAACTCCAAACACATCCGAACATCAGAAGGAACAAACTCTGGACACACCACCTTTAAGAACTGTAACGCTCACCACGAGGGTCTGTGGTTTCATTCTTGAAGTCAGTCAGAAAAAGAACCCACCAGTTCCGGAAACAGTGCTATTGTTTTGTGTACATTAATTTTGTATTCTGAAAGTTTACTGAATTAATTTGTCAGTATTAGGAGCTTTATGGAGAAGTATTTAGGGTTTTCTAGATATATGATCATGTTATCAGCAAACAGTGATAGTATGACTTCCTCTTTACTGATTTGGATGCCCTTTCTTTCTTTTTGTTGTCTGCTTGCTCTGGCTAGGACTTCCAGTACTATGTTGAACAGGACTGGTGTGACTGGGCATCCTTGTCTTGTTCCAGTTCTCAGAGGGAATGCTTTCAGCTTTTCTCTATTCAGTGTAATGTTGGCCATGCGTTTGTCATAGATGGCTTTTATTACATTAAGATATGCCCCTTCTATGCCTGTGTTGCTGAGGTTTTAATCATAAAGGATGCTGAAGTTTGGGGGCTATAGAGCCCCCAAGAGAGTATGTCCTTTGTCTTCAGCTACCAGGATTGGTAGAGAAAGACCCTCAGTTGGGGCAGGGTTAGGCATGTCTGAGCTCAGGCTCTCCTTGGGCGGAGCTTGCTGTGTGTGGCTGCTGTAGGGGATGGGGGTGTAGTTCTCAGGCTGATGGAGTTATGTTCCCAGGGATATTATGGCTGACTTTACTGCATTATACAGGCCACCAGGGGAGTGGGGAAAAGCCAGCAGTGACCGGCCTCGCCCAACTCCCACACAGCCTGAAAGGCCAGTCTCACTCCCACCATGTCTCCCATGCAGCCAGTGAGTAGGACTAAGAACTTGCCGCAGGTTACAAGCCTCCCTGCTGAAAAAGCAAGTAGGGCTTTCAGGTTTCATACCTCCCACCTGTCATGGTTTCTGTGTTCATATCTGCACTCCCTATTTGCCCCCTTTCCCAGGTTCTGTCCAGGAAACTGTATTCGGTTTAAATTTTTACAAAGTTCAGCTGGAACTTTTCTTCTTCCTATGGTCTTTCTCCAGTTACACTGGCAGCCCTCCCCAAGGATCTCTGCAAGACAAAGTCAGGAATGGTTTCCCTGGGGACTGCAAGTGCCCACAGGGCTCGTCCTGCTGCTTCCTCTACCCCTATATTTTGCTTGGCTGTAAATTTGCCTCAGCTGCATGTGAGGTCAAATCCTTCTCCCATGATCTGGACCTTCAGGTTTTCCACAGAGGATGTGTGTTCGGGGGTGGACACTCCCCATATCACACTTTGGGCACTCAGTTTTTTGGCTATCTCACAAAGCCTACAGCAGCAAGCCTCTTCCTTCAAAGCGTCTGTGGATTCTCTCGGCTTTCCTGGTATGTTCCTGTGGTAGTTCTTGGAGCAAAAGTTCATGATGTGAGTCTCCACATGCCGCTCTGTCCATCTGAATGGGAGCTGCAAGTTAGTCCTTGCCTCCTATTCACTATTTTGGGAACTGATCTGAGTCTTTACATTTAAAGTGCCTTTCTTGTAAACAACATACAGGATGTTGCTTTTTTACACAATCTAACAACTTCTGCATTTTAATTACGGCATTTGGTTCATTTACACTTAATATAATTATCAATATGTTTGGATTTAAGTCTACTGTCTTGACATGTGACTTCCATTTGTGTCTCAGCTCCTTGTTCCTCTGTTTCTACTTCTTTGCCATTTTTGTGGGTGAATAAAATAATTTTTAGTATTCCATTTTATCTCCTCTAATGACATTTTAAGTATGTCTATTTATTTTTTTAGGTTGCATTAGAAATTAAAATATGCATTTTTTTACATGATACATCTTCAACTTATCAAGTCAATATCCAAATATATCCTTCATAAATGATTTAAAACTTTATATATGTTTAATTTTTACCATCCTACTCTTAGTGTTCTTCGTGTCATATGTTTTACTTCTACTTGTTTAAATATCCAATAATTTAAAAATATTTAACTAATAGTTTTTAAGGGAGAAGTTACACATCTAAAATTAAAATATAGGTTATAAAGTCATTAGAACCCAAAATTTAGAGGGAGAATTTAGAGATCATTTTATTTCATAGATGAGGACACTGAGGTCCAGAGATATTCACACATTTTCCTAATATCACATTGTTAATCAGAGGAATGGTCAGGAAGTGATTAAAGTAAAGCAAAATATCATATACTCTAAAGGTAAAGATTTCTGGTATTAGGTTCTTGGGTCCCCAAAGGGTTCATAGAAGGCTTTAGGATGTGTCAGTGCTCTGCAATTGAGGATTCATATCTTTCATCAAAATTCCAAAAAAGTCTCCTAAAGTTCAATAACTATTTTATGAAGACAATGCTGACAATATTTTTAGAATAAAAATTCCTTTTTTTGGTAAGTAGAAAAACTCCAAGTCATGGAGACCCTGAAAAAGGAGTGTATGTATGTGTATATTTATCTATCTATAGATATAGATTTATACACATACATCCATATGCATTCATATGTATATATCCATATATATCCACATACATTCATATCCATATACACATCCGTATGTACATATATGTATATACATATGTGTATATGCATGTACATATACATATATATGGATGTGTATATATATGTGTATGCACGTGGATGCATGTAGATAGATATTTATGTATATATCCATATATATACACACACACACATAATGCCTATAAGCACATAAACACAACAAATCTGATTGATCAATTACTTCATATCAAGTATGGCAGACAGCTCTGGCTAGTTTCCTACCTGTGAATCAGAGAAAACTGATTATTCCTTTCCTTAGGAACTTAAGGTACTGACAATCTGATTGCCAAAACAAGCTGTCTAAAGTGAGACATAGACAATGTTCAAAGCAACAGTGTCCTGAAGGATCATAGTCCATTCTCTGCATTCTCTGTGTCTGTATATGCCAGAGAGCTGGTTTCTTTTTTTTTTTGAGATGGAGTCTCGCTCTGTCGCCCAGGCTGGTGCAGTGGCGCGATCTCGGCTCACTGCAAGCTCCGCCTCCCGGGTTCATGCCATTCTCCTGCCTCAGCCTCCTGAGTAGCTGGGACTACAGGCGCCCGCCAACACGCCCGGCTAATTTTTTGTATTTTTTAGTAGAGACGGTGTTTCACCATGTTAGCCAGGGAGAGCTGGTTTCTTTAAGAGTCTAGCTCCTCGAGCATCCACAGACTCAATATAAAGTAGAGGAAGGAAGTTCCTTCTTAAAAAATGTATTTCCTCATTTCAAGTTTAGTAATGTTTTCTTGTATGTATGTACAGTGGAGCATAGCAGCTCCCAGTGAGATAACAAAGGGCAGGTACTTTTGCCTTCCAAGTAAGTCTTGCCTTTTAAACCTATCAGGAAAAAAAGAAGTTTTATATATAGAGATTGGGATTCCAGAGTCATCTTATAAGGAGAAAGTATTTTCTAACATATAATCAAAATTCCTTCCCTTTAGTTTAGATCAGCTTTGTCCAATACAAATATAATGCAAGTCACATATGTAATTATAAATATTCTAGTTGGCTCATTAAAAAAAGTAAAAACAAGTAAACGTAACTTTAATAGTATATTTTAATATTTTGATAACATATCAAAATGTCACTTCAACATGCAATCTGAATAAAAATTATAAAGTTATTTTATATTCTTTTTTTCACATTAATTCTTGGACGTTCTGTTTGTATTTTACATTTATAGCATAGCTTAATTTGCAAACTAAGTTTTCATAGAAAATATTTGATCTGTATTTAGATTTCATAAAATTTACAGGCAAAATAGTTGATTTACATACTTGTTCTAAAATACTCAAAAATATTTTAATATATTATACGTGATTCATAATATATGAATCAAATATTAGTTTTAAAATTTACCACAAGTTAATTAAAACTAAATAACATTAAACTTTTGGTTCCTCGGTCATACTAACCACATTTCAAGGGCTCCGTAGTCACATGTAGCTAGTTGCTGCTGCACTGAGCAGTACGGCTCTAGTCTGTAGTAGAGATGAGATAAACTGATTGCTGTCACTCATCATATTCCGAACTTGAGAATTGTAATTGAATTGCCCCTCAAACTACTCTTCCCTCTCCTATGTACATCCATTCCCTTTAGTTTATACAAGAGTAAACCTATTTGAGGTACTGTGAAATTCTCAAAACAAAACTTTATTTATATTTTTCTAAAGAGAGAAAAGTGAATGCTTTAAAATGATTTATAGAAATCACTAAAAAAAAAATCAAACTATCACTCCAAAATGCTGAGGATAACTGAGATAGTTCTTTTTTTGAGTACTAAACAACTGTTACAACTTCAGAAACAACCAAGCAGATTTTTCAAGCAAAAATAATTGCAAAATTTCCTTCCATTGAGGGGAAAAAAACCTCTAAACACAATTTAAAGTTTTTTACTTGAATTTCCTAGTCTGAAAAGGAGCACTTTGATCAAACTATAGAAACTGATACACATTGAAATAACATACAGTTGTGAGTAGTATAAAGTGAAGGACCCAGCAGGCTAGGATAATAAATGGCAGGTAAATCAGATGACTAACCAAGAGTAGGAGGAAGGCGTGGTTCAATGGGGAGAAAAAATTCAACAGACCATGCCTTCGGGATTGATTTTCCCTGTTTATCTTGTTATGCCTGGCTGTTCATTTTGGGGTGGTGGGGTCATGGAATTGATTTTTTTAAATCAATCTTTTTATTTCTTGAGAAAACTATGATGAAATGAGATCAGCTTCACCCAGATGCAGATTTATTAGTGTTATACCCACATTTAATAGATGGTTCAATGAGAGGTTAAATTATTTGCCTGAAGTCAAACATTTAATAATTGGCTGAGCTGGGGTTCCATGCAGTTCTATCTGTTTCTGAAGAATCCCCTACATTGCAAATTCATTAATTCCCAGTGGGGCCTAGTCTCATTCAGAAATGAGAATAGTCATGTGGGCATGCAGGCCATGCCTTCTTGGCATCACGTGAACTGGGTTAGATGTGAGGTGGTTGCTTTAAGAACAAGGAATCTGAGTGAGGGTTGTTGGATAGACTAGAAGGGTGCCCACACAGGCCAGTGTCAGAGCAGTGATGAACTCTGCTCATAACAGAGTTATTCTGTGTGCCTAGGTACTGGAGTCCTCATGGCTACCACATTTAAGAGCTGTCATTCCTGTCAATTCTGGATAAATGCTTGGAAATTCTTGCTCTTTGGGTGTGTCTTTTTTTCAAATCCCTCAATGCAATAGGCTTTCCTTTTTAAAGGAACATGTACCTGAATCCTAACTTGCTGTCTCCATCATGATTTATTGCATTGGCTGGTCCCAAAGCCCTTCTGCTTCACATCCGTAGGCTAACTTCACATCTATAGGCTAATTTATTGCATTGATTGGTCCCAAAGCCCTTCTGCTTCACCTCTACATATGGCAAATTTATACTTCAGGCATTGGTTTTTACGGGTTTCATTTCTGGATGATTACCTTATTTCCAGGTCCTGTAAGAACCTTGCCTCATGTCTTTCTTATGCTAATGCAAGAGTTGTAGGAGCACATAGAATAAACCAAAGATGTAATCTCTGAACTAATGAAGTAATGAGAATCCAGGTTGTGCCTTTGTTGTAGAGTATTACCAAAATCACAAGCATTTTTTAAAAAGCTGCAACCTATCTAAACACCCTTGATATTGCAATATCACATTAATAAGAAAAGCCCCCAGAGAGCACAGTGCTCATGCCTGTGATCCCAGCACTTTGGGAAGCCGAGGCAGTCAGATCACTTGAGGTCAGAAGTTCAAGACCAGCCTGGCCAACATGTGAAACCCTGACTCAACTAAAAATACAAAAAATTAGCCAGGCTTAGTGGTGTGTGCATATAATCCCAGCTACTTGGGAGGGTGAAACAGGAGAGTATCTTGAAGCTGGAAGGCAGAGGTTGCAGCGAACTGTGATCATGCCACTGCACTCCAGCTTGGGCAACAGAGTGAGACTCCATCTCAAAGAAACAAGGAAAGCCCCCAGAAAATTTACTTTAGGTCTACTACTTTTAAAAATGTAAAATAAAAACCCAACTTAATATGAAACAAAAAAAGACAATAATCGTTAGAAAGTATTTTCTTTATTTTAATGTACACAAATGCGTACAGATACTCACAAACATATATTCTCATGACTACTTGCATGGACCAGCCCTTCCACCACTCCAGAAACACACACTAATTGGTGTTATGTTTTAGCAGCACTGGGGATACCACCATCACAGAATTTGCAGCCTGGAGTACTTCTGAAATTTCCCAGAATGCACTGATGTACTATAGTGGTCGGCTGTTCTGGATCAATGGCTTTAGGATTATCACAACTCAAGAAATAGGTCAGAAAACCAGTGTCTCTGTTTTGGAACCAGCCAGATTTAATCAGTTCACAATTATTCAGACATCCCTTAAGCCCCTGCCAGGTACAGTATTTCATTCCTGCTTACCCTACTCCACTATACCTTCAGTTAAATAAATGTTTAGGTTGGGATATTTTTTTTTCTTAAGAATTAAGTTTTAAGAGGAGTAAGGTTTCAGTAATTTCAATTGGTTTGCTTGCAGTGAGTTTAATCTTAACCCAAATTTACAGCCTGAAAAAGTCAGAAAAAGATGATTTTTTTCAGGATATGTTAAAGAAAAGAAAAATTTTGTTTCAGTTCTAATTATTAGTAATTGCTATTGATTTTCTATGATTTCTATATTGGTCAATAATCCCCATTTTTTTCTCCTATTTCTTTTTTTTGTTTCATCCTGTAGGGAACTTTTCCTTTACCCCTAAGGTTATTCCAGATTCTGTTCAAGAGTCTTCATTTAGGATTGAAGGAAATGCTTCAAGTTTTCAAATCCTGTGGAATGGTCCCCCTGCGGTAGACTGGGGTGTAGTTTTCTACAGTGTAGAATTTAGTGCTCATTCTAAGGTATGGTGTTGGTTCTAGTAACTTTCATTTCCCAAACAGACTGTACCATCTGTGTCAGCCTTGCCCACACTGACCTGTATCATCTTGACTTAGCCAAGCCCATCTTCTTTGTCATTCCCATAGCATTTGGTCATTAAGATTATTCCCCAGAAGACTTGTTTGCAGCCAGTCTCTGACTGCTTGGTGCTAACTGCTGTGCTGGATACACTTTAACTGGTCTGTGTGGCACAACACAGAACTTGCCAAAATTAGCACTTCCAAAATTGCAAATTTTGATTTTACATGTGAACTAAAGTTTGGAGATTTTAGATAATAAGGAATGAAAGATTTTATAATTCTCTCCCTGAGAAAATAATGTTTTCTGTTTATATTTTAGTTCTTGGCTAGTGAACAACACTCTTTACCTGTATTTACTGTGGAAGGACTGGAACCTTATGCCTTATTTAATCTTTCTGTCACTCCTTATACCTACTGGGGAAAGGGCCCCAAAACATCTCTGTCACTTCGAGCACCTGAAACAGGTACAGGGGTTAAAATCTGTCTTTTTTCTTAAAAAAGCAGAATCTCACTTTTCATGATCTGGAATGGATAGTTGATATTTAAAAATAACTTTCAGTTTTATAGATGTGTTTAGATTCAATACCCTTTCAATGACTTTTTGGAGATTAGAATAGCGTCATTAACATAAATATGCATAATTTATTCCAAAAGAATATTTCAAAGATTTCTTAACAGCCATTTCATTTGATTGTAGTGATGTAGAAGATGCAGATGCATATTTCAGGTAATTTGCAAAATCCTTTATAAGGAAAATGGGCATTTAAGGGCAGAGACAGTTTTCTTGGAAGGCAGACTGTTCTCATAGATGGGAACTCAGAATCTTCTGTAGGTGAATAACTGATATCTAAATTTAATGTTTTGGGGAAAAGATATTTTAAAAAAGATACTAGCCATATCATTACATGTGTGTATCACCTTAAAGTGTACAAAACACATTTTTATGTATCACTCCTTTATTAACTATTTACTACATACCTATCATGTGTCAGAAACATCATTTCATTTGATCCTCACAGAGCTCTGAGGTGGGTAGGAAAGTCTTATTATCTTGATTATGCAAGAAAGAAAATGAAAGCCTAGTAGTTGCCCAAATAAAATAGTTACTAAGTGGCTGGGCTGGGACTTAATCTGGACTTTTCACTACAGTTTCATCAAATCTCCATTCAGTCACTTTTACAAATGTTGGTAAATGATAGTAATTTATGTAAAGCTAATACAGGATTTGGCAGGTGGTAAGAGCTTAATAAATATAGATATCCATTCTCCATTGCATTTTTTACTATTAAGATTATTTCAACAATATCCATCTACGAATTACACAACAGGAACATAGTGGGGCCTGGGCAGGTTCCGGAGCAGTTAGCATTGGATCCAGGAATGTTCTGCTTGAGATTTCCTTGGGATATCAGCTTGGTTGAATTGTCCTGTGGAAATGGACTTGACTGCATCCATCAGGGGATCCAGTGGGAGCAAGAGTCAACAGCACTCTGCTGGATATTGGAGAATAAGAAAGGATGACAAGATTTGGCCTTTGCCTTCAGGAAATTTACAATATAGCCAGGAAATTATCCAAATTGACCAATATTTATTAACCACTTACTGTATGCCAGTTCTGTACTAGATATGGGAAGATTTAACAAGGAATAAGAAGAGATGCTTTCTCTGATGGAGTTCATAAAACAGGAGGGAGATAAACACATGCACAGCAAATGATAATAGATACTAGAGAGTTATACCTGAGCAGCAGTGGCATAGAGTGAGTAGACAAGCCTATGAAACCTTCACCTATATCAAGCTGCCTCAGGCATTTTTAAGAGAGAAGGTGCCTTTGGGAAATGGAAACTTTAGTGCACTCTGAAAGATGGAGCAAGAAGAGGTATCCCATGTGAGAAGAGAAGCCTAATGTAAGAAGGCCTGGAGATTGAATAATAGTATGAGTGTTAAACATTAAATAGCAATGTGATTGGAATGAGGGAGGGAATGAAGACCTTGTGGAGGAGTCCTAAGAGAGGAGAGGGCCATCCAGAGAGAATGACTTAGAAATCAGGCAGAGACATTTCTCTTGATTAAAGGACTGAGAGATACTGAATTGCTTGGTTTGGCTCTAGAATAAATGAATACTCCCAAACCTTACTCTTGGGGTACGATCAGCCTCCCCTAAACTTTCTGCTTTCTAGGAACTTCAGAGTGACAGGGCCTAGGTCTCTGATTTATGCTGTGTTTTACAACCTGAACTGGCTGAAGGCTGGTGGGACTTACTGCCATCCATCCTGATGATGACATTTTCACCTTCACTGAAATCACTCTGTCAGGATAAAAGTGAATGTTGCATTTTACGGGGAGAACCAGACAGCTTCCATCTACACAAGGCACAGACAAGAAAGGTGTGCTTAAGTGGTAGTAGGAAGGATTTGAGTTGAACATAAGGAAGTCTTGCCTGTCAGTCAGATGTGCTGAAATTATCAGGATGGGTTCCTGAAGAAATCTATGGAATATTCTCTCCTGAAGATCTTTAAGAATGTAATAAATATACTGCAACTGCCTGGAATGAGAAATATTGTTAAGTTGTTTACAATCTTATTATAAGTGGTAAAAGTCTTATATTCTTTATATTCTTATATTCTTTTCTGCTCTACCTGTGCCTCTACTTTTCAGTTCCATCAGCACCAGAGAACCCCAGAATATTTATATTACCAAGTGGAAAATGCTGCAACAAGAATGAAGTTGTGGTGGAATTTAGGTGGAACAAACCTAAGCATGAAAATGGGGTGTTAACAAAATTTGAAATTTTCTACAATATATCCAATCAAAGTATTACAAACAAAACATGTGAAGACTGGATTGCTGTCAATGTCACTCCCTCAGTGATGTCTTTTCAACTTGAAGGCATGAGTCCCAGATGCTTTATTGCCTTCCAGGTATGAGAGAGAAAACAGAAGATATGAGAGTCTTAATAGCGGCATTGTGGGGAGAGGGAAAGACTATGTTTCTGGGATATGTTACAGTGTAAATGGCACACATACCTAGATTTTGATTGGCCACTATAGTTTTTTAAAATTATGTGAGAAAATTAATGGAGGTAATTCAGATAAGAGTGACTAAAGTAAACTGTTAAAGAAATGGAAAGTGGACCTTTTGAGGATTAATATGCAGGAATTCGTTTTTATTCCATTAAAGACGACTGCAGTTAAAAAAAAAAGTTTAAACAGAAGAATAATTAAAGGACTAGGTTAAGAATTCTGCCACCCTGTCAATAATTTAGGTATACTGTGATCAAAGAGGTCAAGTGGGCAGCAAAAGTAGAGAGGCAAGAGGGGATTGCTTGGGTGAAGGACACTTTCACAACTTTCTCACATTCAGGGAACTTTGCAAATTCAGAGTAAGTCATTCTTTTTCTTTTTGCTTTTCTTTTGAAGCTGTATCATGATTTTAATTTCTGTATGTTACACATTACTGATTTGTTTTACATTTTTTATTGATATATATTATAGTTGTACATACATTTGGGGTACATGTGTTATTTTGATAAACCATTATTTTTCAATAAAATCACTATAGGCCTTGCACCACTGTAGGTATTTTTGTATTCATTATCTCATTTGATCCTCATACTATAAAGAAAAAGTTAAGTCGTTGAGAGTATCAGTCAATTACCAAAGCTGCGTGGCTGGAAAGCACTGTGCTGTAATGCTTTCCACCATTTCTTTTTGGGGAAAATAACATCTTGGGGAGTGTTTTGGAGATTTGAGTTGTGTAGGGATTTGTTTTTCTTTTCATAAAATTCTAATTTAATAATTATTTTGATAATTTGTTGTCTACATATACTAATCAAATAAGTTATACATGAAAGTTAAAGATAGTACACGTTCCTATTTGGTAAAAATTAGGAGTGTTTTGGTAAAATAATATTCGGGTTAAGTGTGTCTATATATAGAATATATAGTATTTATATAGAATATATAATATAAATATGTATATAGATATATAGTTTCAAATTTTGGTCACCATGGAACCATGCAAAGTGATATGCATGGATATGTATGAGTTTCATTTAACACAGTTTTGTACAAAAGTAAACACTACTATATATATATATATGCACCATTATAAATCATACAGATAGTAATATATAAAATACAGTAAAATATGTTTAATACTAAAAGTATAATAAAAATAATACAATGTTTTGTTGATAAAGTACTTGGGGCTTTATATTTTGAGTCCACCATTATAGATGTCAATTTTCTTTGCAGGCTACTGTACATATGCAAGGTTTGGAAATGGAAATAATTTATTACATAATAGAAAATATCTAAGAAAAAAAATAAACTTTACTGTTAGAATGTGGCATGGCCCAATGGGAAAAAATGTATGTAGACCTCAGAAGACTTGGTTCTGATGCCAGTTTCTACATACGTCATTGTGCATGAGTTACTTACCTTTATTAGTATCCTGGTCCAGTTTCTACTCTTAGTAGTTGTGAAGATCAAAAGAGACAATGTATGTGAAACTGGTTTGAAATGCACAATCATTTTCAAATGTAAGATTTAATTATTTTTAAAAGTTACTCTTTCTAAAAAGTCTGGAAATTTAGTTTTTTGAAGCTTCTAGTTGTTGAATTCAAGAAAAATGGAAGTTTATCATAATTTGTACAGTTTTATTTCTGTTAAATGTTCTATGTAACTTAATTTTGAAAATAATGACCTTACTTTATTTAAAAATATTCAATTGATATATATATATTCAAGCTGTACAACATGACTTAATAAATGTATACATTGTGTAATTATCACAATTGAATTAATTAGACATTCATCACCATCCATGCTGTACATTAAATCCCCAGACATTTTTAGAAATTCATTTTTTAGCAAGAGAGATTTGTTCCAATTCTTGCACTTTTCTAGATTAAAAAATCTGTCAACATAAATATAGAGCAATATTTTTTCTCTTGGTGATTTATATTGCTGTATATTAATGTCAATAACTATTTGAAACTATTAATATTGTGTATCAGGAGTATGAAATGAAACATTTAGTAATCTCTCAGTCTCAGAACTTAATTGTTGCCACGGAGAACACTACTGAATGCAATTTTTGTTTCCTTTTCTTTAGGTTAGGGCCTTTACATCTAAGGGGCCAGGACCATATGCTGACGTTGTAAAGTCTACAACATCAGGTATTTGTTTTCTAAAATCTGTGCAAATAATAATTTAGAGGCGTGTGTGTGTGTGTGTGTGTGTGTGTCCCATTGGTGTCTTTAGGGATATGAACACTGTCTCTTTGCTAAAGTTTAGGTCAAAAACATGTTTTTGACCCCAACACACCACCAAAATATGTTTAAATAAACCTAGGGGTAGAGAGCCTACAAGGTTATCACTGAGAAAGATCTATTAGAGGAACCAAAGGGAGCCCATGGACTTCAAAACTGCCAGATATTAAATCGAGACTTTGCTAAGCTAAAGTCAGTTTTCTCATGCATATTATCTACATGTTTTTTTGCTTTCAGAAATCAACCCATTTCCTCACCTCATAACTCTTCTTGGTAACAAGATAGTTTTTTTAGATATGGATCAAAATCAAGTTGTGTGGACGTTTTCAGCAGAAAGAGTTATCAGTGCCGTTTGCTACACAGCTGATAATGAGATGGGATATTATGCTGAAGGGGACTCACTCTTTCTTCTGCACTTGCACAATCGCTCTAGCTCTGAGGTATTTCACTATGTAATTCTTCCGAAATAAAGGAAGTGAAGTATTTGCATATGACACTACTTTGTAGTTAAAATGACTGGAAAACGGTTTAGTCATTAAGATTAGAATGAAAAGGACAGATATTGTATAATTATTTAGCCACAAATGAATACAGACTACATTTTGGGCAAATGTCATTCAACACTCAGTTAGCAAATAGTTATTGGGTTTAGGATGCTGTGTTAGAGCCTGGGATATTATGGGTGAAAGTTTATAGGCTTTGCTCTTAATAAACCCAGTCTAGTATTAGTCCAACACTAGGAAGGCAGTATTGCCTAGTGATTAAGAAGGTGAGTTTTGGAATTTGACTACCTAGAATGCAATTTGGGCTCTACTACTTACTAGATTTGTGACCACTGGCAAGTTATTTAACCTCTGTGGTTAAGTAATACCTCATCATAGGGTTCCCATGAAGATTAAATGAGATAATCCATGTAATGCACTTAGCACAATGCCTGGCATGTGGTAGGCATTCACTAAATGTTAACTGATAGTGAAGACAGACTAGGATAACTGTTGTGCTGAGAGCAGGATGTGGTGGAATCACAGAGAATGAACACGTAGTCTAGGTTGGCTTGGTGGTGGTAGAATGGAAAAACATCTTGGAAACAAAGATGAGACAGGTGAAGGCTGAGGGGGTACAAAGACAGGAAAACAAAGAGCCATAGAGTGTTTGGATGAGAGTGGAGTGAAAGGAAGGTGGGAAATCTGGAGAGGTGGGAGCCTGAGCATAATGGGCCTCCTTTACTGTGCTAAGGAGACAGGTGTCATTCTAGAAGCCAACAGCAAGCCAGTAAAGATATTTAGTGGGTCATTAACATGGTCAAGTTGTGTTTTAGAAAGGCCTGTCTGTTAGCAGTGTGAATAGTGACTTAGAGAGGGTTAAGTCTGAGACAATTAGGAGGCTGTCACAGAAATCCAGGTAGAAAATGTTATGGGCCTGAGTGAGGGGATGAGCATGAGGTGAGAAAGGAGATGACAAACTGGACATTTAAAATGGGACTAGTTCAAGCTGCACACAGTGATTCACACCTGTAATCCCAACACTGTAGGAGGCCAAGGCAGGTGGATCACTGGATGCCGGGAATTCGATACCAGCCTGGCCAACATGGTGAAACCCTGTCTCTACTAAAAATATAAAAATTAGCTGGACGTGGTGGTGCGCACCTGTAGTCTCAGCCACTTGGGAGGCTGAGGCAGGAGAATCGTTTGAACCCAGGAGGCGAAGGTTTCAGTGAACCAAGATCATGCCACTGCACTCCAGCCTGGGTTACCGCCAGACTCCATCTCCAAAAAAAAAAGGGACTAGTTTACTATGGGTAGTAATGAGAAGAAGTCAAGGAGGACCATATTTGTCAGGATTAGCTCCTTGGGTGGTGTTGGAAATCCATAAAAATATAAAATGCAGGAGAAAAAGAGGTTTTGGGGTGGGTGATGAAGTCTGTTTTCTGGGATAATTCATATGGAAATGTTCAGTAGGCAGTTTGATATTTGAATCAGTGACTCATTAAAGATCTTGTCTGAAGATATAAATTTGTAGCACTGGTTTGTAGATTGCAGTTAAAGCCATGATAGTTAAAATCATTTAGGAAAAATGTGAGAACAGTGCCCATGTTACAATGGTATACCGTCCAGATTGCTGAGGTTTGGGATTACAAATGAGAAGTGCAGTAAACAAATGATATGGGTGAATATAGAAAAGTCTTCAAATAAAAAAATAACCACTCTCTTCTTGGCTGTGTTCTCTACCTGTTGTTAAGCTTTTCCAAGATTCACTGGTTTTTGATATCACAGTTATTACAATTGACTGGATTTCAAGGCACCTCTACTTTGCACTGAAAGAATCACAAAATGGAATGCAAGTATTTGATGTTGATCTTGAACACAAGGTGAAATATCCCAGAGAGGTGAAGATTCACAATAGGAATTCAACAATAATTTCTTTTTCTGTATATCCTCTTTTAAGGTATGTAAATGCAAGTATTTTTTTATATTGTGATGAAATAGATATAGACATATTTAATGTAATGTCTTTGGTTTAATAGTAGAAGACAATTATGGAAAAATAAGATGCTTAGGGCTCTTGGCCCACTATATTATAGTAAGTAGTTCTTCATATAAATTAGGAGGCACAACTACAAATATGTAAACTTAATGCATACTGACAATTTGACTAACAAAGTTAGGCTAATTACCTAAAAGGAAACAATAGCAGATTTTTATACTAGTGAATGCAATAACATCATCAGTTGGCAAGTACAAGAAGTGGATTGAGACAGTGGCAAGAGGTGAGCAGGAACAGATGGGCAGCATGCCTTGCACAGTAAAAGTTATTCTGTGCTCATCCATCTTAGTTTAACTAATATCCTCATAAGGTGAGCTTTAAAGTTTCCTTTTAGCACCTAAGTAGCAATTTCGCAGGCTGGAAAGATGGATTTCTGTTTGGGCCATAAGCATGGGGATAGGCTATTTGGAAACTAGATCATTAACTAGTATTAAGAAGCAGAAACAAACATGAGAGGAGGGGAATAGAGATGGACATTGATGAAAATTAGCAAATATATTTTATATTTCAGTTATTAAGTGGGCCTTTTAATATAGCACCTAAGGTCATTATATTCCAAGACTTTAGTTGTAAACACATCTATTGAGAAATCATTGGAAATGCTACAAGTTAGACTTCTTGTGACTTCTTCCATCTCAGAAAAAGGTTATTGAAAACTTGACCATGTTCTCTCCAAAGGCTCCATTTGTCCCTCACAGTCATTAGCAATAGTTGCTCTGCATTAGAAACCAATATTTGAAATGATGTATTTTACTCATTAAGTTGGGGGGACTTTTTTTTCCTCTATAGTCGCTTGTATTGGACAGAAGTTTCCAATTTTGGCTACCAGATGTTCTACTACAGTATTATCAGTCACACCTTGCACCGAATTCTGCAACCCACAGCTACAAACCAACAAAACAAAAGGAATCAATGTTCTTGTAATGTGACTGAATTTGAGTTAAGTGGAGCAATGGCTATTGATACCTCTAACCTAGAGAAACCATTGATATACTTTGCCAAAGCACAAGAGATCTGGGCAATGGATCTGGAAGGCTGTCAGTGTTGGAGAGTTATCACAGTACCTGCTATGCTCGGTAAGATGCTGATGTATGTGCACAGATATTTGTTAATAAGAGCAGCCCCTTCAACTGCATTTACAAAGGGCTTGCATTCCGCGTATACTCAAATATACACATGATATTTGCTCTGTACCATGCCAAGTGTTCTTGCAGAATTCAAATCAAGTTGTTTCCAGGAAAATTGTATGTAGGCATTCACATAATTTTCTAAATCTGTGTTTTAAAAAATTGTAATTAACAATAGAGCTACAATTTAATGAGCTTAACTGTATATTCTTAGCATGTACTAAATGCATTATTTTATTTAATCTTCATAATACCTCAGTGCAGTAGGTACTAATATCCTCATTTTACAGATGAGGAAACTGAGGCTGAGAAAAGTAAGGTAACTTTTCCCAAGGGCCACAGTTAGTTAGAAGGAGTTGAAACTGGGTCTAACTACAACATGCATGATCTTCCCACTATCCTAAATTATTTCCACTTTGATGATCCCATAGATTCCACTTTCAACATGAATTGGTCAATACCTGAGTCTATTTGTTGAAATTCAGATGCTTGTAGAATAAATATTCGAAAGTCGAGTACAATTTGGAAGTCTCCTAATTAGGAGTAATTCAACAGAAAAAAATATATACTCTAAATACCCCATATACTCTTAAAATTACTTTTCATTGCCCAGTGTGGTAATCACTAGCCACATGTGGTTATTTAAGTTTAAATTAATTGAAATTAAGGCCAGGTGCAGTGGCTCATGCCTGTAATCCCAGCACTTTGGAAGGCCGAGGTGGGTAGATCACTTGAGGTCAGGAGTTCAAGACCAGCCTGGCCAACATGGTGAAGCCCTGTTTCTACTAAAAATACAAAAATTAGCTGGGCACAGTGGTGCATGCCTGTAATCCCAGCTACTCAGGAGGCTGAGACAGGAAGACTCACTTGAACCCAGGAGGTGGAGGTTGCAGTGAGCCAAGGTGGTGCCACTGTACTCCAGCCTGGGTGACAGAGTAAGACTGTCTCAAAAAAAAAAAAACTAAAATTAAATAAAATTAAACATTTTAATCTCGCAGTCACACTAGCTAAACTTCAAGTGCTCAAAAGCCACAAATAGCTAATGGCCACTGTATTGGACAATGTAGGTATAAAACGTTTTCATCATCACTGAAATCTATTGGTCACTGCTGGATTATACAGTAAAGTTTTGAAATTGCAAATATGTGTGTATGTGTTATAATTGTATATAGGTTTTGTTGACATGTCAACCAAGGCCTTTTAGAAGCAATTCCTATGTTTAGAGGCCTTTTAGAAACAAGGCCTTTTAGAAACAATTCCTATCATTAAGTAGATTTAATGATAGAGGTAATGTTTTGAATGATTCCTCCTTAGTTATATTACTTGTTTCTGTTAAACCTGTGACAAAGACCTTTTCTTTGATCAAAATGTGGTTATGCTCCTCTGAGTCCTCTTCTTGACTAGGCCTCAGCCTTGGTCTTCATGTGTCCATCCTTGCTGAGTTCAGTTTTAGCAAGAATCCTACAAAGTCAGTTTAGGAGAACCCCCTACCACTGATACCTGATCAAGTTCTTCATCTCCCACCCTTGATGGACATTGGTCTGATTTAAGTAAGAATCCTGTTTAGGCTCTTGGCCTGCCTTTAGCAAGAATCCCATTAGGCTAATTTAATAAGGATTGCTCTATCCTGGATGCTGTCCCTGTATTTTTCCACCCAATGACTTCCTCACTCAGTTTCTTGGCTATAAAAACCCCAACTGTCTTTGCTATGTTGCAATATTTGTCTTTCCTAGTGCGCTATTGCACTTATCTTGACTAAAGTCTTTCTTACCATTTTAACAAGTGTCAGAATAATTTTTTTCTTTAATATTTGATACACAAGACACAAGAATTACCTAGTAGACCATTATATATGTATAAAACTGGTCAGTTTTTCATAAACCTGTAATTAAAATCCTAAAATTAGAAAATTAGAAAGATTTTAGGGATCATTTAGATGTTATGATGTTGCAAGAAATTTTTTCTTTAAAAATAGTCATGCTTAAACAACTGTTTCTTTAAAAAACCCTGCTACTTCATAAGGAAGTCTGTTTAAGCTTTTGGACAATTATGAATATTAGTTTTTTTCTTATATTTAGCCTGTCTTCTCTTCATTTCTCCCGTTCATTAGTCTTAGTTCTTACCTCTAAATTTACAAAGAATAATTTAATCACTTTCCACATGATAGCCATTCAACTATGTAGAGATAACTGTTGTAGCTCATTGTAAGCACTTTTTTTTTTTTTGAGACAGGGTCTCACTCTGTTGCCCAGGCTGGAGTGCAGTGGTGCAATCATGGTTCACTGCAGCCTCCATCTCCCAGGCTCAGGTGATCATCTTGCCTCAGTCTCCCAAGTAGCTGGGACTACAGGTGCACACTACCATGCCTCACTAATTTTAGTATTTTTTTTGTAGAGACAGGGTATTGCTATGCTGCCCAGTCTAGTCTTGAATTCCTGGGCTCAAGCAATCTGCCTGCCTTGACCTCCCAAAGTGCTGGGATTACAGGCGTGAGCCACCATGCTGGAATCAAGCATTTTCTTTGGAGGAAAAATTCAAGTATCTTCAATTGCTCCCCAGGCAATGTGGCATCTAAATCTTTGTCCTAGTCGCCCTCCCGTGATTTCATTCCAGCTAGTTAATATTCTCTTAAATATTGCCCCCATAAAGACACTGCACTCTCAATGTGTTCTTGTCAGTGAAGGGAGACTCTAACTATGAAGGTCTTCTTTTTGTTGTAGCCAAAAGTGGAATCAGATCTTTAGGATGCCTGCCATTGAAAGACCATAGTCTTTTCCACATTCATTATTATTAAGCCAGATCCCTTTCATTCGTTCATTTACAGAATTGATATGAAACTTAAATTTAGGATTTTACATTTGTTCGTATCAAATTTGAATCAATTTCCTGATTCTGTTATGATATTTTTGAATTTCAAGGCTGTAACTGAACCTGCTAGTGATGGTGATAATCATTTATTATCTGCAAAGTTGATAAATATGTTTACTATGCATTCATTCCAAACCACTGATAAAAATATTGAGAAATGCACTGAGCCCTATGCCTATCATTTAATATTTCCCTCAGGTTGGCATTATTTGATTTTGAGTCACATAGGTGGGTTTTAAATCCTGGGTCTGCCCTTTGGTGGCCTTGAGCAGATTATTTAACTCCTTTAAACTTCAGTTTGCCTTTCCACAAAATGAGGTTAGTAATAATAGTAGTTACCTGATTGGCTTGATATGGTGCTAAAATGAGAGAACATCTCTAAAACCCTTAGTCAAATGACATAAAATAAAGGTATTTTTTAATGTTGAAATAATAGATTCAAAATTTAGCAATTATAATATAGAAAAAATTTCATACATTTTTAGAGTAAAAAATGTAAGATATTAATTTTGTTCTTTATATTCCTTATGTTTTTAACAGCAGGAAAAACCCTTGTTAGCTTAACTGTGGATGGAGATCTTATATACTGGATCATCACAGCAAAGGACAGCACACAGATTTATCAGGCAAAGAAAGGAAATGGGGCCATCGTTTCCCAGGTGAAGGCCCTAAGGAGTAGGCATATCTTGGCTTACAGTTCAGTTATGCAGCCTTTTCCAGGTAATAAAGTCACATTCGTAATCAGCTTGTTCTCCCAATTTAGGGTCAGAAAAATCTCATAACATCTCCTTCTCCAAGGCTGTCCCTTTAGCCCCTTTGTTGTGCTCTCATCCTTGCTCCAAACTCTGCTAGTCTTCTGTGTGCACTGTGATTGCTGTTTGCCCTGGATCACAAATTACTTCTATGTGTAAACACAGCTCAGGGTGTGGTGGGCAACTTTAGACATGGGAAACCTGCGTCCTGTTGTTCTCTCTGCCTGGCCTCTTTCTCTTCTCAGTCCCATAATTTCTCTTCTTTCTCTTATTTCTCCTTTGCTGATATTTTAGGCCTCCCAGTGGTGTCAAAAAGCATTGCATACAACCTTGTTTTCAAGGTAACAGGTCATACTTCTGTTACTATGCAGTATGCAGTATTAGGTATCAAATCACTAAGTATTAATATATACTATTATAATATGTAGTACCATTTAACATGAGTAAGCCTGTGCTACCATTTTTATTAAGTTTTTATCTTTTTTAAAAAAAATGTCACTGATGAAGTTTTTAGTGTTATGCCCCTCATCCTACTTTTCCCATAAACTGTGAATTTTATTGTGTGATTTGTACAGTGCAATGATTCCTAGAAAGGCATGTATCATGTTATAGCAGAACTGACTATATATTTTCTACTGACAGTCATAATAAAACATTGTTGAAATCTAAAAACCATACAAACAAAAACAAAAACAGTATTGCCAAAAAAATTAGCCCAGCGTAGTGGCAGGTGCCTGTAGTCCCAGCTACTCGGGAGGCTGAGGCAGGAGAATGGATTGAACCTGGGAGGCGGAGCTTGCAGTGAGCCCAGATTGCGCCACTGCTCTCCAGCCTGGGCGACTGAGCGAGACTCGTCTGAAAACAAAAACAAAAACAGAATTGCATGGCCTCATTGGTATTTTGTCAAAGCCGTCTTTGCCACTAAGGTGCAAATATCATTCTAAATTAACTATAACTCTCCTCTGGAGAGGGACAGATATGAATGACATAAACTCTCTTTGTTTAAATGTTTTCAGTTATAAAATATGTAAATTGAAAAATGTTAAAATTTATAAATAAAGCCTACTTTGTATTTTTGTAAAATAATTTATTTTTCACTTTGAGAAATTTAAGAGATTTTAAAAGTTCATGTGGCTTCTGGTTTCTGGCCCAGAAGCTTAGAAATTGCCACTCCACCCAAAAACAAGTAAAAGTCTGAGCAAACTGAAAACTTAACAGCTCTTCTTGGATCCACAAGAGAAGTGAGGTCACAGAGCAAACTGCTGTCCCCAGTTGGAAAGACAGATTGGTAAATACAGAGAATTACAATTTACCAGAGCAAAAACCCATGAGCTGAAATCTTTTTAGAAAGCAGTGTTAGTGGTAGAAAAATCCAAACTGTAATTGATGAATTGCTTGAGGCTCAGTGTGGGTAACTCTGAGAGTTAGAAACTCGAGGGGCATCCTGTCATAGGAGGGCTTCATTTTATAAGTTTTACCTCCAGGAGCTTTAACTGGTTTTTTTCTTAGAGAATCTCCTTGTGCTTCCCACAGAGAGAAGGGAAAAGGAAAAATTTTGAAAGGCACCAGAGCATTCTGTTCTTCTTAACAAGGGCTGCATTCAAGATACACTAATCACAGCTGGACCTGCTCGGGTTTTATCAGAGCTTAATTGACCTGGGTAAAGAGAAGTGCCCAACCCCAGCCCACTCCAGCCGTCGTGTCCCACCTAAGTGGGGTGGGGGGACTGAAAAGAACCTGTGAAGTTCACAGTCGAAAAGCAAAGCAAAAACCCACTTGAAGTTAACTGAGATCTAATCTAAGACTATAAAATGCCTCCCCTTCCCCTACACCTTACCACCGCATTACTAAAGGCCCATTTACAGCAGTTGCTTTCACCCAGTACAGCATATTCAGCTATCAAGAAAAAATTACAAGGCATACTAAAAGGCATAAAACACAGATTGAAGAGATAGAGGAACTATCACAATCATTTAAATATGGCAGGGATGTTAGAATTATCAGACTGAGAATTTAAAACAACTATGATTAATATGCTAGGGGCTCTAATGGATAAAGTAGTCAGTATACAAGAACAGATGGTCAATGTGAGCAAAGATATGGATATTTGAGGAAAAAAAAGAAATGTTAGAGATAAAAACACTGTAACATGTGAGGAATGTTTGATGGGCTTAATAGTAGACTGGATGTGGCTGAGGAAGGAATCTCTGAGCTTGAAAATATCTCAGTAGAAACCTGCAAAACTATAAAGGTAAAAAAAAAAAAAAAAAGGAAAAAAACCGAAACAGAATATTCAAGAACTGTGGGGAAACTACACAAGGTGTAAGATAGGTATAATATGAATACTAGAAAAAGAAGAGAGAAAGGAACAGAAGAAATATTTGGAGGAAATATTTGAAAAATAATGACTGATAATTTCCCCAAATTAATGTCAGATACCAAACTACAGGTATGGGAAGCTCAAAGAATACCAAGAAGGATAAATGCCAAAATCTACACTAGGCCTATCATATTCAAACTGCAGAAAACCAAAGATAAAGAAAAAAAATTCTGAAAGAAGCCAGAGGAAAAAATACTTAACCTATAGAGGAACAAAGATAAGAATTATATCCAACTTCTCCTCAGAAACTATATAAGCAAGAAGAGAGAAAAGTAAAATATTTAAAATGTTGAGAGAAAAAAACACTAACCTAGAATTCCATACCCTGTGAAATTATCCTTCAAAAGAGAAGGAGCAATAAAGACATTCTCAGACAAAAATTGAGAGAATTTGTTATCAGTAGACCTGCTTTGGAAGAAATGTTAAAAGAAGTTCTTTAGAAAGAAGAAAAATGATATAGATCAGAAATGCAGATCTACATAAAGAAAGGAAGAGCATTAGAGAATAAATAAGTGAAAGTAAAGTAAAAGTTTTTCTTTTTCTTAACTGACCTAATGGATAATAGTTTGTTCAAAATAGTAATAGCAATAACATATTCAATTATATCCACTTATGTATGTATGTGTGCATATATATATGTGTATATTTATATTTATATTAAGCAAAATGAATCACAGCAGTGACACAAGGGATAGAAAAGAGGACTTGGGAGTATTTTGTTATTATAAGGTACTGCAAACCTGTGAAGTGGTATAGTGTTGTTTGAAGGTGGACTTGGATTAGTTGTAAATATACATTGCAAATTCAAGGGCAAATCACTGAAAAATATTTTTAGAAAAGTATAACTGATTCCCAAGAAAGGAGAGTAAATAGAATCATTTAGAATGCTCAAATAAAACCACAAAAGTCAGAAAAAAAGTGGAAGACAAAAGTAGGAACAAAGAACAAGGGCAACAAATGAAAAATAATAACAAATATGGTAGATCTTAATTTAACTATATTAGTAGTCACTTTGAACATCAGTGGTCTAAATACACCAACTAAAAGACAGAAGTTGTTTGAGTGGATCAACAAACAGACTCAACTATACATTGTCTATAAGAAACCCACTTTAAATATAAAGACACATCATATAGATCAAAAGTAAAGGGATGGAGATAGTATATCATGCTATCGCTAATCAAATGAAAGAAGAAACAATTTCAGACAGCAGACTTCAGAGCAAGGAAAGTTATAAGGGATAAAGAGGGACATTACATAATGATAAAGGGATCAGTTCTCCAAGAAGATGTAATAATCCTTAATGCATATATCTCTAACAACAGAGCATCAAAATACATGAGGCAACAACTGATAGAACTGCAAGAAACAGATGAAGCCACTATCACCATTGAAGACTTCACGACATCTATCAGAAATGGGCAAATCCAGCAGAAAAAAAATCACTAAGGATATACTGATGAACTCAATAACACCATCAATTAATTGGCTGTAATGGACATCTATCTACTATTAATAATTTTTCCAACAACAGCAGAATAAACATTCTTCTCAAGCTCACATGGAACATTCACCAAGACAGAACATAAAATACACTTCAACAAATTTAAAAGAATAGAAATCATACAATATCTGTCCTCAGACTACAATGCCATTTAACTAGAACTCAATAACTGAAAGATAGCTGGAAAATCTCAGAACACTTGGAGATTAAACAACGTATTTCTAAATAACAAATGGGTAAAAGAAGAAATCTCAAATTAAAAATATTTTGAACTAAAAATGAAAACAAAACATCAAAACTTACGGGAATCAGTAAAATCAGTGCTTAGAGGGAAGTTTACAGCACTGACTGCATGTATTAAAAAAATAGATCTAAAATTATTTAAGCTTTTACTTTAGGAAACTAGAAAAAGAAGAGTAAATTAAGTCCCAAATAATAATAAGAAACAAAACTAAAACAAAAGAAAAAATAAAAAGGAAGTATAGTAGAAATCAATGAAATTGAAACAGGAAATCAATAGAGAAAAATCAATGAAGCCAAAAACTGGTTCTTTGAAAAGATAAATAAAATTGATAAGCCTCTAGCCAGGCTAAGAAAAAAAGAGAGTGGATGCAAATTGCTAATAGTAGAAATGAAGGCGGGGACATCTCTGTAGAACCCATGGAGATTAAAAGGATAATCAAGGAATACTATTAACAACTCTATGCTCACAAATTTAATAACCTAGATGAAATGGACCAATTCTTTTAAAGACACAATATGCCAAAACTCACAGAAGAAGAAATAGACAATCTGAATATGTCCACATCTATTAAATAAGTGGAATCAATAATTAATAGCCTTCTGAAATAGAAAGCACCTGGGCCAGATGGATTCAATGATGCATTCTATCAAACATTTATGGGAAAATTATACCATCTCTACAATGTCTTTCAGAAAATTGAACCAGAGGGCCTACTTCCAATTAGGCCAATGAATGAGTTTATTCTAGGCCAGAATTACCCTAAAACCAAAACTAGACAAATATATTACAAGAAAAGAAAATTTTAGACCGGTGTCTCTCTTGAATATTGCAAGAATTGCAAAAGTCCTGAACAAAATATTAGCAAATCAAATCGAGCAATATATTAAAATAGTTTTATATCACAGTCAAGTGGGATTTATCCCAGCTATGCAAGTTTGAGTCAACATTTGAAAATCAATTAATGTAGTCCACTATATCAACAGACTAAAGAGGAAAAATCAGGCGGTCACATTGATAGATGCAGAAAATGCTTTTGACAAAATTCAACACGGATTCAGGATGAAAAATCCTCAGCAAACTAAGAATAGGGGTAACTTCCTTGAGAAAGAACATGTATAAAAAAACTTGTTGTTAACATCATTACTTAATAGTGAGAAATTAGAGGCTTTCTCACTAAATCAGAAACAAGGTAAGGATGTTCCCTCTCCCAATTTCTTTTCAACACTGCAGTGGAAGTCACAGCATGCAACAATACAAGAAAAGGTATACAATACAAGAAAAGGTATACTGATTGGGAATGAAGAAATAACGCTGTCTTTGTTCACAGATGACATGATCATCTATGTAGAAAATCTGAAAGAATTGACAAAAAGACTCCTGGAACTCATAAGTGATTATAGCAAGTTTGCAGGACACGAGGTTAATATACTAAACTCAATCACTTTCCTGTATACCAGCAATGGACAAGTGGAATTAGAAATTAAACACACAGTATCATTTACATTAACACCCACAGAAAATGAAATACTTAGGTATAAATCTAACAGCATATGCACAAAAATCTATATGAGAAAAACTATAAAACCCTGATGAAAGAAATCAAAGTGCTAAATAAGTATAGAGATATTCCATGTCATAGATAGGAAGACTCAATATTGTCAAGATGTCATTTCTTCTCAACTTATCTATAGATTCAATAAAATCCCAATGAAAATCCCAGCTAAAGTTATTTTGTAGATATTAACAAACTGATTCTAAAGTTTATATGGAGAGGCAAAAGACCTAGAATAGGTAGCTATCACAGTATTGAAGGAGAAGAACAAAGTTGGGGAAGGCTGATATCAACTATATGACATTCTGGGAAAGTAAAAAACTATGTAGACAGTAATAAGATCACTAGTTGCGAGAAGGCTGGGGGAAGAAGTGGCGAATAGACAGAGCAGAGAGGACTTTGAAGGCAGTGGAACTATTCTATGTGATACTATAATGGTGGATACAGCTCATTACACATTTGTCCAAACCCGTAAAATGTACAATACAAAACTGAACTCTAATGTAAACTATAGACTTTGGGTAATAATGATGTCATTGTAGGCTCATTGATTGTAACAAATGTACTACTTTGGTAGGGGTATTGATAATGGGGGAAAGTTATGCATGTGTGGAGAAAAGGAGTATCTGGGAAATCTTGGTACATTCCTCTCAATTTTGCTGTGAATCTAAAACTGACTAAAAAATAAAGTCTTACCAAAAAAAAAAGACGTCCATGCAGTATCTGAAGTTGAACGACACACACACATATCCTCCTCCCAGCCACATACACAAACACGCTCCAAAATGAAGTCCCAAGAGTGGCATGAGTTTTTTTTTTAAACTGGAACTCATTAAGAGTATGATTAATACTCATTATTTTCTTTAAAAAATGGAGTCTATTTTATGTTGCTAGTTTCTAGGTACATTATTAAGAATACTTTACCTCCATCTGCTGGAAATTTTAAGCAATTACAAGTTATCTTGGTCCTTTTTTTCTGAAGGTATTCAATTATCTTCAAAATGTATGGGATAAAAAAAAAAATGTAAGGGAAAAACCTGTCTTTCTGTCCTGAATAATGTTTCTGACACTTCAACATGTCATATTATATCAATTAAATAAAAGAACGACAAAATTACCAATGACTTTTGAATTAGATAATTGCTCTGATTGCTCACATGTGTATCCCATTCTCTGTTCAGATCAGAAATCAGTACAAACTGAATATATTGGATAAATATTGGTTGAACTGAAGAGTGGTTCATCTTGTAACTTTAGTAAGGTTATCCATCTCTAAACCCCCATACTTTCCAAATGTCCTCAAACTTAGGTTCACAGTGCCCTTGACACTGTTGTTGGAGATTTTCGATGTACTTCTAATTTTAAACATTTTTTCCTGCATTTTGGAATTCATATTTGGAATTCCCAGACCAGACCAGCATTATTTTCTCTAACTTTTCATTTTAGTCTCAGTAATGATGATAGTAATAGCTAACATTTATTTAATGTTCTTACCATGTGCTAGGGATAGAGTGATATATAAATATCTGTAAAGCAGGCCATTGTCTCTGTTTACAGAAGAGCTGGAGTAACCTTCCCAAGACAAAAAAGTTAGCAAGTGAAGGAGCTGGCTTCATCAAGTTTTTGTCACTTAGACATTTACCCCCTAATTTTCTTACTTGCTGAATGCAAAGGTTGTATTTTATATGTGGCTAATATGAATTCATAAGGATCGACAACACATACTAAATACCTAATATATGTCAGGCACCCTCCTGGGGCTCTGGTGGAACAAAGATAATTCAAGCACAGTCTCAGCCAAAGATAGTTACATTCTAGTGCTAGATGAAGAAAAGAAAGCAGCAAAAGAAAACCAAAACCAAAATCACATGTGGCTAGTGCACTGGTAGAAGAACACGTGAAGTGGAGTGAGGACAGAGAGGAGATGTCCTTCACCTGGAATAGGAAGGCAGAAAGGGCTTCCCAGGAAAAATGATGCATGAATTGAGGCTTAAGTAAGGTTAGGCAGATGGGGAAGATCATTCCAACCTGAAGAGACTACCTATGTGAAGGGTTGGAGGGGTAGAAGTCCTGCAGTGTGTAGATAGTGTACTGTGGTTAGAGTGAAGGATGGCTTTGCATAGCAGAGACTGGATATGCGGGCAGGAGCCAGATTGCACAGTGCCACGCACAATGAGTTAAAGAGTTGGCTAACTGGTGTAAGATTGTTAGATTTCATATTAAAATCATATTTGGAGTTATTTGCATATTATGTAATTATGCTACATTTTTAGGTGATGTTTTACATAAAGACTGAGAGTGAATAGGTCAAGAAGTTGTGTTCAGCTGCAAGTGACAGATCTGCGATTTTTCGAGGCTTAAGCCTGCGGTATGGTTGCGCTACTGCACTGGTCTAGAACAGACCATTTCCATTGTAGTCTCTGTGACTGGGGCTCCCTGGAGTTGTGCAGCGTGCAAGGTGTTTGGTTGTAAGCGGTGGCCAGGGAGCTCCACAATGCCATCAATCACCTGGACTTGATCTTTCCCCAAACATCCTTAGTGAGTCCTTTATTCAATTCTCACAAGATGGCTGCCGCCCCTCTTGCATAGTGTCCGCCTCCTGGGTTGGGGGAGGGTGAAGGACAGAGGTGCGCCACAGTGATAAGCACATCTGACTAACCAGACCGTGTCACATGATTGTCTGGGCTGCAATCAAACTTCAGAAACAGTTTTTCCTCCCAGCATACTGCCCTGAACAATATCAGATATATATGAACTTGAAGAAAAGGAGAGGACATTGGGTAGACTGTAGCAGTACATACTACACATACTACACACAGTATCAAGCTGCAGCCATTTTTGTTTCTTCAAAGAGAATATTATTTCAAATCATTTTCATATTTATGTTTTCAAGCAAAAGTTATGTATGCTCTACAAATTTCTTTCTAAGCTTTGATATTATTCTTGTTAAAAATCTGCTTTTCCTCTCATATATATAGTATAGATATTTAATCTTTTGGTTTCTTCTTATTTTAGATAAAGCGTTTCTGTCTCTAGCTTCAGACACTGTGGAACCAACTATACTTAATGCCACTAACACTAGCCTCACAATCAGATTACCTCTGGCCAAGACAAACCTCACATGGTATGGCATCACCAGCCCTACTCCAACATACCTGGTTTATTATGCAGAAGTTAATGACAGGAAAAACAGCTCTGACTTGAAATATAGAATTCTGGTAAGATTGGAACTAGTGGTCTTTGTCTTTTCACAAGATGTTCTTTTTTGATATAAAATTATGAGCCATAGTAAAGTATTTCCTATATGTTCTGAAATGGACTAGTACGCAACTTTTTTACAGCTAATGATTCATCAAAACATATTGTGTTCTAGTTTTCTTGACTGGGAGTAAGTTAAGCTTCAAGGAAGTATATCAACTCTTGCCCATTGATGGATTGCCATGGTAACCGTTTTCTGAGTGTCCAGAAAGAATTGGGTTTATTCCCCTCCCTGATTATCTAATTATCCTCAGAGAGAATGATAGAGAATTATTTTTGCAGCCTATGGAGCAGACTGAAGATTGAAGAGTAAGAAATGAACTGGACGGAAAGAACATTGCCTTATACCTCTTCTCCACAGCATTTATCTAATATAAAAATTGTACATTATATTTTGTCTTTTGTTTCCTATGTGCAGAGAAATATACTGCTATGCAGATACTGTTTTTAGTCATCATTGTATGCCTAGCACCTAGCACAGTTAGTGGCACTGTGTAGGCATTCACTAACTATTTCTTGAATGAATTGGCACTATTCATTCAATCATTGAAATGATGAAATGTATTCATTAGTATTTCAGTTGTCTTAGTGATGGAATCACATATATCCAATATTTTGCTTTGTGCTTGGCTTTATTTAGCCTGTTCAAAAGGTGAAATTGACTAACTGTTGGATGTTAAACACTATATGTTTTCCCATAAAGTGTATGTGATTTTTCATTCCTTCCTTAATTTTGTCTAATTAACCCTTTTTACACATTTCTAAAATAAGTAATTTCAGATAGATCATTTGGCTGGCCAAGATTGGACTTGGCAGCACTGGTCATGTCTGTTATTAAATTTAATCTATCTTATTGTCTTCTCATTGATTAACAGTGGTCTAAGACAGTGGTTCTCAACCTTGGCGGCACATCGAAGCTTTAAAAAAAAAAAACAAAACACTCTGCATCTAGGCTTCACCCCAGATAACTCAATCAGAATCTCTGGCAATAGAACCCAGGCATAGTAGTTTCTTAAAACTTCCCAGATGATAGCAAAGTATAAACAAAGTTGAGAACCATTGGTCTAAGGAAAGTCTTTTTACTCTCTTAAACTTTATTTCTAAGAGTGATTAGATACTATAAAAATATTTTATTGTATTCACATATGTGTCACATGTTTTCTACCATCTTGCTGAATTTCTAATACAATGTTAATGAAATAGTGTCCTCTTCTAGGAATTTAACTTCCCATGTGAAACAATTTATGCCACAAAACCAACTGAAGGCTACCAATCATTTGGTATTTATTCTTGGAAACATTGAACAACTCAGGTCTGGGTAGATTGGACAGTGGTATTACCATTAATAATCCAGAATTTAAAATAAATTAATTTTTTTGAGCCTTTAACTTTGTTCTCTCTTTGATTAAATAATTTCTACCAATTTGTATAAAATGTTAAAAATAAGATGTTGATTTTTAAAAAATCAATTACAGGAATTTCAGGACAGTATAGCTCTTATTGAAGATTTACAACCATTTTCAACATACATGATACAGATAGCTGTAAAAAATTATTATTCAGATCCTTTGGAACATTTACCACCAGGAAAAGAGATTTGGGGAAAAACTAAAAATGGAGGTAAGTTATGGGCTTGTTGTGGGTTTCTCAAGCAGAATATTGTGATATATGTGCTGTGTATGTTGATGTTTATTTTTTAAAATCTGAATGCGAAGTAATTTTAGTAAGCTTTTTTAAGTTTAATAAGAAAAATGTGTTTGTAGAAAACTTTGACCTGACCCTTACTCTAACCCCTGAAGCTAACTAATAATATTCTATTAAAATAGAAAGCAACTAGGAGGTAAAACATTGAAATCAATATTGTTTGACCAAGAAACACATTATTTGGTCTCACCACACAGTGTCACTTTTTCCAGATACTCATAGGTTTCTGTACATGTGGTGAGCTATAGAAAAACCAAGCTTTTTTTCTATGTGAATTTTACTGAGGCCTGAGCTGTAAAGTTATGCAACAGTATAGCCTTAAAGAAAATAGGTCTGAAAAGGTTTTCTAAGAGCTGATGAGGTGGTGATTATTATGAGGTGATGACGTTTATTTCAGATGTCTCTGATGATATTCACAAAACTCACCCAAATTGGGTTATTCCCCGTTGGCCATATCCTTGAGCTGGAGTCAGAGAATGATTTGGTCACTGGGCAAAAATAAGTGGGAGCCTTTTAGGCAGTCTGTTAACCTACGATTATAGAAGAGGCTGACTTTCTTTCTGGACATGTGTTATTTATTCTGCTCATACCACATGATTACTCTTCAACCCAAACTCCATTACTTCTTTCCATCTTTCAGTGCTATTGCAGCATCCTTTATCATTCCTTGCTATTTATTTCAGTACCAGAGGCAGTGCAGCTCATTAATACAACTGTGCGGTCAGACACCAGCCTCATTATATCTTGGAGAGAATCTCACAAGCCAAATGGACCTAAAGAATCAGTCCGTTATCAGTTGGCAATCTCACACCTGGCCCTAATTCCTGAAACTCCTCTAAGACAAAGTGAATTTCCAAATGGAAGGCTCACTCTCCTTGTTACTAGACTGTCTGGTGGAAATATTTATGTGTTAAAGGTACAGTGAGTTTACTAGGCACTCTTTATTGTCATTCTCAAGTGCAAGGCTCTCAAAAGGTTAAGCAATTGTTCTTTTTTACCAAAAGGTTCTTGCCTGCCACTCTGAGGAAATGTGGTGTACAGAGAGTCATCCTGTCACTGTGGAAATGTTTAACACACCAGAGAAACCTTATTCCTTGGTTCCAGAGAACACTAGTTTGCAATTTAATTGGAAGGCTCCATTGAATGTTAACCTCATCAGATTTTGGGTTGAGCTACAGAAGGTAGACTTTTAATGCAAGTCTTTATTTTATGATATAGAATAAATTGGAAAGGGCTTTTTCATGCATCTAGAACATGCTCATGTATAAATAAACAATATATTTGACAACTTTCATTGATTTATGTTTGGCATGCAGAAGCAGTGAGTTATCCAGACTAATTTCTGGTGGGAAGAATTCTCAGGGAGATTAATTTGCTTTTAAAAGGCTTTATGTAAAAGGGTATAAGTTATAGTGTACTAATTTTATAATATTTTACTTAGTTTAGATGTTAGCATGGTTCTCTGGTTTAAAGTCCATAGTAACTTGGTGTTTTCCATGAAAAAAAAATGAAAAAGAACTGAAGAAAGAAAAAACCAAAACCTTGTTTAGAAATGTTCTTTCATCATTTTAAGGGCTGTGCAGTAACAAGAGAGAAGTAAACCATAAAACCAGCTTATTCTAAAGTAGTTTTGTTGTTGGCTTGCAAACTTTAAATGATTCCTCATCCAAAACTTTTCACGCTTTAACCAATAAGGAAGCACCCACTGAATTTTAAGTCATCAATTAACCTGATTAATTCATTGATGGGGAAAGCCTACATTGACTTTTATGGTGATAAACTCAAAATTGATTATTAATTTTTTATAATTGCTACTTGTTATTTTAACTATTATATATGTGCATGTGCATGTTTGTATATTTCTGGGCCTATGTATGTGTACGTGTTTTTAAAGATTAATTAGAAATGTTTTGTTCAGTGGTAACTCAAAAGCAAATCAGTATAATCATGGCCTCACTACTTCTTAAAATGCAGTTATTCCCCAGGATGTTTAAAATTATTATGTAAGGTATTTTTGTGATCTTATACTTTATAGATAAAAACTATGAAAACTGTGGAACAACACTGAATATTGAGTTGATAAACTCAAAGACCATAGTTTCATTGGACTTTTTCTGTTGAGCATGTTTCTGATAATTTGTTGTCTATTTAAAAAATTGCCACCTTATAAAAATGCAGTTAAATTGGAGAAATTGGAGGAGTGCCTTTTAAAATAACATCTATTTTAGTAAACTTAATGCAGTTCAGTCTAAAACCAAGAGGAAGGATGTAAAGTTCATTTCCAAGATTATCAAAGAAATGAAATGGGAAAAGACTTCAGAGATAATTGACACCCTAGCCTCTCATTTTATTGATCAGAAATGGAGATCTAGACAGATGCCAGATGTCACCAGGCAGAGAAAAACCCCAGGGCTGACTTCTCCCTACAGCAGTCCTATTAGGGTGCTGTCCGTGGAAGGAATAGGAGTCATTAAGTCATCCATCCCACTCTTTCAAGTTTGGGGAGAAGGACAGCAGACAGAGATCTCCTGGTTGAATTCTCATGACTTTCATGCAGTGCTTTTTGTTTCTAAACTTCCTCTGTTTTCACATTTGCTCAACACAGGTTCCAGGCAGACCATTTAGAAAATCATGAAGCTGCAAATACAAGATAGAGTCATTTGTACATGAGTGGCCATCTACAAATACTAACTATGAGTACAGTAAAAGTCTGTGGTTCTGCAAGGGTTGATGAGTGCTATATAGTCAGAAAGTGCTGTCTCTTTTGAACAACTTGAGCCTATCTCACAATGACAGGACAGCTGGAAATAATACCGTAACTGCATACTGAAACTCTGAGGAGTGGGCAATAAAAGAGAATATTTGTCTCTTTAATTAGTAATGTTTTAGAAAGGAAACAGGAAGAAAATGATAAACTTTGTCTCTGTCATTTCTGTCAAAATTTCCTTATCTGAAAAATGAGGGAACTAGAGCACAAGATGAAGTTTCGATCTAGATCAGGGGTGTCCAATCTTTTGTCTTCCCTGGGCCATACTGAAACAACTGTCTTGGGCCACATGTAAAATATACTAACATTAACGATAGCTGATGAGCTAAACAAAATTCCCTAAAAAAATTCATAATGTTTAAAGAAAGTTTACGAATTTGGGTTGGGCTACATTCAAAGTCGTCCTGGGCCACATGTGGCCCACAAGCTGAAAGTTGGACAAGCTTGATCTAGATCTTAAATTCTATATAATACAAGAAACTCACAACAGTGTATAGAAGAAGAACATATTTAAAATGGGGAGGAAACAAATAATTTTGTTTGGTAATTTTTTTCACGGAAGTCCATTAAAATTGTGTTTTTCTCAGCTGTTCAGGCAAATCCCTAGCAGAACCATAAGTTTCTGAAGTTCCAAACTCTCAGACATCTTAGCTCACACTCCCCCTCACTCCCACCCACATAATTTGAAAATCCCTCTATGGTAGCCTTCACCCCTGCACTTGTTGGCTTCTGACAAATGGAAAGTCCTGACACCCTTGTGATTTACTGGGATATCCTGTGGCACCTCTCCAAGTTGGTGGTCTGCCCAGACACTCATTGCTGTGGTGATGCCAACACTCTACCATTTTCCAGCGGTAAGCTTGGTCAAACATCTCCTGACATTTCAAGGAGCTCTGATAATTTCTTGATGGTTTGGAATGTTGGGTTACCTAGACTATTCACTATAGGTAATTTCTCCACCAGATAATGAAGGAGACAGAACCATAAAGAGTTAAGACTTTTTTTTTTTGGCCAGGAGTTAATTTCTCTCTCTCTGAGGTTCACAGTAAATATTATGGATTCAATGCACCCGTTTCATTAAGCTATTAAGCTAAATGTCTCAGCAGGATTGATACATTTATGAGTTTAGTGCAGGCAATGTCCCTGACATCAGCAGTTCTATTTTTTTAAGTTTTCATTCCTTCCATTCCCTTATTCCCCTTTCTTACTGTACATAGTGGTCTACTGACTGAAAATGCTATAGAGAATCATTCCTTACTGAATAGAAAACTAATATAAAGTATCCATTTAATGAAATGATGTGACCTCATGAGTGTTAAGTGAAAAAGAAGATATAAATTAAGTTTATTTATGGAAACTGACCTTTTTATGAAACTCTACAGGGAAAATACACCAAGAACCCCTGACAAATTGCCATATCTTTTTGTCTTTTCCTATTTGTATGTTAAGAAATTATCATTTTCAAATAATGATACTAAGGATCCAAATATACAGATTTTTAGAAAGCAATGTCACAGAGCAAGAAATTTCAGATAGCTGCAATTAGAGGCCCAATATCTAAAGTGGAATGAAAACAAGATTTTCTGTATTTAGCTTCTAGCCTTGCTACTTAGTAGCTTCATAATAGTGGGCAAAATTTTTCTTCTTTTGGCTATGTAGGCTTCCAGTATATAAAAATAAAGAATTCTGTTTACATGTCTGAAGAGGGTGTTAGGAGGAAAAAAAAGTCTTAGTTTGTAAGTCACTGTGGACTTCTTTATCAAAATATGTAATCAAAACATGTAAAAATATTATTGCTATGAAATTAACAAATCCCTGGGATTTGAAATTACCATTGTTTTGATCCATCATTGTCCCACAGCTATGGATTTGCATTCTTAGCCATCCTGATTAAATGTAGGTATCTACCCTTTGGGATAACAAGAAGTCATAGCTCTGAATCTTCCTCGTTGACATATAGTCAGAGGTGTATGTCCCACTTTGAGCTTCTCCCATGAACAGTCATGTAAATCAGTTATATCTTGTCATAAAAAGCAAAACGACTATAGGCAGTGGGGTAATGTTTGGGATCATTCATAAAGAAGTTCTTATTCTTTAATAGAAAAGAATGCTTAAATTTTAACCACTTGCTATAAGCCTATACATTTTTGTGTTTTAAGAATATTTTCTTAGAGAAACAAAAATATTAATCGAGACTTCTTTTTCTAGTGGAAATACAATGAGTTTTACCATGTTAAAACTTCATGCAGCCAAGGTCCTGCTTATGTCTGTAATATCACAAATCTACAACCTTATACTTCATATAATGTCAGAGTAGTGGTGGTTTATAAGACGGGAGAAAATAGCACCTCACTTCCAGAAAGCTTTAAGACAAAAGGTGAGTACTAACATACTCAATACTCAGAAAACTCTGTGTTTCAGTTTTTTTCTTATCACTTATTTCACTAATCCTAGAGATATATGAAATTGTTCTTTAAAAGCAGTACATTATTATTTCTAGAACTTGAATGAAGAAATTCAGAAAATATAGGAGACCTTGCAGGCAGTAATGAAATAATACTGGCTGGGTCTGGCTGGATCCTGAACTGGGCAAAATTACTTCTTCTTTCAGTATCCTTATTTCATGTCTAGCTATGACAATTTTATGGTGATAACTATATGAAAATAGTGTTACTGAATGTTCAAAAAATATTTATTGGCTACTATATTTGAGATACTAGGATGAAAAATATAAGAAGTTCATTAAAAATTAACTAGTGTTCTGAAAGATATACCTTAACTCTGAGATGAGCTCTATAAGAATGGAAGGAACAAAGATCTAGAACCAAAAATACCATTTGACCTAGAAATTACATTACTAGTTACATACCCAAAGGAATATAAATCATTCTATTACAAAGATACATGCACACGTATGTTCACTGTAGCACTATTCACAATAATGAATCATTTGGAATCAACCCAAATGCCCGTCAACATTAGACTGGTTGAAGCAAATGTGGTACATATACACCATGGCATACTATGCAGCCATAAAAAGGAATGAGATAATGTTTTTTTGCAGGGATATGGATGAAGCTGGAAGCTATTAACCTCAGCAAACTAATTCAGGAACAGAAAACCAAACACTGCGTGTTCTCACTTACAAGTGGGAGCTGAACAATGAGAACGCATGGACACAAGGAGGGGAACAACACACACTGGGGCCTGTCAGGGGGAGGGGTGGGGGGATAGAGAGTATTAGGAAAAATAGCTAATGCATGCTGGGCTTAATACCTAGGTGATGGTTTGCTAGGTGTAGTAAACCACCATGGGACATGTTTACCCATGTAACAAACCTTCACGTCCTGCACATGTACCCCAGAACTAAAAATAAAAAAATTTGAAAAAAAGAATGGAGGGAAAATGCTCCAAAACTTATGATAGTTTTCTTTATTTTCATTTATCACTTATTTTGTTTCAAGTTGAGATATATTGTTAATCTTATCACCAATTCATCAAATCCATCACTAATAAAAACTTCAAATGCTCATTTAAAAATATGTAATCATATAAGAATATTTCTGAATATTTCTTTTTTTAAAATTTCTTCTTAAAAAATAAGATACATGTGCAGAACGTGCAGGGTTGTTACATAGGTATACATGTGCCATGGTGGTTTGCTGCACCTATTGACCTGTCCTCTAAGTTCCCTCCCCTCAGCTCCTATCCCTCAACAGGCCCTGGTGTGTGCTGTTCCCCTCTCTGTATCCATGTGTTCTCAATGTTCAACTCCCACTTATGAGTGAGAACACGTGCTGTTTTGTTCTCTGTTCCTGTGTTAGGTTGCTGAGGATGATGACTTCCAGCTTCATCCATGTCCCTGCAAAGGACATGATCTCATTCCTTCTTATGGCTGCATAGTATTCCATGGTGTATATGTACCACATTTTCTTTATCTGGTTTGTCATTGATGGATTGGCTTGGTTCCATGTCTTTGTTATTGTAAACAGTGCTGCAGTAAACATACATGTGCATGTGTCTTTATAGTAGAGTGATTTATACTCCTTTGGGTATGTACTCAATAATGAGATTACTGGGTCAAATGTTATTTCTGGTTCTAGATCCTTGAGGAATTGCCATACTGTCTTCCACAATGGTTGAAATAATTTACTTTACCACCAACAGTGTAAAAGTATTCCTATTTCTCCACACCCTCATCAGCATCTATTGTTTCCTGACTTTTTAATAGTTGCCATTCTGACTCGCGTGAGATGGTATCTCATTGTAGTTTTGATTTGTACTCCTCTGATGATCAGTGATGTTGAGCTTTTTTCATACGTTTATTGGCTGCATAAATCCCTTTTTGAGAAGTGTCTGTTCATATCTTTTGCCCACTTTTTGATGGGGTTGTCTGTCTTTTTCTTGTAAATATGTTTAAGTTCCTTGTACATTCTGGATATTAGCCCTTTGTCAGATGGATAGATTGCAAAATTTTTCTCCCATTCTGTAGGTTGTCTGTTCACTCTGATGATAGTTTCTTTTGCTGTACAGAAGCTCTTTAGTTTAGTTAGATCCCATTTGTCTATTTTGGCTTTTGTTGCCATTGCTTTTGGTGTTTTAGTCATGAAGTCTTTGCCCATGCCTATGTCCTGAATGGTATTGCCTAGGTTTTCTTCTAGGGTTTTTATGGTTTTGGTTTTTACATTTAAGTGTTTAATCCATCTTGAGTTAAATTTTGTATAAGGTTAAGGAATGGGCCCAGTTTCAGTTTTCTGCATATGGCTAGCCAGTTTTCCCAGCACCATTTACTAAATAGGAGATCCTTTCCTCATTGCTTGTTTTTGTTAGGTTTGTCAAAGATCAAATGGTTGTAGATGTGTGGTGTAATTTCTGAGGTCTCTGTTCTGCTCCATTGGTCTATATATTTGTTTTGGTACCAGTACCATGCTGTGTTACTGTAGCTTTGTAATATAGTTTGAAGTCAGGTAGCATGATGCCTCCAAGTTTGTTCTTTTTGCTTAGGATTGTCTTGGCTACATGGGGTCTTCTTTGATTCTATGTGAAATTTAAAATAACTTTTTCTAATTCTATGAAGAATGTCAACGGTAGTTAGATGAGAATAGCATTGAATCTATAAATTACTCTGGGCAGAATGGCCATTTTCATGATACTCATTATTCCTGTCCATGGGGATGGAATGTTTTTCCATTTATTTGTGTCCTTTCTTATTTCCTTGAGCAATGGTTTGTAGTTTTCCTTGAAGAGGTCCTTCACATCCCTTGTTAGCTGTATTCGTAGGTATTTTATTCTCTTTGTAGCTATTGTGAATGGGAGTTCATTCATGATTTGGCTCTCTGCTTGCCTATTGTTGGTGTAAAGGAATGCTTGTGATTTTTGCACATTGATTTTTTATCTTGAGACTTTGCTGAAGTTGCTTATCAGTTCAAGAAGTTTTTGGGCTGAGATGATGGGGTTTTCTAAATACAAAATCATGTCATCTGCAAACAGAGACAACTTGACTTCCTCTCTTCCTATTTGAATACCCTTTATTTCTTCCTCTTGCCTGATTGCCCTGACCAGAACTTCCAATACTATGTTGAATAGGAGTGGTGAGAGTGGACACCCTTGTCTTGTACTGGTTTTCAAAGGGAATTCTTCCAGGTTTTGCTCATTCAATATGATATTGGCTGTAGGTTTGTCATAAATAGTTCTTATTATTTAGAGATATGTTCCATAAAAACCTAGTTTATTGAGAGTTTTTAACATAAAGGGATGTTGATGTTGAATTTTATCAAAGGCCTTTTCTGCATCTATTCAGATAATCGTGTGATTTTTGTCTTTGGTTCTGTTTATGTGATGGATTACATTTATTGATTTGCATATGTTGAATCAGCCTTGCATCCCAGGGATGAAGCCGACTTGTTCGTGGTGGATATGTTTTTTGATGTGCTGCTGGATTCAGTTTGCCAGTATTTTATTGAGGATTTTTACATCAATGTTCATCAGGTATATTGGCCCGAAGTTTGTTGTTGTGTCTCTTCCCAGTTTTGGTATCAGGATGATGCTGGCTTCATAAAATGAGTTAGGAAGGAATTCCTCCTTTTCCATTGTTTGGAACAGTTTCAGAAGGAATGGTACCAGCTCCTCTTTGTATTTCTGGTAGAATTCAGCTGTGAATCCATCTGGTCCTGGGCTTTTTTTGGTTGGTAGTCTATTAATTACTGCCTCCATTCCAGAGCTTGCTACTGGTCTAGTCAGGGATTCAACTTCTTCCTGGTTTAGTCTTGGTGTATGCATCCAGGAATGTATCCATTTCTTCTAGATTTTCTAGTTTATTTGCATAGAAGAGTTTATAGTATTATCTGGTGGTATTTTGTATTTCTGTGGGGTCAGTGGTGATATCCCCTTTATCATTTTTTTTGTGTCTATTTGATTCTTCTCTGTCTCCTTCTTTATTTCTCTAGCTAGTGGTATATTTTGTTATTTATTTTATTTTTTAAAAAAAACGGCTCCTGGATGTGTTGATTTTTTTTGGAGGGCTTTTTGTGTCTTTGTCTCCTTCAGTTCTTCTCTGATCTTAGTTATTTCTTGTCTTCTGCCAGCTTTTGGATTAGTTTGCTCTTGCCTCTCTAGCTCTTTTAATTGTGATGTTAGGGTGACGATTTGAGATCTTTCTGGCTTTCTAATGTGGGCATTTAGTGCTATGAATTTTCCTCTTAACACTGCTTTAGTTGTGTCCCAGAGATTCTGGTACATTGTCTCTGTTCTCATTTGTTTCAAAGAACTTATTTATTTCTGCCTTAATTTCATTATTTACCCAGGAGCCATTCAGGAGCAAGTTGTTCAATTTCCAGGAAATTGTGTGGTTTTGAGTGAGTTTCTTAATCCTGGGTTCTAATTTGATTGCTCTGTGGTCTGAGAGACTGTTTGTTATGATTTCAGCTCTTTTGCATTTGCTGAGGAGTGTTTTACTTCCAATTATGTGGTAGATTTTAGAATAAGTACCATGTGGCACTCAGAAGAATGTATATTCTGTTGATTTGGGCTAGAAAGTTCTGTAGACATCTACTAGGTCCACTTGATCCAGAGCTAAGTTCAAGTCCTGAATATCCTTGTTAATTTTCTGTCTTGTTGATCTGTCTAATACTGGCAGTGGGGTGTTGAAGTTTCCCACTACTATTGCGTGGCAGTCTAAGTCTCTTTGTAGGTCTCTAAGAACTTACTTTGTGAGTCTGGGTGCTCTTGTATTGGGTGCATATATATTCAGAATAGTTAACTCTTCTTGTTGAATTGTTCCCTTTACCATTATATAATGCCCTTCTTTGTCTATTTTGATCTTTGTTGGTTTAAAGTCTGTTTTGTCAGAGACTAGGATTGCAACCCTCTTTTTTTTTTTTTTTGCTTTCCATATGCTTGGTAAATTTTCCTCAATCCCTTTATTTTGAGCCTGTGTGTGTCTTTGCATGTAAGATAGATCTCCTGAATACAACACACCAATGGGTCTTGACTCCTTATCCAATTTGCCAGTCTGTATCTTTTAATTGGGGCATTTAGCCCCTTTACATTTAAGGTAGGTATTGTTATGTGAGTTTGATCCTGTCACCATGATGCTATTTGGTTATTTTGCATGCTAGTTGATGCAGTTTCTTCATAGTGTCATTGATCTTTATAGTTTGGTGTGTTTTTGCAATGGCTGGTACCAGTTTTTCCTTTCCATATTTAGTGCTTATTTCAGGAGCTGTTGCAGGGCAGGCCTGGTGGTAACAAAATCCCTCAGCATTTGCTTGTCTGGAAAGGATTTTATTTCTCCTTCACTTATGAAGCTTAGTTTGGCTGGATATGAAATTCTGGGTTGAAAATTCTTTTCTTTAAGAATGTTGATGTTGGCCCCCAATCTCTTCTGGTTTGTAGGGTTTATGTTGAGAGGTCCACTGTTAGTCTGATGGGCGTCCCTTTGTAGGTAACCTGGCCTTTCTCTCTGGCTGCCCTTAACAGTTTTTACTTGATTTCAACCTTGGAGAATCTGATGATTATGTGTCTTGGGGTTGATCTTCTCGTGGAGTATCTTAATGGTGTTCTCTGTGTTTGCCGAATTTGCATGTTGGCCTGTCTTGCTAGGTTGGGGAAGTTCTCCTGGATAATATCCCGAAGGGTGTTTTCCCACGTGTTTCCATTTTCCCCATCTCCTCCTGGTACTCCAAGCTATCATAGGTTCAGTCTTTTTATGAAGTCTCATATTTCTTGGAGGCTTTATTCATTCCTTTTCATTCTTTTTTCTCTCTTCTTGTCAGCATGTCTTATTTCAATAAGGTAGTCTTCAAACTCTGATATCTTCTCTTCCACTTGGTCGATTCAGCTGTTGACACTTGTGTATGCTTCACGAAGTTCTTGTGCTGTGTTTTTCAGCCCCATCAGGCCATTTGTGTTCCTCTCTAAACTGATTATTCTAGTTAGCAATTCCTCCAACTTTTTATCAAGGTTCTTAGCTTCTTCGCATTGGGTTAGAACATACTCCTTTAGCTCATCATAGTTTTTTCTACCCATCTTGTGAAGCCTACTTCTGTCAGTTCATCCATCTGATCCTCCGCCCAGTTCTGCACCCTTAATGGAGACATTGTGATCATTTAGAGGAGAAGAGGCACTCTGGCCTTTTGGGTTTTCAGCATTTTTTTCATTGGTTCTTTCTCACCTTCGTGAGTTTGTCTAGTTGTGGTCTTTGAGGCTGCTGACCCTTGTATGGGTTTTTTGTGGGGGCCCTTGTTGTTGTTGTTGATGATGATGCTGTTGTTGTCACTTTCTGCTTATTTGTTTTTCTTTCAATAGTCACTTCCCTCTTCTGTAGGGCTGCTGCAGTTTGCTGGGGTTCACTTTAGGCCTTATTCATCTGATTTGCTCCCACGCCTGGATATGTAACTCAAGGAGGCTGGAGAGCAGCAAAAATGGGTGTCTGCTCCTTCTTCTGGGACCTCTGACTTCAAGGGGCACCAACCTGATGCCAGTAGGATCGCTCCTGTATAGGGTGTCCTGACAATCCCTGTTGGAGGGTCTCACCCAGTTGGGTGGCACCAGGAGGAGGACCCATTTAACGAAGCACTTTGTCCCCTGGTGGAGAGGGTGTGTTTTGCTGTGGGAAAGCCCACTTGTCTGGGCTTCCCAGATTCCTCAGAACTACCAGGAGGAGAGGCTAAGTCTGTTGGTCCGCAGAGACTGCAGCCACCCCTCCCCCTAGGGGCTCAGGCCCAGGGAGATCTGAATTCTGTCCCTGAGCCTCTGGCTGCAGTTACTGAAGATTCTGCAGGGAAGCCCCACCCACTGAGGAAGGATGGGTGAGGGTTAGACCTGAAGAGGCACTCTGGCCGCTGACTACCACAGCTGGTGTGTTGGGTTGTGGCGACAAGTCTTGGGACCAAGCTGTCCAGCCTCGCTGGCTCCCGCAGGGGAAAAGCACAGCCTGGAGCTATAGAAATGGATGCTGCATTTCTCCCCGCCGCCCAGGGAGATTAGCGTGTTAGGCAGTTGGGAGTCCCAGTGCTGGCTGCTGCCCCTCCCTCAAGGAGCTCAAAGGGCTTAGACAGCAGGCAGCAGAAGCCTGTGCTGGTCACCCCTCCCCCAGGGAGTTCAGTAAGCTTAGGCAGATTCCAGCTGAGAGGCCATAAGAATCTGTACATTCTAGGGTTGGGATGCTAGGCCTCGGTGGCATGGGATCGAGAGTGGGATCTTCCAATCCATGAGTTGCACAGTTCTTTGGAAAAGCAATTTCCCCGGCTGGGTAGCCTGCTCGCTCGCCGCTCCCCTTGGCTGGAGGGGAGGGGGTTCCCCTTCCCCGTGTGGTTCTCAGGTGGGCTCACTGCTCTTCCTTCTCTCTGTGGGTCACGCCAGCCTTCTAGTCAATTTTGATGAGCGAATCTAGATACCTTGCCGGTGAAGGACTCACACACTTATTATGGTTTTTTTCAATAGGAACCTCTGAACGGAGTTGCTTCTAGTCGGCCATCTTGGCCCCGCCTCTGAATATTTCTTTAATGTTGTCTTTCCTCTTAATATATTCTGTAGAAAGATTTCAGTGCAGAAGATTAATACTTCAAACATATCAACCAATATTTTCTTTTTTTCCCTAAAGCTGGAGTCCCAAATAAACCAGGCATTCCCAAATTACTAGAAGGGAGTAAAAATTCAATACAGTGGGAGAAAGCTGAAGATAATGGATGTAGAATTACATACTATATCCTTGAGATAAGGTATGTGTGTTTGCAAAGTACTTGTAAATGACAAAGAACTAAGAAGATAATTATAAAGTAATCAAAAGTAACACTATTTATGCAAATGTATTTATATACAAACACAAAGATCTTTAGTTAAAGGACTCACATGCATCATTACGTTCTTTGCTCAATTCCTAGACGTTGGTCTTGGCATGCTAATTATAAACAGATCACGTCATTCTCAGAAATCTCTAACTGCTCATTGACACTTTATGGAAATTGTTTGATCATAGGCTCATGCAACCAGTATTAACTTAATATCAGTTTTGTTTAAAAAGCTTAGCTGATGTTTAATGTTAAATAATGATGGCATGTAAATTCCTGATGATAATTTGCTTTAGCAAGGTGAATACTCTCTAGTGAGAAATGGTGATGAAGTAGATATTTCTCATACTGTAAAATTAGGTCAGGTTCTGAAATGGTCTGAAGTGTAGAGGTCACACAGGATTCTGTATTCATTGGGAAGATTACAGTTTGCAATGTGTTCCCAGGGACTGAAAACACACCGTCGATGAAAACCAGCCACTGATGAACAGCCTCAGACCTGGCCAGTACGGGGAGCACGTGAACCATAACTGGCTTAGAAGGACTGATTTCATGCCAACTTGAGGGGAGAATTCCAAATTCCAAAGACACTCCTCTCACAGGACTATGAAACCATCTTTTAAGAAGTTCCAAGGACAAAAGTCACTTCCATAATTATAGTCCTGGCAACTTGATCTTTAGATCTATTTTTGCTTCATCTGGCTCTGGCATTCCCATAACCTTAAAAAATGTTCCTGTTCATACTAGAGAATTCCCTTGGCCCTTATTTCTAATTGAAACCTCCTTGAAGTTTCTGTTGCTGCTTTTCATGCAGAGTGAAATACATTCTAACCTGCAGAACTGTCTTGGTGGTTTGTGACTGTAATGATGTTCATCAATCAGGTCACACATCAGGTTTTTGCTAGGACCTCTTTTGTGTGTTACCCTGAGTAACACCTTAAGTGCTACTAAAATGACTCCATCTAAATACTTTGCATACTCCTTGCTCCAGGTCTCCACTGTCAGGACATAGACTATAGGATGACTGAATGATTGTTGTAACTTCAGTGTCTCAAAATAAGTCCTTCAGTCAGGACACTCTAGTTAGACTCTGTGTACTCACTGATGGGGTAGTGGAAGTGCAAAGTGCATGAACTTGGGAGTTGAACAAGCCTTATTAGTTTCCAAGGGTTGCCACAATAAAGGACCACCAACTGGGTGGCTTGAAACAGTAGACATTTATTCTTACAGCTCTAGAGGTTAGAAGTCTGAAACCAACGTATCAGCGGGACTGCTTGTTCTGATGGTTCTAGGGCAGAATCCATCTTTGCCTCTTAGCTTCTGGCGTTTACTGGCAGTCCTTGGTATTCCTTGGCTCGTAGGTGCATCACTGTCATCATCACCTCCTGCATCACAAGGTGTTCTCTGTGTCCAAATTTCCCTCTTCTTATGCAAGTGCCAGTCATTGGATTAGGGTCCACCCTAAACTACTATGACCTCATCTTAACTTGATTACATTTGTCAAGATCTTATTTCTAAACAAGGTCACATTAAAATATTCTGAGTGGGTATGAATTTTGGGAGGACATGACTCAATCCAGTACACAAACCATGTTTAAATGCTTGTTCTTTTCCTTTTTTGAACTTAAGTTTCCTCATCTGTAAAATGGAGATGATAATATCTATCTTATCTCTTTAAGCTGTTGTGGACTCAGTGAATTAAAACAACGTTATGTAAAGCCCCAGTACAGTATGTTGTAAATAGAAGGTGCTCAACCAACATCAGAATTCTTCTTTCTTTTCTCAATGGCCATTGTGTAGAGCCACTTCACAAATTCTCAAGGGCCTCTTTCTTTTGGATCAGAGTTGTTTGGTTAAACAGTGAAATGGCCAATGCTAAAGGTGAGACGTCACAAAATGTGTAAAAACACTCTGTCCTAATGCTTTGCTCAGGATGGTCCTTAAAGGGACCCTCAGCTCCGGGGAACAGCTGTGACCAACTCTGCTGCCCTGCTGCTCCCGATGTTCTTACCCTTTCCCTGCCTCTTATGAGGGCCAGCCTTCACTCTCTGTTGGTCTTCAGAAGGATGAGTCAATTAGCAGGAATAGAACCAGATTCTCCCACATATCCCTAAGCTTACCGTGGATTGGCACCAAGTCCTAAAACTATTGCGGTCTGAAAAGTTTCAGACCTGAAATATTCTTCATTGTTAGAGAAGACATAATGGAAGACCTTGAGCTTGCCTTTGATGATTCTGTAAAAAGTCATTCCAGTTATGTCTTTTGAACCCAGCCCTTGTGCTCCTTCCATGTTTCAAATGAAAAACAATTGGATTGACTTTGAGGTGGAATGTAGGTCAATACAAAAGGAAGCAACGAGCCTCAGAATCTCAGATATAATGATAACTTTGGTAGCTGAACTGTCACACTTTCCTTATCAATTTTGTATTCTGTATTTTATTGAAATATGGCATAAGTAAACTACAAATAATGTAAAAGACTGAAAATTGAGAAAATGGAAACTTCCCAGTTAAAAATCATGGAATAATTGTCTTATAGGTTTGGAATTCTGGAGAAAGTTTACCCATGCTGTTAGTATAGGAAAAAGGTACTCAGCTCTCTCTTCACCACTGATTACTCACAGTTTTCTTGGTGGGCTGAGTTAATTGGCTCCATGCCTCACTAGGATCACTATAAAACCATGCTGTTAGCATCTGTGTTGCCAGATTATGGGAGAGGAATGAGGTCAAGGGTAAATTGTGCCAAAGGACACTCTCTGGCGTTCAGTCACTAAGAAGATCTATGAACAACTAGAAATAACAGGTATATTGTCATGTATATTTTCTGTATTTATTATTTTTTGCAGAAAGAGCACTTCAAATAATTTACAGAACCAGAATTTAAGGTGGAAGATGACATTTAATGGATCCTGCAGTAGTGTTTGCACATGGAAGTCCAAAAACCTGAAAGGAATATTTCAGTTCAGAGTAGTAGCTGCAAATAATCTAGGGTTTGGTGAATATAGTGGAATCAGTGAGAATATTATATTAGTTGGAGGTATGTTACCATGTCTGTCTACACACTAGCTTATTACCTAAAGGTTCAGTAATAAATATCAGTACATTCTTAACATTAGCAATAGATAATGGTGACTATATATATATATATATATATATATATATATATATAATCTTATTATCCAAACTATTAAACTATTCCATTCATGTGATGTGATCTTTCTAAAACATCATTATCATCATGTCATTTTTCTCCCCAATAATAATCAGCCACCCCCTTAATTCCTACCACATCAATTCCATGCTCCTAATTAGGCTTCCAAGGCTGTTCACAATCTGTTCTATCCAGCCATATAATTCTATTCACATTATACCAGCCTTATGACCACTCCTACATTATACATAACAGGCCTAAGACCTTTGTTTCTTCCCCAATATCTACCTCTTCCACTGTGTATTTTATTTTAGTTTATGATATATTGTCTTTCTAATCACATAGGCAGGAAATCTCAGTGCCATATGTGATTTTTCCCTCTACTCAGTAATCAGGTCCTGTTGATTTTACCATCTTGATTTTTCTCTGATGAGTTCTCATCTTCCTCTTTCCACCTTGGCTTTCCTAATTTAAGGTATCATTTCTTGCCTGTGCCCTTGACTTACGCATACTGCTGACAGTTAAATTTAGTTGAAGCACAGGCTGGATTACTTAATCCCTCTCTGAAATACCCACAATGGCTCTCCATTTACTGCTTTCAGAATCAGCTACAAACTTCTTTGTGGCATGTGAGGTCTTCTGTAATTTATCCTCCAATTGTGGTTTATCTTTTCCAATATTTATGTCTGTGCTGTAGCCATATCAGACCAGTAAAAAGTTTTTATGTCACTTAGTCTTTGGCCCTGTGTTTGCCTCAGCCTAGAATACAGGTCCCCACTACCTACCCTGTGCCCCTTAGCTGTGATTTCCTATTATTTATTTTCTGCCAATTGAAATTCTTCTCATCCTTCAAGACTTAAATGAACTCATCATAATGCTTACCTGATGCTCCTTAGTCAAATGAATTATTGCATTTTATACACTCACATGCTATATAAAACTTACATGATTCTTGTTTATATTATAGTTAGTTATCTAGTTAGTTGTGTACAGAAGTTTGCTACCCAGCTCAGCAAACTTTTTCTGAAAAGAACCAAATAGTAAATATGTTAGACTTTGCAGGCTACATGTGATCTCTGTAGCATGTTCTTCTTTTCTTCTTTTTCTGTTCTCTTTTTCCTTCTCCTTCTTTTTAAAAATAACACTTTACAAAGGTAAAACTTATTCATAGCTAATAGGGGGTACAAAATCAGGCTATAGCCAGATTTGGTCCTCATGCCATAGTTTGCCAGACTCTGGCCTACGTGTTTGTTTCCTCTACACAACTGAAACTACCTAAGAGAAATTACCATGTTTATTCCTCAGTTTAATATCCATGAAATTAAATATGTATGAAGATATTATACAAAATAATAATGCCAACTATTTAGTATCCAAAGACTGAGATTTCTTGGTCCTAAATTTATTAAAAAGATATATATGTTTCCTAAGTCATTTTAAAGTAGAAGATTGAGTGGATATATTCCAGTGGTTTGTTGCTCTCTGCAAAAAAAAGCAAAAACACCTTGCTTTTGATTTCACATGGCATAAACACTGTCTGTATGGATGCTTTCAAGCTACCAACGGTCTAACAACTGGCTTGCAAAAATCCAGTAGTAGCTAGCTCTGCTATATTACTCTGTGTGCTTAGGTAGAGCTGGGGCAACTTAGCTTTTATCTATGAATTAATTTCTTTTTCTGATTTATATTATTAGATGATTTTTGGATACCAGAAACAAGTTTCATACTTACTATTATAGTTGGAATATTTCTGGTTGTTACAATCCCACTGACCTTTGGTAAGTATAATAGAATTTTTAAAATAGGCAACAAACTGTTTACTTAATCATACCTGATTGATTTATCTCTTAGTTGATCTAATCTCCCACATGAAATATTGCCTGATTAAGTTAATAAAATTTACATTGTTACCTTTGGCTATACATTTATAACCACTAACTTCTGTGAATTGTTTTCTGATCTAGGCATAACTATTTTATGGAAAATATACATGTACATTTCATGTTATACTTTAGATAAAACTACTTGCAAGGGCACCAACTTTTAGGTTTCTTTAAAACAGTATTTATTTCTGATTGGCTGCATACAAATGTTTTGTGGCTTATGGTTTAAAATAAATAAAAGAAAAATAACCCTGGGTACAGAAAAAAGTATAGAATTAATGGGAGGCCAGTGACAATCTTTGATTGGGATAGTTTTGGTTTCTAAGCAGACAGGCTGGTTTGGAATGAGTAGGGCCTCTTTTGCAGAAGATCCATTTCTGGCTTGTGGGATCGACTCTTGCTTTCAGACATCTGATCTGCTTATTTCAAATCCCTGCTCATTTATAAATGACCAGGAAGGCAGAAAAATTAGGTTAGGTAGATAGAAAGCTATTTTTTTTCTAAGAAGATTTACTTTAATGATAATAAAATGCAGTAAAAACCTCAAAGGGAATGGTCAAGTACTGATTGGACTTTTAGAGTTATCACAGTGATCATACATTCTTGTTTATTTCTGTTTCAGCACAAATAATAATAGCACTTTCTTTCATTCCCCAAACTGTCCGAGTTTGCTTATAAGATATATGGACCCCTATCTATTGCTAATATTGAGAGTCCCCAACACACTGAATCATTAAAAGAAGGGCATGATTCTTACCAGAAAAGAACACTCAAACACATATTAAGAAAGTTGTGGCTTGTTTTGTTCACAAGTAGGGGTAAGTTACAAGGGAAAGTTGATGGAAAAGTCACAAACATAAAGTTGAACTCTCAGGATAAAGACAGCCAACACTTTACTGTGTTCTAAGTCTTTATTCTTTCTGCAAAGTGATTGGAGTCACAATCTTTATGAGAGCACTTTGAAGCTCGATTTGAGATTTTTTTCAAAGATTCCACCCAGACAATATGTGAAACTCCTTCAGCAAACTTGGAAAGCTAAAAATTTCAGCTGACCCTGCCAGGATTTTAACCTGTGGTTCCAGAGAGTCTAAGTATTGCACAGCTGATGTTTGTGCCACTAAGCCAGCCCCTCCAGACTTACGCATATGACTGCAGTATATTTGGCAGTTGGCATATAGGCTTGACTGCTTGTCTGCTTTCCTACTGGGAAGGAGAATTACATGAAGAATCCTTCAGCTGACCTTTGCTTGCTTTCTTGTACATCACCATTGTTTAAACCCATAACTCTAGTGGATGAACATGAGATAATTTCAGACAACCTATTGTGCTTCCAAGACATCCTATGGATATCTGACTTTCTCAGGACTTAAAGGTCTTTATTCTGTTTGAAATTCACGAATTTTTGAGTCTAGCTAAGCTAATTCGGTTCTTTGCTTTTAGCAGCAGTGCATGTGGTTTTACTAGTAAGAGCGTGTGTGTGCATGAGAAAAGATTGAGTAATTAAAATAACAAAACAGTCACAATTATTTTAAAATTTGTATTGTGCTGAGGGCACTCATCAGTTATAAACATAAAATTAGACAATTTTTAAAATGAGTGTTGACAGCCTTTGCTTCTGAGCAGTCATATCTAATGCATAACATTAGCCTTCTGCTGGGAGTAGGGGAAAATGTAAACCTGTAAAATACAACTGCTGACCTCAGGAGCTTGCCATTTAATGAGGGAGTTAAGACATGCCTGTGTGGGAAGACAAATAGCAAGATATGTGTTAAATAATAACAAAAGACAAAAATAGATGAAATAAGTAAGACAGTGCATAGGATAAGCACTCACAGAGAGGCGCAATTAGTCTTTCAAGTTCAGATATGAAAGATTAGTAGAGGTTGCTGAGGTTTCAGAAGGCATCATTGAGGATGTGGGCTTACATTGGGCCTTTAAAAGTGAAGCGAGGTGGTGAGAACATTTCAAGTTGGAAAAATTAATTTAGCAAAAGGTACTTGTGATCTTTCACTGTGTAGCCCTTCAAATTGAATTTCATGTGAATAAAACTCTAACTTCTTGAACATAGAAGCTACTGTGAAATTAAGTTCAAATTTTAATGATCATCTCTCAAAGCATGCTTGCTGCTTTCAACTTCTGAGCCAATAGTCCAGTACAGATGACAATCCTATTGACATAATTGTATTTTAATATTAAAAAAATTTTATTATTATAAAACTAATACTGCTTATTATATAAGGAAGACAGTACAAATTACTCATGATTCTACAACTAGGGCAGACCACTGCTAACATTTGGTAAGCTTCGTTCCAATACTTTTTCTACATATTCGAGTATGTGTATATGAACAACAATGATAAACACTCTTGTACTCTGCAAAAAAAAAAAAAAAAAAAATTGCCATTATACTGAAAGCATTTTCTTTTCTACTGAGGAATATAACCTGGATGTGACTGAACTCAAAAATGAATTTGTTTCACTAATAATTATGTTTGTTTTGGTTTATTTTGACTCGTTTATGGGTGATTTTGACAAATAAGTTTTAATATTAAGATACTTTAATTTGTTTATAACAACAGTAAGAAATACATTAAATTTTAAGAAGTGAGATTAAAAATGGTGTAGTATGATTTGTGTACTTATATATGGCTTTTTACCTGGATTTAATTAGTTTTTTATAAGATATTTTAAAATCAAATTATGAAAACTTCTATAACTATTCTACTGATAGTGTTCTTGCATAAAAACACTTCAAATGCACTGTTAACATTTCCTAAAGGAAAAAAGAAGCAATATTTTATTTTGTAAATTATGTCATTTTTTCCTTTATAGTCTGGCATAGAAGATTAAAGAATCAAAAAAGTGCCAAGGAAGGGGTGACAGTGCTTATAAACGAAGACAAAGAGTTGGCTGAGCTGCGAGGTCTGGCAGCCGGAGTAGGCCTGGCTAATGCCTGCTATGCAATACAGTATGTAGCTTTGGCCATCATTATGGAGCACCTAGGCAAAGGGTGGGCAACAGTAAGGAGAGTGCCTATGAATTCCGCATTGCCCAAGACAGTCATGGTTTATACCAGTTTTTCTGGCATAATTATTAATAACTTCCTCTTCCACTCTCAAATGTGACCTGGGATGGATGGAAAATTATGTGGTTTTAAGAAAAATACAGAAAAATCCATTAGTTTCCAGTATTTTGTCATGTAGCTCAAAAACAAATGAAAGAAGGAGAAAAATATTACATTGAAGAGAATAGATGGTAACATGGTTGGTTGACCTGGAGGCAGTGTTTGAGAGGAGAGGAGTTTTGAGAGCCTTGTGTTACGTGGTCAGCCTTAAGTCAATCTTACTCCATTTCAGAAGTTGTGTGATGATTGCCCACAAAACCTTCTTAAGATAGATGAGTTTTGAACTTTTGTTGCCGTCATAATTAAGGAAAATATTCAAGTGTCTTATGCAAAGGTTCATTATATTAGGATCTATGCAAAAAGGAATTAAATGATCATAGGCCTTGCTTTCAGAAATTTATAATGCAAGGTGTAAAAACAAAGGATTTGAAGTAGACACAAAGGTGATCTAAATCAGCTGTTTAGAGGTGACTTTCCTTTGAGCAAATACTCAGCATATCTGCTACTCAAGATTCTCTATTAAAAATTGAAAGCATTTTTAACATAGCAGCATTTTCCCCCCTTGTAGTATTCCAAGTGAGAAACTTGGCTTTTTAAAGTTAACCTTATGGTGATGGGGTTGATTTTTTTGGTCATAGTAAATTTTGTTTTACGTAAGATGTCACATGTGTGAAATAGCTAAGAGAAAAGCTTATAAACCCAGATGCATTTATTACTAATTTGCAGTAGCTTTTTATACAAATTGGCAATCTGAAGAAGTTAATACCTACTAACTTTGACTCAACAAGCTACAATAAAAGTGTTGAGGCAATGCATACACATATATATTTTTATCAAAATTAAGGTGCCTAGAAGTGGACCATCATGCTCTGTCTGGGTAAAAGGTTGTAGAATAGTAAAGTAAAGTAATTAGGAACCCAAAGTTCCACATCACCGTGTCACATAAAACACACAATACTGCAAAGCCATGAGATATTTCTTTCTCTCTCAAACACAAATACCAATACCAACACAAACTTGTACACCCTATATATGTGGAGGGTGGGGAGACAAAAATGTTGCTATTTTACAGTACTCTTCCAACCCAAGAGGAGATTGAAAATCTTCCTGCCTTCCCTCGGGAAAAACTGACTCTGCGTCTCTTGCTGGGAAGTGGAGCCTTTGGAGAAGTGTATGAAGGAACAGCAGTGGACATCTTAGGAGTTGGAAGTGGAGAAATCAAAGTAGCAGTGAAGGTAATGTGAATCTTCGAACTCCTTGACACATTATATCACCATATCTACAAAGATTGACCTGGATATAATTATAATAAAAGTTGAGTGCTCTTTGTTGAAAAGAGGACTGGTTGAATGTCGAAGCCTATCCATAGCTACAGAAATCACATTTAAAAAAAATCATTTCCTACATAGGAACATTGTTTGTAATCAACAATCTCCAGGGTTTGCATTACCTCTAAGGCTACTAATTAGCTAAGACCTATCAGGCAATCATTTTTCTTCAAACATGCCATAAGAGAACTGGAGTTGTGAAACACATTCTTAAGGTACTAGACCAAGGGTCAGCAAACCTTTTCTTAACTGGGCAGATAGTAAGTATTTTAGGCTTGCTGACCATACAGACTCTGCCATTGTATTGTCATAGACAATATGTAAATAAATGAGTGTGGCTGTGTACCAATAAAACTTTACTTATGAACACTGAAATTTGAATTTTATATTATTTTCATATGTCATGAAATAGTAATATTCTTTTGACTTTTTCAACCATTTAAAAATGGAAAAGCCATTTTCAGATCATAGGCTATACAAAAAGAGGTGACAGGCTGGATTTGGCCCACAGGCTGTAGTTTGTCAGTCTCTGACTACATGATTATTTATCATAGTATACTTAATGTATTTTTAAGGAAGCACTTGATATACTCATATTTTTGCAAAAACTTTCTTTTGATAAAGGGAGGATGAATCTTTTATGTAATTGAGCAATATCCTGATCTCTGCTTATTAGAGATTTATTGCTTTGAGAGTGAGCTATACAACTAGAAAAGTTGGCAAAATTCTCTCTGCTTCTAAATGATGTCATTTAAAAGTTCTTTAATTTACTCCCACCTTGACTGTTTTAAACAAATGTTTATTTCTCTCATGTAACAAGATGACTGCTGGCTTTGGTTCAGGATAGTGTGTCAGGTCAGAGCCAGTATCTCTGAAATTTTCTTGGCTGTTGTTCATGCTTGCTGCCTCATTGTTCCAAGATGGCTGACAAAGAAGCAAGCATCACATCTTCATTCGGGCCAGGGAGAGGAGGAAAGATGGTGTGAGATGTACATGTTCAGGAAGGCAAAGTCTTCTTCAAAGCTCCCTTCCCGCCTCAGCAGTTTTTCTCTTATATGCCATTGACCATCACCGAGTTATATGACCACCCCAATTTCCAAGGGAGGCTGGAGAATTTTAGAATACAATTTTCATGATTAGCTTTGATCAATTGCTTGGGACTGGGAACCTGGCCTCCAAGAAATAAATCGAAAGCAAGGAGATGGAGAAAACATATTGAAAAGAAAATTTTGAAAATTAAGAAATTGGCCTAAACAACAAAACTTGGTCTCTTAAAATTTCTACCTTTTGGAGGAATATTGTGTAAACATTACTAGACCTCTTATTTTGCATATTCTTCTACTAGCAATAACAGGAGGTAACATTTGAAGGGTTTGTAGAATACATGCACATGTTTTATCTACGATCTGTTTCCAGCTTTCAGGGTAGATATTACAGAACAAACAGAACAATCTCCATTAACCCACTGAGCTCACAGAAATGTCTGCTATACTGATTCCTGACTTGTTTTTATGTTGTATAGACTTTGAAGAAGGGTTCCACAGACCAGGAGAAGATTGAATTCCTGAAGGAGGCACATCTGATGAGGTAGCTCTGAAATAATTTTCTCCTGGTATGGGTAAGAAGTTTTAAGTCCGCTTGACTTATTTTTAACACCCAAAATGACATGACTTAACGGATCATGACTAAAACAACATGGTTGAAACGTTTAAATGGAACTACATCTGCAGAGCAAGTAGTCTATAGAGGCCAATCTTCTGAGCCTGGGTACAGGCAATCCTCAGACAAAAGGTTCTCCTTTCTTTTATCTTCAATAAGGAGCATGTTTTGCAAATGAATTCTGAAGCTGTTTGGCTTTTGACATGCTTGTATTCATCTAAATGTGTGATAATGGTCAAGTATACCCAGTAAGAGAGAGTTCTCTCAAATGCTATAATGTCAGTGAAAATATCCTTTGTCTTAGTAAACTTGTCTATCAGTTTGAGTTTGTGGTCATAAAAACTGCTCAAGCACATCTTAATGGGAAGACTTGAGGCAGTGGTTGATTGGGTCTCAAGCTGTGGGTTCCAATTATTAGGTTGGGACTTACTTGGTTTGATGTCTTGAGAAAACTGTGTAGCCAAACCCGCATTTCTGAGTTGTTTTCCTGAAAGGGAGAGGATATATTTCATACCTGTAATGACCCAAAACCCAATGTTTTTAAATATCTTTTCAAGGACGCTACTAGTCAAAATTACTTTCTTTTCCAAAATATGCTTAATACAAATGTTATTCCTTCTAAAAACCAACCTATTTTATCCATACTCATGGCCACTAGGGGTTGCCATATTACCTCTTTAAGGTAAGCACAAAGACCAGGAGTTGGAAAACGAAGTGTTAGAGACACTAAGTCAGGGGTTTTGAAGGAAACTATTGATAAAGAATTGCTGTACTCCATAAAGACCCTCGGCTAGGACTCCTGCTTCTGTCATATCATCCAGCCTGTGTCTTTCCACCTTTCAGCAAATTTAATCATCCCAACATTCTGAAGCAGCTTGGAGTTTGTCTGCTGAATGAACCCCAATACATTATCCTGGAACTGATGGAGGGAGGAGACCTTCTTACTTATTTGCGTAAAGCCCGGATGGCAACGGTAGGCAGTTGGGATCCATAATATTGGTTTCATAATGCAAATGCCCTATAATTCCCTATTAATTTTCTTTAAATTTAATAGGCTGCAGTGGTAAAACCTTAGAAGACTTACATGGAAAGAATTATTCTGTTTCCTTCACATTAGCTTTTGACAATCAGAACCCTGGGCTAACATTCTGGCACTTTCTGGTCATGTGAGCCCGAGCCTGTTTTTAGTATTTAATGGGAGAACATGACCCTCATTGCCAGAATCATGTTTTTCTGGAGCACAGGGATAGCGTGGAGTTGGAAAGGCATATCTCTGTACTTAATCTATATGCCTGTCTGTCCCAAATTATATTTCCAGTCTTGATGTCTTTACTGAGTACCAGACTTGTATGTCCCTCTCTAGTTGACATATCTTTTTGGATTTTAGTAGGTATCTCAAACATATTTTGCCCCAAACGGAGCTCTTGATTTCGTACGTCCTCTCCTACTCCACCCATCTACTTCCTTGCTTTCTCTTTCCCTACATCCATGCTAACAAACTCTGCCTGCAAAACGCAGCCGCAGTCCTTCTTCTCTTGTATCCCCAGTGCCTGGAGCAGTGCACAGCACATTATGAACCCTGGAAATACTGTGGAATGGCGGACAGGACTGGGGGTGACTACCTGTAGGAATCTACCTTATACCTTAGATGAGAACACGTAAGATAAGACAAGTCAGCAAAGTTTAAATCTGGTGGATTAAAAAAATTTTTATATCAAAATAAACATCATATGGCTAAAAAATTAAAATGTGTGACAAAGCATATAGTGAAAAACAGGAGCCCTGTGCACTGCCTCATTCCTACCTCTCAGGCCCCGCATGTATCTTGTGGTATTTACCGCCAAGTTCCTAAATAGTCTGCTCATACTGACACATGTTGATTTTTCAATTTGGGGTAAATTGATTGCCCAGTATGGAAGATGAGGATTTAACTCTCTTAGACTTCCTCATAATATACCTGTCCATCCCTCACCACGCTACACACAGGAAAACTTTGCTTGCCTCATCCTCTGACAATTATCACAATTTTGCAGATAAACCATCCTTCCAGGTTTGCATTATTAGAACTATTTAGTTATTATTATTATTTTTAGAGCTGAATTATCCAAATGTTATTAATGTAAGTTTTTTTCTCAGGCTAGTTTAATAAATATCTCTTGTTTTCATTTTAGTTTTTATATACGTAAACTCCCCAACTGAATTGTAACACTTTTCTCAATATGGCTAACAGTATCAGACAATCTAGTACTTAATTTTTTCTTGGACACTTCCTTCCTGGAAGCAGTGTGGATGCTTGTGCTCTAGGCTAGCTACACAGCTGCTGTTCTAGGGTTTCCTTCACATTCAACCTGGGAATCTTCCTCAATTCTTGTCCATGTGGGACTTTTTCCATGTATCTCATGACTTTTTGTTTGTTTTAGAAGAGAAAGTATGCATGTGCAGCAAAAATCTGCTTTTTTTTAATTTTTGAGAAAACGTCCTTTATTCTTCCCTCACACTTGGTTGATAATTTGGTTGGACTTTTAGGTTGAAAACTCTTTATCTAACAGATAAAGCCACTACATCTTTCTTTCCTCGCTTCTACAATTGCCAATAAGAATTCTTATGCCACTCTGATTCCTGAGCTTATTATCAGTGGTCTGTTTTTTGCCTCCTCCCCTTCAAAAATTTGAGGAAAATTTTATCTGTGGTACTCTTTACTCATAGTAAAGTAACAGTTGCTTTGCTAATCATTCCCTTCAGTTCCAGGATTTTTTTTCATTGTCTCTTTGATAATGAATAGAATTCCTTATTCCCTCTATTTCTTTGTTCTAGAAATCCTGTTATAACGGACTGCTTTGTTTCATCTTCTCATTCTATTAGCTGCTCTCTCCTATTTTCTAGCTTTTGTCATTTTGCCTTCTATTGTGATAGACTTCCTCAACTTTGTCCCCAATCTTTTTGTAGAATTAAAAATTTTTGTTAACATATTTTAATTTTTCACAGTCTTGTTCTTGTATTTTGACTGCTTTTTAAAATAATATTCTGGTTTTGTTCATAGATGCAAAATTTTACTCATCTTCTTTTAGGGTATTAATTATGCTTTTCAAAGAGTGTTAATTTGCTTCCTGCATTGTCTTGGCTTCCTTGTTCCTCTTTGTTTTGGAATCTGATTCAATGTGAGAATCTTTCTCAAATGTTTAGTATTCTTGGCTGGTTTCATATTTAATCGTGAGGCCTAACAAAATGATGGGAACCTATGTGTCCAAGGAAGCTTCCTTTTGGTGTTAGGTGGGACCCTGCTCTTCCACTGGGGGTCCTCCAATGTCAGTAACTGAATCTTTTCCCTGACATATGCCAGTTTAACCAGGGAGGAAATTGCTCGTTTCTCCTCTGGACAGTAAATGCCTGATGCATCAACTCAGAGCGTTTAGAGGGGGCTGGAGGTCTCAAGGCTCAGTATGTGGACTCTCATTTAATTTTAATTCTCTGCATTTCAGTACAGTGCCTCAGTGTGACTGGTAGTATCTCTGAACTTGGAGTTGTTCTGGTTCAGGTTTCTGTTGTTTTTATTTGTTTGTTTTCTATAGACAAAAGCCTTCATCTGTGGTAGAAGAATCTATGATTTAGTTAGGCCTTAAATAACCTAAACGTTCTTTTTGCTTTCAGTCCTTCTTCTTGTCCCTGTATTCAGGGATACCTGCTGCCTCCCATTCTGGAGACTATGAGCTTCCATAGTGAAAAACAGCTCAATTCTTGCCTTTTCTTTCTGTAGGCAGTCAGCTTTCATCTCTCTTGGCTCTGCTAAATTACCACTCCTCCATCTGCTTTCCCTCTTCCAGAATGCTTTGTCTGCCATGTCAGTTCTCATGACAGTTGATTTGCCCTTGTGAAATTATGAAAATTTTCACTATACTGCCATGTTAGTAAGGTTTGGGGAGAGAGTGGAACTAAAAATGCGCACATTCAATCCCTCATCTTAAACAATAAATTTTATTTGTAGATTTGTCTTGTTTTGTGGTGGGGCTGGGGGTATGAAAAGTGAAGAGAGGATGAAAAAGGATGGACTGAAAAAAAAAGTGGATCTACTTTTTCCAGATCGTTTTGAGTCACCCAGGATCCTAATGCTTATAAAGATTGGTTCTCACATGCACTTCAGCTGTTCCGCAGCCTTTCCTGGTGGTTGCCAAAAACAGCTTCCAGGGCTTCGTCTCCTTCGCTGCAACCATAGAGACATCGTTAGGTGCTGAAGGCAGAATGAAGGCCTGAGGCCTATGGGAGCCATCACAAATGCTACTCTCCCTCCTGCTGACTTCTTTTGAGGCCAGCCTCTCCCCACATGGAGTGCTCAGAGGCACTATCTCAGAAGAACCAGCAGAGGCCTTTTTCTCTTTCTCCCTGCATTCAAGGACTATTTTATTGGGTTGAATGCCTAAGAATTGACTGCAGCTAGGCCCGGAAAGCTTAGTCTAGTCCTTTGTTCTGAGGACTCAGTTTCTTTATCTACAAAATGGAATATTGAATCAAAAGCTTCCTAAGTCTCCTTTTAACTTTTTTTTTTTTTTGGACAGAGTCTTTCTCTGTGGCCCAGGTTGAAGTGCAGTGGCGTGATCTTGGCTCACTGCAACCTCTGCCTCCCAGGTTCAAGTAATTCTCTTGCCTCAGCCTCCTGAGTAGTTGGGACTACAGACATATGCCACCATACCCAGCTAATTTTTGTATATTTTTTGTAGTAGAGACAAAATTTCACCATGTTGGTCAGGCTGGTCTCGAACTCCTGATGACCTCAAGTAATCTGCCTGCCTTGGCCTCCCACAGTCCTGGGATTACAGGCATGAGATACCACACCTAGCCTTAACTTTTGTTAAAAGGATTGTATTAAGATAGAAAAAAGCGAAACAAACAAACAAAAAACTGTCAAAGTAATACAAATATGTAGTAAATGTGCTGCCTTCCAGATAACATTAAATTCACCAAATTTTTCCTGGGTGTTTGCTATACAACGGTGAAGGATGTAGTTCTTGCACTCAAGGAACTTGCTACATGGTAGGTTGTAAGTCTACAGACACAAGTCTACAGATACCTAAATAATCCACTTAAAGTAGGAAGTAGGTGGACTCATTAGAGTGCAGTGGAGAATATACTGCAGAAGCCCAGAGGAAGGAGTGATTTCCAACTGAGGAAACCTGAGAGGGCTTCATGGAAGAGGTCTTCTGATTCAGACACAACCAAAGCAGGAGGTAGAACAGTAGCTGAACTATACTTTCCCACTGAGTTATGAAAGGCTTTGACTAGGGATAGATTGAGATCAAAGTTTAATCTATCTGAAGGGTTTAACAAGAGATGACAGGTGGTAGTCCAGAGTAGCATCTAGAGTCAAGGAAACCCAACATGCAGTGATGAGGTATCCCAACAGGTTGATACATGGGATATCAGAAAGAGAGAATAGTCAGAGATCCAAGCAGGCAGGCAGCATTATGAAAATCTGTCAGCAGGGAACAGGGCACTAGCCACCAGACTGAAATTAGGGAGTAGGATCCTAGGCCTAGAGAAAGTCTTCACAGGTAGAGTAGGTTTTGTCAAGAGCAGAGCAGGGTTCCATGTACACAGGAACCAGTGAACCATTCAAGACATCCAGCAGGGACTCAGATACGGGCCATGATAATAGGGTTGGAGGATATTGATTTGGGAGTAAGGTCATAGCCTAGTTATTAGCCCTAGGTGTGGCTGAGCAGAACCATGGCAATAGTGAGCCCCAGAACATCAGGATTATTCCTAGTTTGGGAGCAAGAGATAAACGTGTCAGGGGAGGTAGGGAGAACACCACTTAAGAGCATTTGTTTTTAAGGAATTGAGGGACTTGGAGGTTTGGAATCATTTGAGATACTCAGCTAAGGCTGTCCATGGAAATCAAGAAACAGGAGCACATTCCAGGAGAAAAAATGATAGCAGGAATAAAGAAGAGAGGCTGAGAAATGCAGAGTAGGTATAAGGAACTGCAATCGGACCAGTGTAACGGAAGCACAGATTGAGAGAGGAGAAACAGTAGGAAATTAATAGACTTGTAGAAAGGCTGGTGCAGCCTGGGGGTGCTGTGGAGGCTGTGCTCAGGAATTCATAATGGACTCTACAGGAAGGGGGTCACAACAAATCAAGCTAATGAAAAAGCACAGGAGGCTGGAGACAAGGGAAATTTTTGAATGCATCAAATTAGGGATGACAAAAGCTTGAACCAGGGTAATTGCAGGACAATGGAAAGGGACAGACAATGTAATATAGCTTCAGGGCAGGAACTTTGAATTTTCCCAGTATGGTACTAATAAAAACTTCAACTGGCTTCTTTTCATGTAGAAATCATTGCAACCAGTACAGGCTCAAGTGTATGTTTGTACTCACTCTCTTAGATGAGAGGAGTAATTTGAAACTTTGAAATAGGGTATTGCTAACAATTTGCATGGGGCTCGTATGAGAAACAAGCCCATTATCATGACTGGCAAGACAGAGTGCCATTGGGTCAATAATTAAACCAGCTAGCACTTAAATGATCATTTTGACTACTTATGAGAGCAGCAACTGTTTATTAAGTGCCTGTTATCGACCAGCCATATATGTAACTTACTTGAATTTTGCAAGGTCAGTATTATTGCCCATTTTACACATGAGAAATTTGCTTAGTGAGTTAAGTAACTTAAGCAAGTTCACACAACTAGTAAGTAGCAGAACTAGGTTTCACATCTCGATCTGTCTGACCTGACACCTGGAGGTCTTTCCAATAAAGATTCCATATTGCCTCTACTTACTAAACATAGCTGTCATTTTTTATGTATATTTGCGTAGGAAACATATAAATTTGTTTTCCTCTTTGTTTGAATTCTTATAATCATAACTAAAAATCCCTTTAAAACATCAGATACATACATGCATATGCATATACATGTATCCACTTATATTCACACATATATGTATATATTTCATGCAAACTAGATAACTACCTGTAATTTTTCTTTCATTTCTTACAGTTTTATGGTCCTTTACTCACCTTGGTTGACCTTGTAGACCTGTGTGTAGATATTTCAAAAGGCTGTGTCTACTTGGAACGGATGCATTTCATTCACAGGTACAATTCTCTTCTGGATACAGGGTTATTACGGATATTGGCACAATAATCACCTGTAGTGCAGGTAAAGCACACAAGATAATTAAACATTTTAATTCCTTCAAACTAGCAATAATTTCTATTAAAAGTCTCTCTTATAAATCATTCTACTGTAAAGACACATGCACATGTATGTTTATTGCATCACTATTTTCAATAGCAAAGACTTGGAACCAACGCAAATGCCCATCGATGATAGACTGGGTAAAGAAAATGTGGCACATATACACCATGAAATACTATGCAGCCATAAAAAAGAATGAGTTCATGTCCTTTGAGGGAACATGGATGAAGCTGGAAACCATTATCCTCAGCAAACTAACACAGGAACAGAAAACCAAAGCAGGTTCTCACTCATAAGTGGGAGTTGAACAATGAGAACACATGGACACAGGGAGGGGAACATCATACACCAGGGCCTGTCTGGGGTTGGGGGCAAGGGAAGGGAGAGCATTAGGAGAAATACCTAATGCAGGCAGGGCTTAAAATCTAGATGACAGGTTGATAGGTGCAGCAAACCACCATGGCACATGTATACCTATGTAACAAACTTCATGTTCAGCACATGTAATCCAGAACTTAAAGTAAAAAAAAAAAAAATAGTTTCTCTTCTTTACAGACCTACTAGGGCTACTTCTTTGATTTCTGGAACTTTATTGTTGTTATTATTATTATTATTAAATATAACTTCTGCCACAGGGATCTGGCAGCTAGAAATTGCCTTGTTTCCGTGAAAGACTATACCAGTCCACGGATAGTGAAGATTGGAGACTTTGGACTCGCCAGAGACATCTATAAAAATGATTACTATAGAAAGAGAGGGGAAGGCCTGCTCCCAGTTCGGTGGATGGCTCCAGAAAGTTTGATGGATGGAATCTTCACTACTCAATCTGATGTATGGTAAGTTTAACGGGACACAGAGTAATGCTGACAGAATCATCAAACATTAGAGGGGATTTTAAAAGGACATCTAATCTTGCTTTTTTAATGTGAGAAAACAGAAGACCAGAGAGATTAAGTGATTTGCCTCAAGCTAAAGTGAGAGTTGGTGGTCAAGGTGGTACTATTCCTGGGTCTCAGCAGTTTATGCTCCTCCCTGAATCAGTTTTGTTATGAAATAGATACATTTCATTCAAATATTTTATTACATTCCAAAGATGTAAAAGCCTATGACTAATAGGAATTGGTACTTAGGAATTAATGTCCAAGTGTGTGCCCAAATACCTACTATTTGGGAATGTTTGGTCATTAATTTATCAGTAAACTTTAAATCATGGATTTAAAAGTATCCTAAAAGATTAGGACACTGGGGAGATTTGGACATCCCTTTATTATTTGAATGATGCCCCTTATTTTTGTTTGTTGACTCCAACTTTTGAATAGAACAGCTCAAAATGTAAAAGTTTGTTCAATGACTTTTAAGTTGGGCTGGCCCTAGGCAAAATTACGAATGAGATAAAATTTCTCAGTGCTGCCAATTTTTATTCATGCCTTCCCTCTCAATGTTTACTGGCACTTTATCCCCTGCAAACTTGGGAGGAAAATGCTGAAATGTTTTTGTGCTCACCCTTTGGTGTGTCTGCATGTCAATGCTCTGAAATTCTTAGATAATGGAGGCCTACAGTGGGGATTCAGTCAGGGAGAGAAACAGAGTATGAGTTGTGTGTATACATGTATATATGCATGTATGTGTGTGCACGTGTTTCTGTGTGTGCATGCATGTGCATGTGTGTCTGTTTCTGTGTGTGCATATGTGTATATGTGCGTGGATGTGCATGCATGTGAGCATGCATATGAGTCTGTCTCTGTGTGTGCACATGTGTGCCTCCTCCAAGCCTTCCTATCACCTTTGAAGTATTTGCTCATACGCAGTGTCTTGTTCTACTTTTTCTTGTCAGCCTGCTTTTATATCTGCCGTTTGCCTTTTATGAGGCCAATAATACACTGACAAAGTAGACCCTGCTAGCCCCAGGAAAAATGTTGTTGGAGAAACTACTGTAAACCTGGTGTTTGTAATAAGTATAATTAAAGCAAACCCTCTACTATTCTTAGGTCTTTTGGAATTCTGATTTGGGAGATTTTAACTCTTGGTCATCAGCCTTATCCAGCTCATTCCAACCTTGATGTGTTAAACTATGTGCAAACAGGAGGGAGACTGGAGCCACCAAGAAATTGTCCTGATGATCTGTAAGTTAATTATGTTAACATATGTATCCCCCAAACAAAAACATGTGCACATACAATCTTAGGCCTCTTGATATAGTTTGTTAAATTGTTAAAATAAGAACTGGAACTTAAATATTGTATACCCCACATAAAATATCAATTCATTGTGTCAATTTGTGAATATATTATGGCTTCTTTTTAATTGTATATACACATGATATTTCACTGAGAAACAAAATTTTGGAGAGTAAAATACTTCTGGTTAAGTAAAATACTTCTGGTTAAGTGAATTCTAATAAAAGCACTCCGAGTGTATGTGTGTGTGTGTGAGAGAGAGAGTATACACACACATATGCCTTTTATTTTGGGAGATATGATTTGACTAGTATCTTAATCTACATATTAAAATATTATACTAAATGGGAATATATTGTTAAAAAGTTGGATTCCCTTTGTTGATATAGCTGACATTGACTAATAAGAAATAGTATTACTAAAAATTATACAGGTTGTGACCTGTTTATGAACATAACAAAAAATGACTAAGTATTGTAACTTTAGCGAATCCTGGCCATTATTGAATTCCAATAGTGATTTCTCAGAAGAGTGAGTGAATTTTAGTCAAATTATAAGGAAAAAGGTTTTTATTCTGAGTATTAATCTGCCTCCTTGTGGAAAGTATCAGCAGAAATATTAAGTCTTGACAACTTTTTCCAAGAATTGTCTTACCCAAGAAGTTCCTAAAAGAGCAAATAAGTATGAACTCTCCATGTGCACCATAGCATGCCAAGGATTGTATGGATTACAGAGGTGTTTAAACCAGGGACACAGCTCTTCAGCATCTCAGAATGTGTTTTGAATGAAAAGACACCCACAGAGAGCAGTTGGATGCCAAGCCAACATGTAATAAAGTGCTAAACTGTGTGGTACAGGCAAGTGCAAAAGGAATTAGCAGTATGCGGATGCACACCATGGTTGTACTGCCTTGACTATGCTGTGTTATTTAGAGGATTATTCAGACTTGAGCCAAAAGATGATTAAGAGCTGGGCACCTTGGTTAGATGTTCTACTGGTGAATGTTTTTGTATTATTTAAATCTTCCAGCTAGAAGAAGATTGGAATTACCGCTTGTTTCTGATTTAACTTAATAGTCTCTGCGATGTTTACAGGGAGATCAGATACACACACATCTGACCAAATTTGATAGTAGTGCATAAAAAATGATTCATAATCATTTTGGGGGGAAATGGGGAAAAATTATATAAATTAAGGATAAGAAATTATACAAAATTTGAAAACCTTTCATGTAGGGTTTAAGAAAAAAGCCCAGGATACCTAAATACAAAATAAATTTTAATTAAATATTTACAAACTAATCACTGTTTTGCATCTCTTACACCTCTGTCAAACACTCAGAAATTTTTGCCAGAATTTCAGTTGCACAAAATTTTCCTTGTGCTGTTAGAATGTTATCTGGCTTATGCCACTCTCTCCCCAAGGGTTAACGTGCCTCGTCACAATCATGCAATATTTTTGGATAGGCAGCTTTGAAATTGATCACTAAACTATCAGTTTTGACTGATGTGTTTGATTATTTTGTTTGGGGCAGGGGGGTTAATAACAAATTGCTGTATTGTGGAGCAGAAAAAGGTAGACAAGTTGAACTTTGCTCTATCTAAAGGTATAAAAAATGCAACTAGAAGGAGGAAGGAGCAGTGCTAGAAAAGTATTCCTGATTATGAGTGGAAAAATATAATATTCTATACAGTTTTATCTTGAATAATTTATTGATTGGATTGCCATTGTTTTAATAAAAATATAGTTTATTTGAAATGAAAATTTTCCATTGGTGGTTTTGAAGTTCATTTGAACATCATTAATAAAAATAAGCCATGCATCAAGCCCTCCAAGTGCTGCAGGACTCTAACAAGCCCTGGGAAGGGTTAAAGATCCGTTGCCAACCAGGAAAACAAGCTGGGCTAGGAAATGGAGATCTCAGCAATACCATTCAATCTGGCCATGGCCTTAAGTTGTCATGATAAAGATTAACTACTCTCCTTAGAGTACAGAGGGAACTGATATTTATTTGAAGCAGTTTTCTGAGATCACAGGCCCAGCTTAGGGGTTTGAAAGTCTGCACTGAGCCCTGCTACACCTTCCATTTACTGCTTAAATACTCAGCACCTGGATGCACTCCAGGTCAGGTGAGCCCATAGATAGCTATGCTGTACTCAGCTATTAATGGAATGCCAGGTTCAGAGCATTCCTGCCCTTCTCTCCATAGCCTGAGATGTACGATAGAAAGCCCAGCCATCAGGATTCTCTTCAGTTTTTAGTTTGCACAACAACCACACCACTCCTGAGAAGAAATGGGATCAAAGGGCAATCTACTTCAAGTGAGAGCTTTCTGGGGTTTTATAACAGATATATCACAGTGGCAACTGGAATTACTGGAGAGTCCCTCAGGTGTGGGAGGCAACCGTGGGAGAACACAGAGGTTCACCATGTTATTTTTACATCTTAAAAAAATATGTACACCTAGATACTAATCGGATCTCTCCAGGATTAGGTATAATAAGTAAGGAAAATCTTGAAGGCTGTATTTTATGTACTTTGTTTAAATACCTGTAGAAACTTTTCCCTTTAATACTGAAAAATACTATGACGTTTTCATGTATTGAAGTTCAATTGCTTTGTGAATTCAAAGTCTTTAATATGCATAGAGGCTAACATTGGATATAGCTAATGAGTCCTGTGCTATTTTGAAAAAAAAAAAAAAAAAAACTTGAGGAGAAGAGTTGTAAAGAGTTTGCATGGTGAGTGGAGGAATTGGAACCTCTACTTAGCCAAATGAGATACTTCAAGTATAATGAGTATTTTTCTGGAGCCAAAACAACCAGCCCAGGTAAATTTTAACAAACTTGAAGGACCTGCAAATTTGTTTAGAGTAATATGTTTGAATATTTGTAACTATAACTTGGTGCGAGTATACACTGCATGATATAGAATGGTGACAAGGACATATTTGTAAGGGAAGATCCTCCATGCCAAGACTATAGTTTTCATTGTTAATTTACTTACAAGATATAAGAAATACATTTAGGATTATTAAAAGCCTCTTCATTTCATTCCATTGCCAGTTTATTGCTATTTGAGAACCGAAGTTTTATTCTTTACTTTTAGATGACTGTTGCTTATATAGCTCCTCTTTTCTTAGTCCTCATTTGTCCCTACATGGTGGAACAGAAAGGGTTTATATATTAACAGGTCAAATGTGTTTGTCATCAGAAAATTAAGTACAGAGTAATGATTGGATTAAATGTAAATTTAAGCCTCCATAATTGAAAAAAATAGGAATTTCTAATTTCTGCTTAAGTGGATTTTATAGATTAAACAAGAGGCTGAACTTTTGGAGGTAGAATGAGTGAGTGATGTGCAAGTGGCTAAGTGGCAGCTGTAAGGATGGTTTCTTTTTCCCCCACCTTCCTCTTCCCGGGCCTCCTCTTCCTTCTTCTTTTTCTTTCTCTCCTTCTAAATAATCTCACTAAGTATCTTGATTTTTTTGCAGAATAAAGCAGGTTATAAGTAAGTATGGCAATAGCCCTTTTTTGTGGGAGATATGTTCCAAGGCCCCCAGTGGATGCCTGAAGCCAAGAATAATACCTGTATTAGTTCATTCTCACACTACTATCAGGAACTGGTAACTTATAAAGAAGCTGGGTAATTTATAAAGAACCTGGGTAATTTATAAAGAAAAGAGGTTTAATTGGCTCATGGTTCCACAGGCTCTACAGGAAGCACGGCTCAGGAGGCCTCAGGAAGCTTACAATCATGGCAGAGGGTGAAGGGGAAGCAGGCACAGTCTTTCCCATGGCCAGAACAGGAGGCAAAGAGGGAGCAAGAGGAAGAAACAAGGAGGTGCTACACTTTTAAACAACCAGATCTCATAAGAACTCTTATCACCAAAGCAGCAAGGTGGAAATCTGCCCCCATGATTCAGTCACCTCCCACCAGGCCCCTCCTCCAACACTGGTGATACAATTCTACATGAGATTTGGGTGGGGACGCAGGGCCAAATCGTATCAATACCCAACCTTATATACACTATGTTTTCTTGATCTGACAACCTAGTCAACTAATGGGTAGGTAGCATATACAGCATAGATATGCTGGACAAAGGGATAGTTTCATGTCTCAGTTTCATGTTTCATTACACTACTCAGAATGGCATACAATTTAAAACTTATGAACTGTTCATTTCTGGAATTTTCCTTTAAATATTTTTGGACCATGGTTAACCTCAACTAACTGAAACCATAGAAAGCAAAACTGATAAGGAGGGACAACTGTAAAAACCTCCTAACTGAAATATGACCAACCTTGAGAGATTCTCTCTATGCCTTGGCAATATTTTTGAATCACAGCTTTATTTTCAAAAATAAAATGCTTCACTTTTTCCTCTCAACTCTGAGGACAACTGTTAGATTAATCATCAAAACTCTACTTTATTTTTTAAATTCTGTGATCTGACATCGATTATAATATCTCATTTCAAAGGCTAATGATCCTTCATTGACATCTTTGTATCATCCCCATTTCTAAATGGCACAGGTTATAGAGAACTATGTAAAAGATTAGGTTGTCTTTTGGTTATTTCTCAGATATGATTCTAATTTTAAAAAATAGAGCCAAGCTTGGCACTGTATACCCATTATGTAAATTGCTTGTAATACATGTGAAGTCATCAGATCAATACATTGAAACAGTCCAATATTGGTTTTCCTTGATACCATTTATTCTGATATGGTGTACCAACTCTGACCTGAGGTGCTTGTTAGGAAACGAAATAAATGGAAGTGGAGTTTGTATGCCATATTATAATGGAATGGAGATTGCATTATAATTCCCCAAATGGATACTAGCTATTTTAAATACAATACCTATAATGATTTCTGGGCCATCGTTACCTAGTGATTATAATCTTGTTCTAGCTCCACAGGCATTACCTCAGTCCACACCATCATTATCTCTCATCTAGTCTTCTTTAATAGTTTCCAACCTGCCCCTTTATAATTTATAGTCCACATATCTGCTAGAATAATCCTTAAAAAATGTAAAGATTATGTCCGCTTAAAAATCTTGAAAAGCTTCCCCTTGTAGTGTTGTAAAATCCAACTCCTTGCCTGCCCTGTGAGACCTGCATGATCTCGCTTCCCTCCTCTGATCTCATCTCATCCTTTCCCCTCAATGACCACACTTCAGTGACACTGGCTTTCTTTCAGGTTCTAAAATGTGCCAAGCTCTTTCCAAATTTAGGACTTTACACATGCTTTCCCCACTTGTAGTTCCCTGACTCCCATCCACACCCTATTCCCATGAGTAGTATCTTATTTTCTTACAAAGTTCTTTGGCTTAAATGTCACCTCTGGAGAGGGGCCTTCTGTAAGCAACTTTCCAAAACTGTTTCATGTCTATTAGAACTCGTGTTTGTTTTCTTTATAACTTTGCAAAGAACTTATAATTTGTGATTGTATATTTGTTCATATAGTAGTACTAATATTTTAAGTACCTCCCAATCTGTTTCTTTATCAGTTCTCTCTCCCTGATCCTGATCTGCCATATAGCTCCAGAAAGTAAAAAATGAGAGCAAGTACTTGTTTATAATAAGTCAGTAGGCTTGAAAACCAGGCTTGGAATATAGAGAGCATCTACAGTCCTTTAGCTCCTTGTTAATGTTTTAAGTACTAGATTTTAATTGTCTGTGTAAAAACATACAATTTTATATAAGGATAGTCAAATTAAAAAAGGCAGTGAATAGAGCCCTCATTCCTTCCAAGCCCTGGGGAAGTGAAGAAAGAAGAGAACTTGATAGAGGCGGGAGGGTGAAGATACTGGATATCTGGGTTTGGAAACCTCCTCTGTAGGCTTCAATTAGAAGAGATGGGTACCACCAAAGCCAACTGCTCAGTCACCCCTAGTTTGGGAGAATTACAAAGAGATCATTGAGTGGAGGACCCTCACTTTGACATGGGAGACCCAGCATTGTCAAGAAGGTAGAATGACTTGTCCAGACAGAAAGGTCTAGCTTATGCTTCCAAACTTCCTTTGTTTCCTATATTGGGTGAACATTTTGTTGAGAGCTAGAGATTCTGCCAAGTAGCACCCTGTGGGCCTACAGCAGAAACAGGAATGGATTCCCTGGGCCTTGAGAGCATCTACAGGGCTTGATAGCATCTAAGAATCCTACAGCTAGAGATAGACAAGTTTGGACCACTGTAGTGGGGAAGCGTCAAAAGAATAGGTAAATAATTCACAGATTGCCAATAGGGGCTGATGCCTAGGCTGGATCAGATAAGTCACTCCTTATTGAATTCTGGATTAGCCACTGAGACTATCAAAGATATGGAGGGCACAGTGGGGTTCAAAGGATTCTTCACCATGCCTCTAGAAGTCACATAAGCCTCGTACTCAACATATATCCTGACACTACCTTAGACAGGAAGGCAGAGGGAGTGGGGATGGCCTGAAAATAAGAGAGGTTGGGTTATTATCCAGAAAAGACTGAATATTACTTAAAAAGATTGTTTAAAATAGTGGGACTAAGTTATAAACAACATTGTACTAAATGAAGTTTCTTTTCTTATGCTAGGTAGGGACTCTGAAAAAGACCTAGTTAATTATAAACAATATAAAATACTTACAATTTTTCTGCTTATATGAGTTGAGGTGTGATGAATTTTGCCTTTCTCTTATAATTACTATACATATCATCTATGAGGACAAGAGTCACATGGCCATGTCCCTAGCTCCTGATATACTGCTGGTATAAAACAAGTGTCCAACATCTTTGCTGAGTGAATGAATGAATACTACTTAAGAGTGCTGCACAGATATTTCTTGGACAACCATTAAGGAAAAGATAATGTTTAATTAACCAGCTGTGAATGTCTAGGGAACTCAACCTGACTATAATGAACAGTAAAACACTGGCATCAAATCTGATTGCTGCTTCTAGTTCTGTCACTAAATATCTGTGTGGAATGGAGTAAATCTTTTAAATGTCAGCCTCTTCAACAATTTTTATAGCTATTAGTTTCTTTATGTGTTGATACATTATGATTGACTATAAGACTGACAGTGCAGGTGAGACCTTTACCTTGAGAGCTTAGAGAGCTACTTGAACACCCTTGATTAAAGAATGGTCCTCTTCTATCAGGGAAGGTCATCCTCTCCAACCAAGTTTTCAACTTCAGGAGGGTTACGCATGGAACACTGGAGGAAAGGGACACCTGTATAGCCAGACATCAGCTGAATCAACCCTGGTGATCAATGGGTGGTAGATGTTGAAGCCAGATCACCCTCACAGGAGACCTTCACCTTGAGTAGTTGAGTGTTGAGTAGATATTTTCCCACCATCTACTTATCCATCTATTTATTTGGAATAATAACTGTTAAAATAATGTCAGCTTTTCAAAAGAAAGGTGTTATCTAATAAACGTAGTAATGTTAAAAGCCACTCTTAAATAAGAAATCAAAGCCTTTGTTTTGATTCACTTATATTAATTAAGGAAAACTGGCAATAACTCAGATTCTTTCCTTTCTAAAATGACCCTACCTGGGTTATCAGTAATTATATCCAATTGCTATTTACTTTCCCATCTTTCCCCATATATTTAGGTGGAATTTAATGACCCAGTGCTGGGCTCAAGAACCCGACCAAAGACCTACTTTTCATAGAATTCAGGACCAACTTCAGTTATTCAGAAATTTTTTCTTAAATAGCATTTATAAGTCCAGAGATGAAGCAAACAACAGTGGAGTCATAAATGAAAGCTTTGAAGGTAAGTTTGATTCTTCAGAATTTTCTAGTTTTCGCTGCACTGTGAACTGAACAAAGTTAAAATGGAATGTACACAGAAAGCATTTTGGGGTAGGCAAAAAGAATAATATACTGGCACCTTTGTCATCATAATTAAGTGTTTATTGCATTCCTCTTTGAAAATTATTTGTATTATGCACTAAATTGAAAAAATAAAGGATAGTTCTATGGCCCCTGGATTTATAATCTATGACAGTAAGGAGGAGAATTAACATGTTAGACTACATTTTCATAAGGTCTGTTCTCCTTCTCTTCTCCCCCCACACACCAGTTTGGACCTCAAGTACAGAGTTAATTATAGACTCTTTGCTTACGGTACATTATCATCATTGGCCTATGCAGGGCTCCTGTCTTGTTTGTTTGTTTAGCCATTTTATCCCCATATTCCTCTCCTCTTCAACTTCCTCCCTCCCTGTCAGGCAACTATTCTAACGTCTTTAGTGTGTATCTTTTCATTTGTATGTTTTCCTGCAAAATGTGTATTTTTTTAATGAATGAATGCATTTTTCTTTCTGTTTTCATTAAGCACTGTATTTTTAAGGTCTGTCCATGTTGCTATGTATATATCTAATCCTTTGCTTCTGATGAGTAATTTTGCTATGATTATTGTAGTGGATCAGGTCTTGCTAAGATCTAGTCTGATTCTATGACTTCAGTATTTGGTGATTAAGTTAATAATATTCTGTGCCGGGTGCGGTGGCTCACGCCTGTAATCCCAGCAGTTTGGGAGGCCGAGGCGGGCGGATCATGAGGTCAGGAGATCAAGAGCATCCTGGCTAACACAGTGAAACCCCATCTCTACTAAAAATACAAAAAAAATACAAAAAAAAAAAAAAAAAAAAAAAAAAAGCCTGTCCTGGTGGCGGGCGCCTGTAGTTCCAGCTACTCGGGAGGCTGAGGCAGGAGAATGGCATGAACCCGGGAGGTGGAGCTTGCAGTGAGCCGAGATCGTGCCACTGCACTCCAGCCTGGGCGACAGGGTGAGACTCCATCTCAAAAAAAAAAAAAAAAGATAATAATATTCTGGAACCATTCTACTATAATGGACAGACTAAGCCTTTTACTTAAATGTAAAGAGACTTAAAATACAGTAGTCACTTAATTCATTTCTAAAGTCACATTTACTGTTATGTATGCCTAATTGGCTGCAGAAAAATGAATTTAAAATATTTCTCCTTCAGCTTATCTAGAACTTCTTGTTATTAAAAGTTTGCAAGGCCCTTTGTTTATTTAAATGCAGACGTCCTTGCTTACAAACGAAACTGGCAAGATGGATCGCAACTTAGAATCTCGCAGAAATTAGGCTTCTTGCTATTTGCAGTGATTGACTATAAGACTGGCAGTGCAGGAGACACCTTTACCTTGAGAGCTTGCAGAGCTACTTGCACACCTTTATTAAAGAATGGTCCTTTCCTATCAGGGAAGGTCATACTCTTCAACCAAGTTTTCAACTTGAGGAGGGCTACACGTGGAACAGTGGAGAAAGGGGACACCCGCATAGCCAGACATCAGCTGAATCAACCCTGGTGATCAGTGGGTGGCAGATGTTGAAGTGAGATCACCCTCACATGAGACCTTCACCTTGAGTGATGCACTTGACTAATAGCAGATAAAAACAAGAAGCCCATGGACAGACATCTACTTGTCTATGCGTCTTACTACATATTTTGGGTGACTTTGGATCCATTATATGAGCATAAAACTCTGATCATGTAACTTCTTCAACACAAACTGCCAAGCGACAGATTGGAAAGGGCTGCACATGCCTTGGCCATGCGTCATAACCCTCATTAGAGTAAACCTTGTTAATAGTCTCACATTGTTTCTACTCACTATCATCCTGGACAGAGCTGATTCTTAGAATGCCAATGGCAGAACACTTGGGAATTATAACTGGCACAGCAACTCCATCCTTTTGGGGGGCTCTCTATATATATACTTGCCTATGTGAAGATCACATAGGATTAGGCAAACATACCCTTAAGCCATTCTAGGTACTATTAAGGCCTTGTCATTTTCTAAGCATTTACTTAATGAGACATTTCTCTGAATAAAATTTTGATAATTAAAAAAATTATTTCAACACTTACTGATCTGGGGGCAAGGCATAGTGTAAGCACCTGTATTTAATGTCTTCCATTTGTCTGCTTTAAAGAAAAACAAGAGGTGAGAGTATTTCTTTCTCTTGGAAGCTAGAATCAGTTTCTTTAATTTTGTTTGCCAAGTTTAGTAGTAAACTAGCTTTAACTGGTGATACTGAAAGTTGTCCTTGTCATAAGACTACATCTATATCCATAGGAAATATTGGTGTCACCAGTTCACTATTTAATAATAATGTTTTGCTCAAGCCATTTTAATCTGCTCCAGCATGGCCTGGTTCTTATTTGTCATAACTTCACATATGGAAACTTTAGAGGAACAATCATGCAGAGCGGTTTGCCAATACATAAAATTAAATCTTTTGTTCCTAAGATAGAAAAACATCAGTAACTGGGTTGAATTGAATATAGACATATCTGAAAGACAGGCAAAACATGGTTTTGCTTGCTTGGCACTGAAAGCACATTTTCTTAACTATATCACTCCTCTTTTTTTTAAAATAAATTTATGGAGTACAAGATTGTTTAGTAATGAAGTCAGGGCTTTTAGGGTATCTATCACCTGAATATTGTACCTTGTACCCATTAAGTAATTTCTTATTCACTCTCCCACACCCTTACCCTTTCAAGTTTTCATTGTCTATCATTTCATACTCTAGTCTATGTGTACACATTGTTTCAATCCTACTGATGAGTGAGAACATGTGATATTTCTTTCTGTGTTTGTCTTGTTTCATTTAAGATAATTGCCTCCAGTTTCATCCATGTTGCTACAAAATACATGATTTCATTCCTTTTTAGTGGCTGAATAGTATTTCATTGTCTATAACACATTTTCATTATCCAGTCATCCATAGATAGATACTAGGTTGATCTCATACCTTTGCTATTATGAGTAGTACTGTGATAAACATATGAGTGTAAGTATGTTTTTGATATAATGATTTCTTTTCCTTTGGATAGATACCTAGTAATGGAATTGCTGGATTGATTGCTAGATCATATTTTTAGCTTTTTGAGAAATCTCCATACTGTTTTCCGTAAAAGTTGTATTAATTTACATTCCCACCAACAGCATGTAACTGTTCCTCTTTGTCTGCATCCTCGCCAACATCTATTATTTTTGACTTTTTAGTAATGGCCATTCTGACTCGGGGAGGATGATATCTTATTATTATTTTAATTTGCATTTCGCCGATGATTAGGGATTTTGGGCATTTTTCCATATACCTGTTGGTCAGTTGTATGTCTTCTTTTGATAAAACATCTATTCACATCCTTTGCTCACTTTTTAATGGGATTATTTGCTTGTTTGTTGTTGTTGAGTGTTTGAATTCCTTGTATATTCTGGATATTAGACCCCTGTTGAGTGAATACTTTGCAAATATTTTCTCCCATTCTGCAGATTGTCTGTTTATTCCACTGATTATTTCTTTTTCTGCACAAGCTTTTTAGCTTAATTAAGTCACATTTGTCTATTTTTGTTCATGTTGCCTGTGCTTTCAGTGTCTAAGTCATGAATTATTTGCCTAGATCAATATCCAGAAGAGTTTTCCTTAGGCTTTCTTCTAGTATTTTCACAGTTTCATTTATTACATGTAAGTCTTTAATCCATCTTTGAGTTAATTTTTGTATATGGTGAGGGTAAGGGTCCAGTTTCATTCTTCTGCATATATCCAATTTCCCCAGCACCATTTATTGAAAGGGGTGTTTTTCTCCCCAGTATGTGTTCTTGTTGACTTTGCAAAAGATCAGTTGGCTATAAATATGTGGCTTTATTTCTGGATTCTGGATTCTGTTCCATTAAACTATATGTTTATTTTTATACCAGTACCATACTGTTTGATTACTATAGCCTTGTAGTATTATTTTTTAAATTTATTTTTAATTTTTGTGGGTACATAGTAGATGTCTATATTTACAGGGTACATGAGATGTTTTGATACAGGCATGTAATGTGTAATAATCACATCATGGAGAATGGAGTATCCACCCCTCAAGCATTTATCCTTTGTGTTACAAACCAATTTTTTACTTATAGTTATTTTAAAATGTACAATTAAATTATTATTGACTATAGTTACCCTATTGTGCTATCAAATATTTAGTCTTATTCATTCTTTCTCTTTTTTGTACCCAATAACCATCCCCAACTCCCCCACCCTGTCCCTTACTACCCTTCCCAGTTTCTGGTAACCATCCTTCTACTCTCTGTCTCCATGGGTTCAATCGTTTTGATTTTTATATTTCACAAAGAAATGAGAACATGAGATATTTATCTTTCTGTGCCTGGCTTATTTCACTTAACATAATGATCTCCAGTTCCATACATATTCTTGGAAATGACAGGATCTCATTCTTTTTATAGCTGAATAGTACTCCACTGTACTATATGCATATACCACATTTTCTTTATCCATTTGTCTATTTTTTTTTTTGAGACAGTCTCACTCTGTCCCTCAGACCAGAAAGCAATGGCATGATCTCGGCTCACTGCAACCTCCCCCTTTCAGTTTCAAGCGATTCTTATGCCTCGGCATTCCGAGTAGCTGGGACTACAGGCACGTGCCACCACGCCTGGCTAATTTTTGTATTTTTTTTAGTAGAGACTGGGTTTCACCATGTTGGCCAGGCTGGTCTAGAATTCCTGACCTCAAGTGATCCGCCTACCTCTGCCTCCCAAAGTGCTGGGATTACAGGCGTGAGCAACTGAGCCTGGCCTATCCATTTATCTACAGATGGACACTTAGGTTGCTTCCAAATCTTAGCTATTGTAAACAGTACTGCAATAAACATAGGAGTGCAGATATCTCTTTGATGTACTGATTTCCTTTCTTTTGGGCATATGTACAGCAGTGGGATTGCTGAATCAAATGGCAGATCTATTTTCAGTTGTTTGAGGAACCTCCAAACTGTTCTTCTTAGTGGTTGTACTAATTTACATTCCCACCAACAGTGTATGAGGATTCTCTTTCTCCACATCCTTGCTAGCATTTGTCTTGCCTGTCTTTTCAATGTAAGCCATTTTAACTTGACTGAGATGATATCTCAATGTAGTTTTGGTTTGCATTTCTGTGATGATCAATGATGTTGAGCACTTTTTCACATGTCTGTTTGCCATTTGTATTTCTTTTTATTAGAAATGTCTATTCAAATCTTTTGCCCATTTTTTGATCAGACTATTAGCTTTTTTCCTATCGAGTTATTTGAGCTCCCTATGTATTCTGGTTATTAACCCCTTGTCAGATGGGTAGTTTGCAAATATTTTCTTCCATTCTGTGGATTGTCCCTTCACTTTGTTGATTGTTTCCTTTGCTGTGAAGAAGCTTTTTAAATTTGATGTGATCCCATTTGTCCATTTTTGCTTTGACTGCCTGTGCTTGTGGGGTGTTGCTCAAGAAATTTTTGCCCCAACCAATGTCCTGGAGATTTTCCCCAGTATTTTCTTGTAGTAGTTTCATGGTTTGAAGTCTTAGATTTAAATCTTCAATCCATTTTTATTTGATTTTTGTATATGTAGAGAGATAGGGGTCTAGTTTTATTCTTCTACATATGGATATCCAGTTTTCACAGCAGCATTTATTGAAGAGACTGTCTTTTCCCCAGTAGATGTTCTTGGCATCTTTGTAAAACATGAATTCACTGTAGGTGTGTGAATTTATTTCTGTGTTCTTTATTCTGTTCTTTTTTATGTATTCCATTCTGTATATGTACCTTTGATCTATGTGTGAGTTTTTATGCCAGCACTATGCTGTTTTGGTTACTATAGGTCTGTAGTATAATTTGAATCCAGTAATGTGATTCTTTGAGTTTTGTTCCTTTTGCTTAGGATAGCTTTGGCTATTCCGAGTCTTTTGTGGTTCTATATAAATTTTCAGATTTTTTTCTATTTCTGTGAAGAATGTCATTGGTATTTTGATAGGGATTGCATTGAATTTGTAGACAACTTTGGGCAGTATGGCCATTTTAACAATATTGATTCTTCCAATCCTTGAGCATGGAATATTTTTCCATTTGTTTGTGCCTCCTACAATTTCTTTCATCAGTGTTTTGTAGTTTCCCTTGTAGAGAATTTTCATCTCCTTGGTTAATATATTCCTAGGTGTTTCATTCTTTATGTGGCTCTTGTAAATGGCATTGCCTTCTTGATTTAATTATCAGCTAGATTATTTTTGGTATATAGAAATGCACTGAATTTTTGTACATTAATTTTGTATCCTGAAACTTTACTGAATTTATTTATCAAATCTCAGAGTTTCAATGATAAGAGCACGCTAATATCCCTGATGAACACAGATGCAAAAGTTCTCAACAAAATACTGGCAAGCCAAATCCAAGAACACATGAAAAAGATAGTATACTATGATCAAGTAAGATTTATCCCTGGGATGCAAGGATAGTTCAACATATGTGTATATGTTGAAGACACATTTTGTGGAATCTTTAGGTTTTTCTAGATATAAGATAATATTATCTGTGAATGCCTTTTATGAGATGCCTTTTTATTTTCTTTCCCCTGCCTGGTTGCTCTGGCTAGGACTTACAGTACTATGTTGAATAAGAGTGGTGAAAATGGCCATCCTTGTCTTGTTCTAGTTATTAGAGAAAATGTTTTCAACTTTCCTCCATTTAGTACAATGTTGGCTATGGATTTGTCATATATAACCTCTATTATTTTGAGATATGTTCCTTCCATGCCTAATTTTTTGAGAGCTTTTATTATGAAAGAATGCTAAATCTTGTCAAATGCCTTTTCTGCCTCTGCTGATATGATCATATGGTTTTTGTCTTTCAGTCTGTTGATGTAATGTATCATGTGTCTTCAACATATACACATTTGTTGAACTATCCTTGCATACCTGGGATAAATCTTACTTGATCATAGTGTGCTATCTTTTTCATGTGCTCTTGGGTTTGGCTTGCCAGTATTTTGTTGAGAATTTTTGCATCTGTGTTCATCAGGGATATTAGCGTGCTCTTATCATTAAAAGCAACAAATAAGGCTCAAATTTTTTGACAGATAAGGCTCAAATTCTTTGTGACTATAATTTTATAGACTTTATTAATTAACACAATCATGACCTTCTTAAAAGTTTAAAAACAATTTTTATGTTATTTTACAACCATAAAAATGACTTCTGATTCCTTTCTATTTTTCTTGTAACTTTTCCAGTAATCTCAGTAACTGTTCTTGCTGTATTATTTTATAATTGTATCTACATTTTAAAGATCTTTATTGTAAAAGTAATTTATGTTTATTATAAAAAATATAAAATTACTTAAGCAGTCTAAAAAGTAAAAGTTTCCTAATTCATCCTTATCTCACTCCCCAGTGCTAGCCAGAGCTAACAATTTGGTTATATATTTGCAGATATTGTATGTGCATATATAGCCATTTACAGAAATGCTCATTTATGTATGTTTGTATATATACTATCTGGATTCAGATACTAAATTTAGGTAATCTAAAGGAATTCATGGGCTGTAGATTCTGTAGTAGGTTCTCCAGCATTTTTTTCTTACAAATAAGCTTATTTTTAAGGATTTGGTGAGAAGATGATTTTGTATTACATCTTCTGCCAGAATCCAGGAAATGAGCATTCTATGTTGTTATTGAGAAGAAATCCATGTTCTGTGGGAGTCCAGAGGAAGGATGCCAAGTCTACACTATGGCAGAGGGAGAGTCAAGAAAAACCATTGGGAGGAGGTTACATCTAAGCTGAGACCTACTTAGAAGCTTAGGTATGAAAAAGAGAAGCTGAGGTATCCTATGTATTTCAGGATAGAAGAAGCAGCATGTAGAAAGGCAGGGAATAATAGAGAATGAGGTATTCATAGAACTGCACTTTGTTTATTATACATGAGAATGTGGCAAGTGATAAAATTGGAGGGTTATTGGTCACACTAATCAAAAGTAAGGAATGAAAAGTAATGAAAGCTGAATTAATGAATGGTAACAGGTGTAGAGAGAACAAAAAAGAGTCCGGAGTTACCACAGAGGTAGATGCTATCGGACTTGGCAACTAAGTGCGTAAAAAAGAGAAAGGAGAAAGTTGGTAAAAATCAACGCTATTCCTGGAGATGAGGAACATAGGAAGAGGAACAGTTTTGCATATGTTTGGTTTGAGTTGGCTTGGCATATCTAAGCGGAGAAGTCCAGGACACAGTCAAGATATGGGTTCATACTCAGTTGAAAGGTCTGTCCTGTAAATATAGATGGTTGAAGTCCAGGGTGCAGACTAGGTCATTAAAGTAGAGTGTATGAAATAAGAAGAGAGTGACAAGTGGGTGGAACCCAGAGAGCAGCCGGTATAGGAGGGGCTTACAAAGATGGTGGACATGGGGAGGAGCAGCCAGAAAGGGAAGAGGAAAGCCATAGGGAGTGTTGTTATGGAAATCCAGAGGAGAGAGGCTTAGAAAGGAAAGAGTGAACAAATGCTGCAGAGAGGTAAAGCAATCCAGAGGGTTGCACAGATTTTGCAGTTGACTTGTATTCTAAAATTCAACTCTTTGCTCATGGAATCCTTTCCTTCTAATGTGCAAAGATACATTATAAAAGTCACAGAGGGCCAGGCGCTGTGGCTCATACCTGTAATCCCAGCACTTTGGGAGGCCAAGGCGGGCAGATCACAAGGTCAGAAGATCGAGACCATCCTGGCTAACATGGTGAAACCGCGTCTCTACTAAAAAATAGAAAAAATTAGCTGGGCATGGTGGTGGGCGCCTGTATTCCCAACTACTAGAGAGGCTGAGGTAGGAGAATGGCGTGAACCTGGGAGGCAGAGCTTGCAGTGAGCCGAGATCGCACCACTGCACTCCAGCCTGGGCGACAGAGTGAGACTCCATCTCAAAAAAAAAAGAAATGAAAAGAAAAAAAAAATGTCACAGAGGTTGCCATAATGGGTGTTAGCAGGCCTGAGAGCTTAGCTTCACCTTAGGTTCTACTTGAAGTCTCCACGGACCCTTGAGAAAATCTTTTCACCATTTTGCATTGCATAGTTCATCTATGAGGCAGAGATAGGTAAGAAACAATGCTCACACTCAATATAAAGAGTAAAATACCTCTGTGAAAGGCTTTTAATTAGAATAGTAGCTAATTTTATTTTAGTACTTTTCCATGTGCCACTCACTGTGCTATGTAGGTTAACTCATTAAATCTTTATAACAGCCTTATGAAGCGGATATTACTATATCACCATTTTACAGATGAGAAAACTGAGGTTTAGTGACTTGCTCATAATCATACTGCTGAAATAGGGCTAGAGTTTGTCTCCATTGTTGAGCCTTTCCTCTCAGCCTTCACAAATCCCTGGCTGTAGTAGGGAAATGGCCCAAACAATATCCCCAGTTATGTTACCAATAGTGTACTGCACAGCTAGGTATAATGAAAGCAATGATTACTTATGACCTGCTAGAAAATATACACCATTTTTTTCTGGTTATACCAAATCTATTTAGGTACCAAGTTGTTGGCAGAAAGAATTAAAATTCTAAGTAATATTCCCAACAATAGAGAAGCAGACAAATATTCAAAGTAATGATGCAGGAAGAATTTAACAGGGAATATCATCAAACTATAACAATTTAGAAAGAAACAAGCATTTCTGGGCCATGACAGAAATAAAATTTTAGGAAAAGAGAAATTGCTGTTCTGTTATTTACAATGAATGTAAATCCTGAAGATAAGGAATGAAAAGAGATGTGGAAATCACTAAATTGATAATTGAGTTTGTGACTGAGCAAGAAAGGCAGGGAAGAGAGAAAAAACTGAATTAAAGGCGGAGTTTGCATATCTGCAAAGGATAGAAATAGTGCAACAGACCTTTCAAGGCAAACCTAAACTTAATTATTTTTTCAATAAAAAATAATGTGTTTAATAATAGCTTACTGCTTTGCAGACTGGTGGGCATATTTAGCAAAGCAATAAAATGACTGTCTTCATTGTTGTTGTTGGAGATATGTACGTAGAGAAGAAAAGCTATTGAAAGGACTTTTTAAAGCAAAGAAGTGGGGGTGCTTAGAAAAACAGGGAGCAATAATACCATGCCTATCCTGTGGTCCTACTGACCTAATGGGGTGGAAAGGGGATAGAGAGAGAAGATTAGTAACATATCTGGGCATCTAGTAAAAATATCCCAGTGACTTCATCCAAACATTTGTGTAAACATCACCTCATCAGTCCCAGAGAGTTCTACAGGAAACAAATCTAAATGCTCCTCTGCTGTTCTAAACATAGCCAGTCAGCCGGCATATGTCTAGTCTGTAAATACCCCGTCTTACTTGGAAGTCTTTATTTTAATATTTCTCTCTTAAAGAGGTTGCCCAGTGCATGCTATCTTTGTTGAGGATATCTGCCTTAAGATCTGACCCATAGACTACTTATTAAATAATTTTTAAACAAAAGCAAACAAATAAGACAACCTATCTCTACTATCGCAGTCTCTTGTAAGCTCTTTTTGCAACAAGAAGATGTACTAATTGCTGAAAGCTTGCCAGGGTCAAGTTACTAAATATTGCTACAAGTACTATAAACCAATAAAGTAGTTAGCTAATGATTTTTCTTTGACACATAACAACAGAATTTGCAAAAAGAATTTATTTGCCTCATATAAAATATTATTTTTCAGAAAATTCAATAAGCAAAAAAGTTTAAAAAATTAAAATCATGTTTTAGTAGGAAGTTTTCCAATATGCTCATTCATGGATTAAATGTATGACAATGAAATAGCTGATATGAGTGGGTAGACTATATTGTAGATTTAAGTTTTTGTTGAAATTCTAAACTTTCCTTTAGACTGATTTCTTTAAGCCTATTAAGAACATCCTAATTTCCCCAATTATTGGATTACTGTACTACTTAAAGTTAAATATCTTATTTTTTCCTAACATTTAAAAATATTTTCCATTGCTATTATTACATATACCAAGTTATTCTTATGGGCATCTTAATGACTATTAGTGCATATTGGCAATAATCATAACAGTTGAATACCTTCCACAGGTGTTGAATACCTTCCACAGGTGTTCAACACCCAGGTACTAACCAAACTTGGCATCTGATGAAGTTCTTTCTATTAGGGAGATAATTTTACAACACATCTAACTATTCATGTGTTTTGAAATATGCTATAATGATGTTTGAACAATGAAGAGGAAAATTAGATGATACCAAAGAGCCTGTGAACCTGTAGCTTGGCTATCTTGTTCTTCAGCAGTTCGGAGGGTCTGCAAAAAGGAGATGCATACCTAATGATATGGGGAGAAGGGATGTAGTTCATACGTTCTTATAAAATAAGCTTTGTAGTTCAGGTGTTAAACTTAATAAATAGGTAGATCCATTAAATTTTTATTGGGAAAAATAGGTACACTGGTACCTCCCTTAGTCTTTTGAAATTATGGTATTTTCCTCATATTTCAATTGAAGTTCATTAAAAATAAATCAAACCTGGATGTGTGTCAGGGCTGAATGTAGAAATGTTTTTCATTCATTGCTATATCCATCAATAACTAGAACACAGGCTTGGAATGTAGTAGTCATCAGTAAATATTACATTAAGCAATTAATTTAGCAAAATTACTAAATCTAGAAAAACCAATCTTTAAAATTAGATATTTCAGTTGCTGTGGAAGTATAAAAAAGTACATACTTTAGACAAAAAGGGCCCTCTAAGGGCCAATTAAGTCCTATCACAAAGACCACGACTTGCTCCGCTTGTTAAGGCAGAGTTAATCACCCCTGTGCTCCTACTACATTTAAAAATATTCCTTTATTAAAGTGCATGTCACCTTCTATAGGTGACATATATATACATATAGCAGATCTATATGGTCTGCTTCCCTGCTAGACTGCAGCAGCCTCAAGGACAAGAAGCATGTTTTATTTGTCTTTGTATTCCCAACACTTAGTAGTCTTCATAAATGTTTGCTGAACAAATGTGTAAAGTTGGTGTTGCTATAATTCTGATATAGCTTGTATATTATTACAAATAAATAATTAAATACATGCTAGAATAACATTCATATTTTTTTCACAGGTGAAGATGGCGATGTGATTTGTTTGAATTCAGATGACATTATGCCAGTTGCTTTAATGGAAACGAAGAACCGAGAAGGGTTAAACTATATGGTACTTGCTACAGAATGTGGCCAAGGTGAAGAAAAGTCTGAGGGTCCTCTAGGCTCCCAGGAATCTGAATCTTGTGGTCTGAGGAAAGAAGAGAAGGAACCACATGCAGACAAAGATTTCTGCCAAGAAAAACAAGTGGCTTACTGCCCTTCTGGCAAGCCTGAAGGCCTGAACTATGCCTGTCTCACTCACAGTGGATATGGAGATGGGTCTGATTAATAGCGTTGTTTGGGAAATAGAGAGTTGAGATAAACACTCTCATTCAGTAGTTACTGAAAGAAAACTCTGCTAGAATGATAAATGTCATGGTGGTCTATAACTCCAAATAAACAATGCAACGTTCCTGATTTCTAATCTTGGTTCTGAGAGCCATTTGGTTTCAGTTGTAGCAATCCCCATACCAGCTGCCTGACTTTCAGTAGAATTATGAGATGAACACTAAGCATGTGGAAAGCTTAGGAAGACTCAGAAGTCTGGAAGGGAAACACTGCTCTCCCTTCTCCCTTGAGGTGCTTTAGGCTCTTACCCACCTTTCAGTTTGGGCTGTAATAAAAATATCTTGGCCACATGTTTAGAGACAGAATAGGTGTGTTCAGCGATATAAAGAAGAGGCTAAGGAGTAGGCTCAGGGGGGTCAACTGAACTACAGATAATCTCAAATGGGACCAAGGAAATGAGAAATAATTTCACACATACAGAAGAAACCAGCACCTGTGACTTGAGAAATCACTTGGAAAGCTGTTACTGCAATGATATATATATTATCTTTTTTTAATTTTTTTTTTTTTTTTTTGAGACGAAGTCTTGCTCTGTTGCCCAGGCTGGAGTTCAATGGCACGATCTCGGCACTGCAAACTCCACCTCCTGGGTTCAAGCAATTCTCGTGCCTCAGCCTCCTAAGTAGCTGGGATTACAGGCGTGTGCCACCACGCCCGGCTAATTTTTGTATTTTTAGTAGAGATGAGGTTTCACCATATTGGCCAGGCTGGTCTAGAACTCCTGACCTCGGGATCCACCTGCCTTGGCCTCCCAAAGTGCTGGATTACAGGTGTGAGCCACCATGCCTAGCCGATATATATTGTCTTTAATCACTACTGTAAAATATTTTGTAGTTTTGAGGCTTACAACAGTAGATTCAGTCATGTTGAAAATAAGACTGTGAAGATCTTTTAAGTCCTGAAGTTTTGCATTCTGTAATCTTCAGTTGTATAAAATCACTCTGACTTGTGTGCTATTATGGAAATTAACTAGTATAAAGATTGCTATTTGCCATATCTATTTTATGTATAAAATACTTAAGATTACATTTTGTATCAAATTATGCTTAAAATTAAATATAAATGATTATACAATGTTAATTCAAGCTGTGTGATTTTTAACAACCATATGAAAAAATAAATACCTAAATGAGAACTATTATATAAAAAAGCTCTTCAGAGAAACACCTTAACTTAAAACCAATATATACATTTTGCAGTTGTCCATTTAAATCTTAAAGCCACAATTGCTCTAACAGCAACACCAGTGAAGCCATTCTGTGTGTTATTCAGTTGCAGTATTCAGGAAATTTGCTAGATATAGAGAAGAACATTTTGATTATAGCATTTGCTAAAATCTGCTGTGGAAGAAGATCATGTATCCACTTCCACCTTGGATAGTTTAGTTAATCTTTTAATTTGCCTACTACCTGAGAGCCTGCACAGATGATTGGCAAGGAACACAGAGAAGTGAATGTGTTAGTTCTATGGTGAACAGCCCCCAAGTTAAGGTCCAGGATTTGTGGTCACTCTGCCACATCTGATATTCTGCTGAATAAGGCAGGATATTTTGTCTCTGATCTTCTCATCGTCTAATGGGCATTTGCCATTCTTTTTGTTATGCCATGATATGAAGCCCCTTCCTGTGCTGGGTAATTCCTCTGCCTTTATAATCTGGGTGGGAACTGTGTTCCATTCGCTCCCCCAGTGTCTCTTGCAGTAAGAAGGCAGGCATGTGACCCAGCCCTCACCACTAAGACCCACCCACCCACCTGCGCCAGGCTTCTAATTGAGACCTAGGGATGCAAAGAATCAGAGACCACGGGAAGTCTTCTCTGGTGATGGTGCCAACTGCAATAGTCTGTGTGTTAGTCCATTTTCATACTGCTATGAAGAAATACCTGAGACTGGGTAATTTATAAAGAAAAAGAGATTTAATGGAATCACAGTTCCACATGGCTGGTGAGGCCTCACAATCATGGTGGAAGATGAAGGAGGAGTAAAGGCATGTCTTACATGGCAGCAGGCAAGAGAGCATGTGCAAGGGAACTGCCCTTTATAAAACCAGCAGATCTCCTGAGACTTACTCACTATCACAAGAACAGCATGAGAAAATCCACCATGACTCAATTACTTCCCACTGGGTCCCTCCCACATACATTGGGATTATGACAGCTACAATTCAAGATAAGATTTGGGTGGGGACACAGCCAACCCATATCAATCTGGCTCCTGGCACAAAGGGGACACTGGTGCTAGAGGTGGCATCAAGAGTCCAAGGCCAGGAGAGTCAGCAGAGCTAGTCTAGAGCCTGGTGCCTCTGATAGTTTGGGCAGCCAGGCTAGACCCGTTCTGCTGTCTGCTCTCAAGTCTTCTCCAAGGTTCTGAGAGTTATCCCCATATCCCTTTAATAAACACTTATCTTTTAAACCAGCCAGAGTCAGTTTCTGTTGCTTGCAGTCAGGTTTTTGCTCTGACAGTGGCATGGACCTTTAACTCTGGAAGATACAAAAAGACATCAGAAGTGTATAGAAGAATTAGATTTGCCGTATAGTACATTTGCATTACAATTTGGGCAATAGAGAATGTATAGGATATCTGAGGGGAACAGCCTACAAAACTTTCATGTTTCAGCTAAGAAATAAGTGCAAATTAGCAGTATTTTTTATAATTCAAGATAAATAATAGTGGTAGAAATATTTAATTCAAAATAAAATAGTGGCTAAAAATGTCATGTGTAAAATGGATTATAGATAAAAATAATTTGATAAAGTATAGTTAGTTGGTTAATTCTGAAATTGTAGTACTACAATTGGAAGTTAATTCTAGAAAAAATAGATCTTATAATCAAAAGGAAAAAATTGACAGTGGCTAAAAACGGCTCTTGTTTAAATATATTATTCACAAAAAATTAGCATAAGAACAAAATCTTATTGATTTTTTTTTTTTTTTTTGAGACGGAGTTTTGTTCTTGTTGCCCAGGCTGAAGTGCAATGGCATGATCTTGGCTCACTGCTACCTCCGCCTCCCAGGTTCAAGCGATTCTCTCCTGTCTCAGCCTCCCGAGTGGCTGGGATTACAGGCGCCCACTGCCACGCCTGGCAATTTTGTATTCTTAGTAGAGATGGGGTTTCTCCATGTTGATCAGGCTGGTCTCAAAATGCCAGCCTCAGGTGATCTGCCTGCCGTGGCCTCCCAAAAGTGCTGGGATTACAGGCGTGAGCCACTGCACCCTGCTGATATTTTTTTTTAAATCTGCAAATGTGACCTAGGAAGACTTGAGAGAAGTAATAACTCACAAAGACAGAAGCTACAACTGGAAAGAGTTTATATGAAAAAGCTGATCAATGAATCTAACCTTCATTTAAAATTGTTCAAGGAAAAGAAATAATCCATAAGAAAAATATTTAAATAAGTTGAAATGCGATATAGGGTTGGAAGCAAATGCTATGTTGTTTATGGTTTAACACTGCCAATTGAGGAAATATTTATCTAGATAAAATAAATATGTTGATATAATTCTGATTAAAATGGTTTACTCCAAATGTTCTTGAGAAAAAGTCTGTTTCTGGGCCCAGATGCACTCTACATTTCTTACCTATGTTGGCTTTCACTTTCCTATTGGACTCTCTTGGCCTATTCTTTTCTGCTTACTAAATCTCACTCAACTTTTATAACCAGCTCATATTCCAACTCTTTGGAAAGGCCTGCCCCTAACCCTGTTCCTTCCCAGAATTACTTTTGCCCTTACTGTCTTTAAATCTCATTGGCAGTAACTGCAAGTTTTTTCCATTCTATTTCTATGCATTTTACCTACTCAAATAAATTGCAAGCTTTATGAAGATAGGATGGTGTCTTTTATTCCTTTATATAGTCTCCATGCCAAAGTAGGTATTTGTTTTTAATGGATTGATAAATAGATTTTCTCATCATCTACTTCCAGCCTATTACAGGACAAGTCCTTGCTTATGGCTCATACCAGGGATACCAGAAAATTGATCTAATGCCACTGGGGACTCATGAGGATTCTTTCAATAATGAGTTATCAGTTGAGACCTAGACAGATTATAGAAGTTGGGCAACTGCCTTGAAGTTAATATCAGACATAAGTGAGGACCAAACTTCTTCTTGAAGCCCTTGAAGTAATAGTGAACATATGCTAAAGGAAAAAAACATTTATTTTTAGCATTCTCAGTTTCTGCCCTATCCCAAACCCACCTTTTACCCTCAGAATAGCTTCTATGAATGTAGGATGGATGTTAGGGTGTCCTTGACTTCTCTTTGATACTCCTTGGTAAAAAGAAGCCTGTCCAACTTTCCTTTTGGCAGCTGGTCAGGGTTACAGGGAGCCTGAATCAGATGACCTATCCTGATTCTTTCGGGCTTCTTCACATACAACCAGAAGAATTAAGGGGCCGAAATATACTCCCCAAACACTACTGTGAATAATTTAGGATGTTTCCTTCCAGTTTTTTCTCCCCAATAGGAGCTTATTTTCATGGCTGGAATAGTTGTAGTTGTACCTCTCCTAGTTTTTTTCACTTAACATTATTACATAAGCTTTACCTCTAATTATTAAAAATATTTTGGGAGGGTTCCTGATGGCTGCATAAAATCACTTAGGGTGGATCTATTAGAGTTTACCCCTCCTTTGTAGATCTTCACATTCATTCATTTACTCATTTAATAGAGTGCCTAAAATGCAGAAAGTATTGTTACAGGTGCTAAAAATAGAGCATTAAACAAAGCAAAGTCTCTGCCTTGATGGAGGTTACATTCCAGCATTGTAGTTGGAAGAGGAGACATAATAAATAAAAAATATACATATAGGTGAGGAGCAAACTCAGCATTCTATAGTGCTGCAGAGCTTGAGACGTTTAAGTGCTCATTCAAGGTGGGTCTGTTGAGAAAACCTGGTGCCCTGAAACACAGAATAAAGGTATTTAGATAAATACCTCAAAGATTTTGGCTCAGCAGACCCTTCTGATCCCTCAGAGCTTGTAGAGGTGGCCCACCCCTCCAAAGTAAGAGCCAGCACTTTCTCTGTAGAGGAAAATGTGACAGAGGCCTCTTCTCAACCAGGCAACTGATGTGCCCTCAGGAACCACATTCATCTTTCCTGACAGCCAGGTTGATAACTATGCTGGATAAATCCCAGTATAACTTGACTAGGGATATGCTGGATCTGATAAGGAAGGAAAGAGATTACATCCCATAGGAGCTCCAAGAATTAGCTAACATGCACTGGCAGGGGTGGGGGGGATAATGCTGGCATTGCATTCTGAAGGTCAAGGGGATGGGAAGGTAAGACTGGGTAAGCAAGAATTCATTCACTGGGTGAGATTTTCCTGGGACATGAGATTTAACATTCTGGAAAAGACCAATGGAGATGAGGCAAATTTGTGGCTAGGGTGGCTTCAGAAGCCAGGAGACAACAAAGGCCCTTTCTGAGTTTCCCTGTCAAAAGGTAGAGTAAGGAATTAAAAGGCTAAGGAGTGGGAATGCTGAAGTGGACATATAATGTGAAGCCAGAAGACCCACCAGAGGATGCAGCATTCATCAAGGTCATCAGGAATGTGCTGATGAAAGGAGCCTCACAAGCATCACGAAGAAGCTCAGTGATGGTCTCCTCTGCAGGCAGAGCTTTTGGCAGGAGAGGCAGATCCAGAGCTGAGCTTGTTAACATCCATGGTCACAATGCGGGCCTAAAGTAATAGAGGCCAGATGGCTGCACTTGACCACCAGAAGCCAGGGACCCTTATCACTAATGACAGAGAGGAAGCCAAAGGGGCTTGACCATAGATATTGTGGAGATAGTTAATAAAGCATGTATTAGTTTCTTCTCACTGCTGTGAAGAAATACCTGAGACTGGGTAATTTATAAAGGAAAGAGGTTTAATTGACTCACAGTTCTGCAGAGCTGGGGAGGCCTCAGGAAACTTAACAATCATGGCAGAAGTGGAAACAAACATGTCCTTCTTCACACAATGGCAGGAAGGAGAAGCGCTGAGCAAAGGGGAAAAGCCCCTTATAAAACCATCAGATCTCGTGAGAACTCACTCACTATCACGAGAACAGCATTAGGGTAACCATTCCCATGACTCAATTACTTCCCACCAAGTCCCTCCCATGACACATGGGGATTATGGGAACTACAATTCAAGATGAGATCTGGGTGGGGGATACAGCCAAACCATATCAAAGCATGTATCCCTAGGGCAAAATAAATGGACAGCCAGTCCTTAACATCCAAAATCAGTAGAAGGCTTTATTAATCAGGGTTCTTAAGAGAAATAAAACTGATAGGATATATAAATAGATGATAGATAGATATATGACAGATAGAGATGATAGGTAGATGATAGATAGATAGATAGATAGATAGATAGATAGATAGATAGATAGACAGGGGACTTATTAAGGGGATTGGTTCTCATGATTATGGAGACAGAGAAGTCCCGCGATTTGCCACCTGCAAGTTGGAAATCCAGGGAATTTAGTAGCCTGACTCAGTCCAAGTCTGAAGGCCTGAGAACCAGGGGAGCCAATGGTGTAATGCTCTTTCTGAGGCCAAAAGCCTGAGAACCTGAGGGGAGCAACTGGTGCAAGTTCCTGAGTCTGAAGGCCAGAGAACCTGGAGTTCTAGTGGCCAAGGGAAGGAGAATATGGGTGTCCCAGCAGCAGCAGAAAGAGTAAGAGCAAATTAGCTTTTCCTCTGCCTTTTTGTTCTATCCAGGCACCCAGTCAACTGGATGATGCCCATCCACATTCAATACAGAAAGATGTTTCTTACTTAGTCCACTGATTCAAATATCAATCTCTTTCAGAAACACCCTTTCAGACATATACAGAAATAATATGTTACCAGCTATCTGGGTATCTCTTAATCCAGTTAAGTTGACACCTAAAATTAACTATCACAAAGGCAAAAATGTGACACCCAAAGTTAATGATCATAAAAACAAAATTAAAGAAACAGGGGGCTAACGTGGTCTTTCTGATAAAAATCATGATCCTTGCTCAATTCCCGGACCTGAGCCAATTTTTGGATTTGCAACTCATTGACTGACAGTGGAAGGACCCTGCAACATCATCACAGGCATATACTGCAACGGCAACTATGGCCACTTACTCCAGTGACTGTACAACTGAAGGAAGCGGGAATTCCCAGACATTTCAGACACTTGGATACAGGGTCTGAGTTGATATGGGCATCCAGAAACCTGATGCATTATCATAGTCCCTCTGTTAAAATGGGGCTTATGGGAGCAGGTATTAAATTGCATTCTGGCTAAAACCTAACCTACAATGTGTCCACTCGGGCCACAGCCCCACCCAGTGGTCATTTTCCTACTCTTTAAATGTGTAATTGGGATCAACATACTTTGTGATTGGCGTAACCCCCTCACTGAATCTTTGGCCTGTGTGGCAAAAGATACCATAGTGTGGAAGGCCAAGTGGAAACCTTTAAAACTGGCCCCCTTTTCCTTCCCCTCCCTCAACACAAATTGTAAATCAAAAACAACACAAATCTCAGGGGGATGACAGTGATTAGTACCACTATTAAAGATCTAAAGGTTTCAGGGTTCATGGCTTCTATCGTATCTCCATTTAATTCACTAGGGCTCCTGCCAAAACTGGATAGATCTTGGAGAATGAGTGTAGAATACCACAAGTTAACTCCAATAATGGCCTCAGCTACAGTTGCTATACCAGATGTAGTATATTTGCTAGAATATATTAATAAGGCTTCAAGTGCGTGGTATGTGTCTTGGCATTTGCTTCTCGGAGGATCCAAACTGATATATCATCCTATTGATGGGACAATTTAAAAGACTACTTATGATAATTGCTCTTAAAGTTTAAACATATGGAGCTAACGGTTGCCCTTGGCAAGTTTGTGTGTAGGGGAAGCTAAATTAAAATAGGTACAGGAGAAAATTAAAAAGTAAAGGGAGAGAACAAAGATGACTCATTTAAGGCATTTTTCCATTTAAAGGGAACAGAGAGGTGAGGTAGCAACTGGAAGAAGATGGGTCAAGGGAGGTTTTGTCTTGGGTTTGTGTGCATTTTTAAAGACAGGAAATATTGCAGCCTGTGTTTATTAACGGGAGCAATTCAATAGAGAGGGAAAAGAAATGATGCAAGATGAAGAGAACTGTCGAAATGATACCTTTGAGCAGAAGACAGAGATTGAGGCTCAGGATATAGGGGCAGGAAAAGGATGTATAATACTAACTGGCTCCTATGAAATGTGATAGAATTTCTCTCCACTACTTTTAGTAAGAGGACTTTCTTTAATGAAACAGGCTTCCAGCCAGTTTTTCTTTTTCTAACTTGTACTCTAAACTTCAAATCAACCTATATTTTAAAATTTGTTTACATATAATAAAATATTTTAATACACTGTGTTTTTTCATAATAATTGGTGGTAGCTGCTCAATGTACTTAATATCTAGCTAAGGTTAAAGAATACTGTAAGTCAAGTGTCAACAGAATGTTCTGTAGGACTACTGCAATCTCAGAACTCCTAAATTTGTGTCATGAAATGTTATTGCTACGTAAATGCCAAATAAGTGGCACAGACATTAGGTGAAAGAGTTCCCTAAGGGTGAGACCATATACTGCGGTGTGGTGGGGAGACAAGGTTTTGTAGAAGAGACAGAACTAATCTAGACTTGAAGAACAGATAGCATTTGAATAAGATGGCAATGAGGGTGAAGGTTTTCTGATCTGCTGGGAGGTAGGAATTCACAAGGACCTTCTGTGGAATATAAGAGAAAATGTTGCAGACTGCTCAGGGGAACAGTCAACCGGAACAATTGTGTTTAGGTACTCTGGTTAACTTCTTGTGTACCAGTGGGCTGAGGTCTTACCCAATGGTGAGCTTGATATCCTCCTGAAAACTTAGACAAGATAGCTCTAAGTTCATCTGATAATCGATATGTAGACAAAGGATAGGTAAGCACAATAAATAGATCAGTACACTAAAAGCTATCATGCAAAACGTTTTTAGTGTCACTTATAGAGTTTTTCTGTTTACAATAAGGACAATGAGAACAAAGGGTGTGTAATGGAGTTCAAATTAGAACCTCCTCTGATAAAGAAGAAAAACTAAATATGCACCCTAAAATAACAGTAGAAAATGTAGCCAGAAGCTTTTATGATGTGAAAAATATATACTGTTAAATTGTATAATTTATTTTATTTTAATATTTAATGTGTTGCCCTTGTTGCTGTTCTGTGACACAGGAAGATTCAGTGGTACCTGTACTTTCTGCCTCATTCTCTTAAGACCCAAAGCTTACATTAATTGGCAGCATGAGTATATATTATGACTGTGAAACATTGTTTATTTTTCTTTTTTAGTTTCAATACTTTATATCTCAAGCAAAAATAAGAGATGGCAGTATTCCACGATAAATTTATAAAATTTCCAGTCTTATCTATAATGACACCATTCCTTAAACATCAAATGACCAGACATCCCAAGTTTCAATGTGAGATGATGGTGTCTGATGTTACTGTTTTAATTTATTAACTAAATAGTTTGGAACTGTTAAGTAAAAAATTGTGAATAATTTTTCATCTCAGCAATTCCAATTGAATATAACTTCATAGTTGTTTTCCCTCTGGGGGTAGGCCTTTTCCCTAGATCATTTCTTATGCCCTTTAAAAAATATAAGTGAATAATATGTTTTTAAAAGAAGTGTTTGAACAAGGAAGAACAAACATCATAAGCCCTGTTCTCTATGTTTCTTACCAATATCTGTCTGTCAGCGACCTATTGTCAGTTTCTGAGTGTAGAGAAGAAACTGCCTGAGGTAAAAACGGGATTTCACACTCCACAAAGCAAGGTGGAATACTACTAATACAGCACCTTCAGGCAGTGCTTCTAAAGATATCAGGAAATTCCATAAAAAAGCTGGTACAATGGGAAAAAAGTCATTTGATACTAGAGGGAAAAAATCCAATCACTTATACATTGGGTATAACAGATTATACATTGGGTAAAATACTCTTAGAAGAAGAAAACGTGAAATAGGGTTGTACCGGTAAAAATAAATTTAACAATAACTCATTTTTTTATCCCATTTCTTGATAATACCATCATTGCCAAAGGGCCAATAATGTAGTTGCCAAAAATAAGAGCAACACTATAGTTTGAGAACCAGCAGGAAAAGAAATGAGTTTGGGACACTCTCATCAATGATCCCAATCATAGCTGTTGTTTCTAGCAAGTGTGTGCTTAGAATTTTAAGATCCTTAATTTTTGTTTCTGAGTGAAAAGAATTTTTATTTGAAGTATTCTAAAGAAGCTACCAAATTATAACATAAATAGAATATTTTTCTAGTTGTAAATACGGTAGAGATTAAAGTATGTACTCCAAAAATACACGTTGGTAAAAATTTCTAATTGCCTATAGATCATTTAGAGTGGTGCAAATATTGATTAGGAATAAAAAAGTTTTAATTCTTTAATTTCATTGTTGAAAGTTTAGTTTACCTTTAACCTAAATTTCTTACATGTAATCATAATATATTTATTCATTTATACATTTTTGATAGAAAGTGGAAACAATTATGAGAGGATAGTTTGAGCAAAGCCATTGTAGCCATTTTGAAACACTTGGAGATAAGCAGAAGTAGCGCTTACTGAGTCTAAGGACAAAACAAAGGAATAGGAAATATGCTGCTGCTGCTTTTCTAGGTGAAATAACTGAATTCCAGCAAGGCAGAGCAAATTTGGATGTCTCCATTTTTGTTTTAGAGGAACTTAGTTTCACAAGAATACACCGGAAACTCACAGAAATACTATAATTTGAGGTAGATCTGACACTGCGTTGTGGAGAACTTCAGATTTTTCTCCTACTGAGTTAACTCAGTAATTTTAAAGTGAAAAATTCCAAATGAAGGGTCACATGCTTTACCAAAGTAATAATTATTCTAGTAAGGTATATATATATATATATATATATACACATACATTCTAATAAGGTGTATATATATATATATATACACACACACATACATAATGTATGTATTTCTCTAAAGATTAAAAATTAATTCTTCGGCAAAATATCTTACTCTTTTCCCTAGAAAAGAAAATTTGCCTGTCTCTTAAAGTCAACTTGGATTAGCAGAATCACCTCTGCCGACACTTGTCAGTGGCCACTCCTTGCCTGGACGTGATATTTGGAGGTCATGGCTGGAAACAAATGGGAGCTGTTTTTGGAGGCTGCATTGCCTTTTTAGGTTATGAGGGTCTCTCTGTGTTTAGGATAACATGATTGACAGCTCCATTCTAGCTCCAATTAGCACCCTATAATTTATTAGCTTCTGCTTTCAGATTATGCGTTAACTTCACAAATATTTCAACCACGGAAACAGCAGCTATCAAGTATCTCTTTCTTGATCCAGCCCTCTGGGGCTGGAGTGAAATACAAGGAAAGAGAAGTACAGTTGGTCTGTCAAGTGAGAATAATCATTTGTGCCTGTGCCTGTCTGAGGGCATAATGTCTCTGATTTCTCTCTAGGTCTGCATCTGTGTGTGTGTGTGTGCGCGCGCGCGTGTGCGTGTGTGTTATATTTGTGGATAGATTCTATTTTGCAGATACCATATTTGTCTTTTTAGAGTTTTATATTTATAGGCAATAAGCAAGAATTGGTATTTAGGAAATGTGAAATTTACGTTTGCTTAACCCTGCTGCTTGTATAAATGTCACAATTTCAGTTACATACAGACAGCAATGGTAATAATGATACTGTCTAATATTTATTCCTTTACTCCAGATTTTAGGAATATATAATAAATCTTAAAAGTCTAGTAAGAAAAAATGAAATATACAGAGAAAACAGCTTGGCAAGCACAATAAAAATGTGAACTATTTGCAGGTGAATTGTCAACAAACTGTTAAGGCAATTTTACAAAGTGATCTTAGGTTTTTCAGTTTCATTTATTTTTAAAGTATTTTCACATATCTTTCCATTTTTCTTCCATGCTTAGATGACATCCTAATGAATTACATTAATAAATTCAATGTATGGACATAGCATTTACATGAAAGCAGTTTGTTTAAGTTCTATTTATTTTTTATCCCCTCCAACTCCAAAGTAATTGATCACTAAGTGCTTAAAAAAAGAGCTTCTTTACTTTGACAGAATATGTGCATGCCTGCACAAAAATGCAGGCTTTTTGATTCTAAGCAAAATGAAAATTAAAGTTACCTAAAGAGTTGCTTTTTCCAGATGCAGAAGGGCACAGAAAATACAGTACTTACCCAGAAAGAGTGAAAAGAGAAGTGTTCAGTCAGGGTTTCTGAGTCTCAACACCCACCATCTCCCATCCAGACCCAAATCAATCTTAAGATATTGCTAGAATTTGCCATGCATTTAAATAGAACTTCAAAGGGGAAATGAGACGGGATGGCAACTCTTTTTACACTGAAGGAATAGAACAGATAGAATTCCCTGTAGCTGGGTGACCGAATTCTCAGCCAGAGTGCAATCGGCAAAAGGATTACTTGGTGGTGGAGAGCCGTCTCTTTCCTTTTCATCACCTCTCCTTCAACCTAGGCCAAGTGCAAAGGGAAAGCCGTGGGCAAAGAGGACACTAGTGCCAATGGGGGTGATTAGAGGAGAATGTAACCTTTCTCTGAGCCCCCTGACCAGGTATAACATATGTAAAAATGTCATGTTTGCCTTTCCTCATGCCATCCCACATTTCCTTGATGTCCTTTTTTCAACTGCTAGAATCTTTTCAAATCTGCATGGTTTGACTACTATTAGCAAGACAGGTATGAGAGTTCATATTTTGTGTGACTTGAAGTAAGCCTGCAGAATGTCAGTTGGGGCTACCATTTCTCCAAAGTTCTCTTTGATGCTCTTATTACACAGAACCAAATCATTATGGATCTAGGTCATCTTGCATTTCTACCTTAGGAAGGTGTGGAATGGAGGGAAACGCTGTGGTTCGCGTGTCATACGTGCCAGGTCGCTGGAGCCTGGACTGGCTCAGCAGTCTGGACGGTCTGTTCAGGACCGCCCCAAAGGCCAATTCCAGTGAATGAGTCTCCTTACCAGCAACCTGATATTCAGGTCAGATGTAGCTTAGGAGAGAAGTTTCAGTAATCAGAACCTTGTGGGTGGGAAAATGTTCCCTGTGGGTTCTGATCACAGATCTTGTGAGTGTTAACGCAGGTGGGGTACAGGTAAACAACCTCTTCCGGTGGGGAATATGTGGAGATGTCCAGCAGAGAATGCACTGCCATGCTTTCTTCAACAGTATATTTAGTAGCAAATTCTGAAAAGCACACTGGGGCTTAATGCATTTTATTTACACTTGAATATACCAGGGATTCATGCCAGTGGAACATGGATTAAAACAATCCACAGAGAAGTCCAAAGTTAATTTTAGTTATTGCTTCAATGTCCAAACCTCAGGCTAACTCTTACACAGCTTGATTAGGTTGGGTGTGAAGAATTTCAGAGTGGTGAAGGCTGTTAAATACTGAAGTGAATAAGAGAAGCAATAATAATTCCCTCCTGGAGAAGAATAGAGAGCTGTACCTGACTGAATGGTCTAAGTAGTGTCATTTGATGGAGTTTGGACAATGTCCTACGACAGTTCCTTTAAGACTTGGGCTTCTGTAAATTCTACCAAAGCATCATCAATCTGTGCTTCTCTGACTTTTTTCCTTTCTTTATGCATCTATTGTGGAGAAAATAAGCCCAACGTTGAAGATCAAAGAGACAAATCAGAACTGGACAAGCAGTCACACAGCGAATAACAGTGCAGCCCTGCACGGGGGCTACCTGGATTTGCAGCCTGACTCTGCCACTGACGAGCTTCATGACTGGGCAAATAATTTCTCCTCTGTGTGCCTGAGTTTTCTAATAGGTAAGAAGGAGAACATCGTAATAAATAGCATACAGAATTGTTGTGAGGTTTAAATGAGTTAATCTATAGAGATCAGTGCCCAGTACGTGATAAACAATTAACATTAGTTATGATTATGATTATTGTTATCACATGTGATGCACATAATCATAGAGTACCTTCCATCAGAGTGCAAACCATATTCCTGGAATGATCATATGTACTTCACAGGTAGCCAAATGACAGAAAGAGGGTATGGGGAACTCTGCCAAGCTCATGCTGTGAGTTAGATCCCTTAACTGCTTCCAATTCTTGAGACTTATCCAAGATAAATTATATTCGCCTCTCATGTTATAATGAAGATCAAGATTTGAACTAATATTTTTATGTGTTAACAAGGTACAAGGGTAATCTGAGCAGCACACAAAATCTCTCTACTGGGCACTTTTGTGAAAGAACAGAAATAACTTTGGTATCAAGAGGAAACAAGGGGAAAAACTACCAGTTTCTTTCTTAAAAATCTTTTTTGCCTAGTGAGAGATTTGGTTTCTTAGCCTAGCTTATTAAAATATAAAATAGCCAATATTTCAAAAACACTTTTAACTGATGACTCTACTGTCTTGAGTCTAGAATTAAACATGTAACAATAAATCTTTTCTGGAAAATAATAAATCTGTACCAGGTAGTGCTTTTTGTACCATCTTTGCTTCTAACTTCTGAATGTTAACAGGCAAGCCCTTGGCCTCTGTAGGCCACAATTTTCTCATCTGTAAAACAGACAGGGGTACCTAACTTCTCGTTCTCCAAGGTTGATGTGAGATGGAAACAGCTAACAGATTCATAGCACAGCAAACACGGTGGAAACACAGAAAGATCTATCTATCTATCTATATCTATCTATCTATATATATGTAATATTACTGACATCAAATCATACTACTGTGTTATTTTATTCTACTAGAAAAAAACTAAGTTATTTATTTTCTTTTTATGAAACAACACAGTGAGCTCATAGTAAATAGACATCTTTAATGTTCGTCTCTTCTTCCTCATCACCTTCAGCTTTGCCCACGCACAGACCCTTTCCCCTGTCCCAACACTAAAGTGACCAAATCACAACCAGTGAGACTGAGAAAAAAATTCGAGGTAATGGAGACTTCATGTACATTTCTTCCCCTTGTGGTGATTCCTAGTTCTTCTCCATGGAGACAGTTGGGGTCTCTCCTTGCTTTTTACATCCAGAGGATACAGGGACAGAATTCGTGGGAGAGAAGGCAGAGAAGGGTTTCTTCTTTCATCATAAAATGTTCCTTGTAAAAAATATGATATATATGCATACATATATATATATAATATACCCAGTGCAATTGCAATTGTTCTGCCAAATACTGAGAACTGCCACCTTGGGTGATGTATTTCTGGAGTTTTCAACAGTTGTCTAACAACAGCTGCATTTTAGTAAGACTTGGGCAGGTGGCTCCAGATAAGCCACTTGCCACTCACATTCAGGCTGAGGCTTCCATGTTCACAGTCCAAAGGAAAAAAGTGTATCTTTGCGTCTGGAGTGGGCATTGTAGGGAAGGGATGGGCAGGAAGGGATCTGGAGGCTGAGAGGTGAGGAAGAAGGAATTGACTTCTCTTTACTTCTCTACCACAGTCTTAGATGCAAGTACACATACAATTTAAAATCTGACAGTAGTAGTGCTATAATCACACTACCTAACAAAATAATTCACATCAGCATAAAAAATATTCACACCAAAAAGTTTCATTTTCTTTCCCCCGTTCCAAGAAAGCTTATGATATCACATCACCTGACTCAGCAATCTCACCACAGATATTTCCAGTGATTCGGCCAAAAGTCATTAAACATAACTCAGTCTTTGGATTTGCTCTTTCAGCAGCAGGACTTATTTTTAGATGAATTTCTGTAGTTGTGGTTTTTGGTTTTCCCAACACACTGAGAAGTCTGAAGTCTCTGCCTTCCCCCATGTCCTCATCCACGGAGTGAGAGGCACAGATGCTGAGCCTCCAAGGCTGGTCAGAAGGGAAGGGGAAGGGGAAACCCTGGGTCAGCAGATCAGCTCAGGAGGGATGCACCACAGAGGGAATAACGACGAGCTGCAAACCAAGATCAGAAGCTGTTACAAACCCACTCCATTTCAGCTCTGAGTGCCATCAATTGCACTATGCAGAGACCTACAGGGAAGAAGGTGGGCGGTCTAAAACCAGTACACATCCTTGCTTTTGTCCTGAGGCTGCAAACCTGAAAATAGAGAGAAGATAAAAGAGAGAGGAGGTGGAGAGGGAGGGAAAGAGAGGGAGAGGGAGAGAGAGAAGAAGAAGGAGAAGGAGAAGGAGGAGAACAAAGAAGAAGAGGAGGAGGAGGAAGACAAAGGGAGGGAGAAAGAAGGAATGGGGGAGGGAAGGCACAAGATATTTAAGGAAAGAAGGACAAAACACCACTGTTTTATTGTGAAAGTCACAGACTTCACCTAAAGTTGGGGGCGGGGTGGGGAGGGGGGCGGTGACTGAAAGTAAAAGCAAAGCAAACCGAAAAGTCAAATCACTTGAGGAAAGGGGCAGTGGGCAGACTATAAAGCCAGTGATTGCACTTATTATATAACTATTTCTTTCATTTGCCCTAAAAATAAGAAAAGAAGGCAAAAAAGCAAGCCCTTATTAGACTGTACGTTGCAAATACTTTAAGCCAAAGACTTAGGATTGTCATTTTAAAATATTCTTTAAGATTTACATTTTTAAGAGATCTATTTTATTTGGCAATTAACTTGATACCAGGATCACATTTTTCTTTCCTTACAACTATCACTAGGTGACAAGATCCCCCAAGCCACAGAAGATTTTAAATTGTACTCTCAGCAGCTACTCTAGATCACCGCTGTCCAATAGAAATACAATGGGAGCCATAAGCATAATTCTAAATATTCTAGTAGCCAGAATTGGAAAAAAAGTAAAAAGAAACATGAAACTTTTTATAATCGATATGCAATGTGTTGAAAATATTTCAACATGTAATCAATGTAAAAGTATTAACGAGATGAATTTTACATTCTTTTTCTGCACAAAGGTTTGGAAATCCAGTGTGTATTATACACTGACAGCACATCTTAATTCGGCCTCACCACGTGCCAAGTGCTCAGTAGCCCCAAGTGGCTAGCGGCTACAGTATTGAACAGCGCAGAGCTAGAACTTTTCCACTAAATTTTATTATTATTATTATTATTATTATCATTATTATTATTATTATTATTATTATTTTAAAAGTCCTCTGTAACATTTACCAGCCAGGTTAGGGTAGGGTCCTACTTTCTCATCCCGCCTACACGCATGGCACAGGGCCATGTATCAGTGGAAACACGACCGTGGCATGCAGATCCTTGGGCCACAGAATTCAAGGTCTCCAAGGAGGATTAAGGGGTCTAGGCACAGCCCAGGGTCGGGTACGGGGCCGAGCGGCTCCGCGGAGACCAAACTTCTTCCTCTGCTTACCTGAGTCCACGCTGAGGCCCAGACCCTGGGCCACGTCCCCCGAGGGGCTCGCGAAGGGTCCCCCGGGCCCGGCCCACGCGGCGCCCGCCGGCTCGCCTTTGCCGGAGAGCTCGCAGGGAGGACTGCCGGGCGCGGGCGCCGGGGCGGTTGCGAGGCGGGCCGGGCGCCCCGAGGCGGCTGGCATCAGCAGCGGCCCATAGCGCGGGTCGAAGTGCGGCGCGTAGACTTCGTGCACGGCGGCGGGGCGCGGGTAGGGGGCGGCCTGGGCGCCGAGGGCGCCGCCCAGGGCGTAGGGGTGATGCGGGTGCGCGTGGTGCGGGTGCGCGTGGTGCCAGGGCTCCGTGGCGCCCTGGTGCAGGTGGCCATGCAGCGCGGCGGGCGAGTAGGGGTCGGCGGCGGCGAAGGGCAGCTCCGAGTGCGCGGTGGCCAGAGGGCTGCCCAGCGGCGGGGGCACTGGCGCCTGGTACGCGCTATTCCAGAAGGAGGCGGGGAAGCTGCGCTGGCTCATCGGGAAGGAGCAGTCTGTAGGCCGGCCGGGGAGGCGGAGTGGAGGAAAGGAAAAGAGGTGCGTGTCACTGCGGCTGGACTCAGCGCCGACCTGCACGTCCCGCCCGAGAGACGAAGGCGCCGGGCGGGCACAGGGCTGGCTAGCCATGGCCGGGGCTGATGGGCAGCCCCCGCCTCTGCAGCGGCGTTTTTCTAAGGGGGCTGCAACCTGTGAAAGCGAGGTGGGGGAACTGCAAAATGGGGGCTTCTGGGAACCCACGAAAAGGAGGCCTGCTTCCTCCCATTTCGCAGCCGAGTCCTCAGTGCGGAAACCAAGTGGCGGGTAGAGTAGCAAGAGCGGAGAGACTCCCTCCCCGACTCAAGTCCTTGAAGCTCAAGGAGCTTCCCGCGACTCAGCGCAGCACGGCCTCCCTTTCCTAGCCTTAACCTCTCCCCAAGCTAACGATACCTCTTCCCACTCTTGGTCGGCCGCCTAGTGATCTCACTACCCCCTCTCGCGTTTCAGCCTTCTTGCTCCAGAAAATGTGCCCCCCACCACCTAACGTCTCTGACAGACTGAAAGTCCATCGACATATTTTGAAGTCTTGCTATTGTTAGTTTTCTTTCTAGAAACCTTCTTTCAAATATTTTTCTCCAAAAACTCAAGCAAAAGAGTAAACTAGTCGCATTAAAGGGCAGCTCTATTATTTGCACAGAAGGACACGAATAGACAGGTCTTTTATCCTAAGTTTTCATTAACTTTTGTATCAAAACGAGGACGCCAGGGATAATAATAATTATTATTACTATTGTCAGTGTCACTGTTGGTTCCTAGCCCGTGACAGCATTTTAAGAGAACAGCGTTTAGATCAAATTTGTTGCCATTAGTAAGAAGGGAGAGAAAGACAGATATTTAATTCATGGAACCTTTATGGAACACCTCCTCTGTGGAAGGCATCTGCACGATAAACTAGAGAATTTTAAATGATTTGAAAATGCATTCTAAGTGGTGAAGAGTCTTCCTGTTAAACATATTTAGGCAGAGAATAAAAAGAATGTTCTGTATTTAAAATGAATGTTTTTTGGATCTTGTCTAAGGGCAAGCCTTATGCAAACTGCCAGCGTCTCTTAAGGGGGAAAAAAGGGGGTGAAGGTTGTAATTTCCCTCCCAAAGACAAATGAAAATTTGTTTTTGTTTTTACAACAAAGTCCCCCTTTCTCAGCTTGGTACACATCAAATACAGCTTAGTGAGCCAAGTTTACTTAATGGTTCCCCCACCTTTGTTTTGTTGGTAATAAAGGGAAGTTGAGATTTCAGAATAGAAGGGAGATTTAGTTGAGTTGTCCAACAAATAATTGTCCTAGGGTAGAAAAAAGCAGTGCTTTGTGGGGGAAGGTAGAAAAATAAAAAGGGGATGTGTTTTGGGAAAACTCTTAGAGGTGTTCTGGCTGTATCTAAATTTTTGTTTCTTTGTTATTTTACTTGCTATTGAGACGCTTCTGCTTCAAGATTTCTCAAGCAATTGGAGCCTGGTGAAAGGCAAAGGTAGGTTTTAGGAGACATTCTCAAACAGGTTTTGCTTGCATGGAGCTCTAGAACTGTTTCCTCTGGGAAAATGTTGGCAGATTGGGAAAGTGCTCTTTAGAGTGAAGCTCCTTCACTCACTGGTTTGGGAGGGTGCTGGAAACCTCACGTTTTTGACGGCATATTTGCATCCATTTTCTTGTTGGAGTCTTACAGCCTTCTCTGGGGTTAGGAGGGTAAGTGTTATTCTACTTTAAGAGAGCAGTAAATAGAGTGACCTCAAAGAGGTTGAGACTTGCCCAAGGTTATATTGCTAGGAAGTGGTGGAACCAACACACAAACCTAGGTCTTCCAATTCCAAGGATAGTGTTTTTTCCAAGGAGTTTTTTCTTATATCCATGCCCTTTACCCCTGCGTTTTCCTTACCCTTTCCAAATGCTCCTCTGCACACCTTCTCTGACACCTAATATTCTTTTCAGCTGCATGTTTTTAGGCTCCTGTAGGTGAACCCCAGGCTGAGAGGACCCCCTATGGGTCCTTCCCAGCAGGGCCCTATACTCACCTCGCCAGGGCCCAGAGCTCCTTGGTGCTTTGCTGCTGGTACAGCTAGGAGAGTAGCTGCTGGGTTGGCTCAGGGCCCTGCTGAAATGTTCATCCACCACGGAGCTGATGTCCCCCTGGAAATAAGTGAAGAGGACGCAGCGGGAGTTGATGTACTCTGCCTCTGGTGGGCGCTCTTTCTCTGGGCTGCCTTCTTCCTCTTTTATACTGGCTGGGGTTTGGCTGGAAAATGAGGAGCTGCCGCTGCCACTGCTGCTGGGGCTGGCATTGCACTCCTGCGCTTCCTGCATTTTGGAATAATAGGCTAGTTTCTGTTCAGAGAGAGAAAGAACAGAGATATCAATTTCAAAAGCGATGGCAAATTCGGTTCAGACTGATTCCCTCATCCTAATCTCTAAGGTATTTATGGGGAAACTGGCATATGGGCTTAAGCCTTGTGCTGTTAGCATAAAACTAGCAATAGCGGGGCAACATAGTTAGCAGGCCTCCCAACCTGCACCCAAGCAAGGACGGGCTTCCTTAAAGGAAGATTGCTGTCCTTGGTCCCTCTGACTCCTAGAAAATTTCTCCTAAAATGTCTGGGTGAAGGTTTCAGGAGACACCTAAGCAGCTAGGTTTAGAGCTGAGTTTGACCTCATAGCTGGGCTCAGGGCAGATATATTTTTAAAATCAGACTCCAAGGGTAAAGGGCACCCAAGTCCAGATAGAGCCTGACTGTTCCTTGCCTGAGAATCCAGGGCAGAAGCACAGGATACAGGATAAACATCCTCCTGATGAAATAGGAGCGGGGGGCAACCCCCTACCCCTACAAAATCCACTCCCTGAAACTAGGAATGTGTGAAGGAAAGCAACAGGAATGTAAAGGAAGAAATGCCACAAAAAGTTTGAAATAATTACATTTAGTAATGAATTGTGTGGGGTAAAAATCTGGGGTAACATGACTGGGGAAACACGGATCATTTTAATAAATGCAAGTTGATTTTTTTTTTATTATCCCTATATCAGTTTTTAAACAGATCTTCTCTTTAATAACGAAAGACCAGTGGATTACGAGTATTTCCACCCCCATCATCTCCACACACATTGAGGAAATGATAAAAAGGAGCAGACAGAAGAAAGTTAAGATCCTGGCTGTGAGGTGGGGTAAATCGGCATGTCTCATAGTGATTTTAAAAAGCAGGCGCAGCTTCTGTGAACATTTTCTTAGAAATGAGCAATGGACTGAATGAAGTGTTAAAGCATTCTGCAGGCAGAGATGGCCTTGAAGAGGCGGCCCGAGTCATACAAAAATGAACAGAGATCTTCATGCAATAGATTGGTTCGGGGTCTGGGAGAAGAAAGGGCCAGTCAGAAAACCAATCCACCTCTCTCCTCTTTGCTTGCCATAGTCCCACCCTGGGAAGAAGTACATTTCAGAAGCTGGAGCCAAAAGGTTTGAAATAATTGGGGACAAAACGATGTAAGATTTAGCAATATCACCACTTCCTAAATGCCACCTTCCCTACAAGAGGAACTCTGGTGATTCTTAAAATTAACACTGAGGCAAAACAAACTGCAAGTTGTGAAGTTTAAAAGAGAAGAGGAGGTAAGAAAACAAAAAGTGAACCCTATCCGGTCCATCATTAATTTATCGGGAAATTTTCGAATAGACATTTTAAATTTGCAGGCAAAATTAGCAAAAGCATCCACTGGGGCATTGGGGTGTATTTCAATTTCCCCAAAGCAGGTGACCAAGCTCTCACTTTCCAACCTGGAGGGGACCCCTACAGCCTCCCAGGTGTATGATTTCATTCTTTTCCTGCACTACTGTCCTCAGTTTCTGCTACCTCAGCTGAGGAAATGGAAGGAAAATGGTTCAAACAGACGCAGCCTGAAGACAAGAGAAACTGGCAGAATTAAATGGAACTTGAAGAGTTTGCAGAACCCGGGTTGAGTGGTCTTCTTAAAGTGTTTGTTGGAAGCAGGGCTTCCCCATTCACCTACTCAGGCTGGAGAAAGGCAAAGTATTGTCTATCAGGCTCGCCTCTGCCGGGTCATTCGCACTCCGGATAATGCTCCCAGAACTTCGCAAAGGAAAAAATTATAAAACTGCGCGGTGCTCTTTGAAATGAATTCTCTGGATCTGGAATTAATTGCCCTGGTCGCCAGAGAATTGAAACGGAAGAAATTATTCCTGAGATAAACTTGCAGGGATGAGAACACCGGCCCTTGCATCTCAGAAAGAGGCTGGCTGGCCTTCGCTTTTGGTTTTGTTGTTACTCTCACCATTGGGACCAAAGTTTGGTTTTTCCTGCGTCAGCTTTGCCTGCATTTCCTGGTACCTGCACCTGGCTTGGAAGAATCTGGAGTCCGACAGACCCTAAGAAGAAAATCCAGCCCGTGCCATCTTCCTCTGATTATTCCAGGGAAGACCTAGGCTCACATTAGCAGGGCTTAGCTGCTTCCCGAGAGCAAACAGGCGAGCTAAAGGGGTTAGCTAATTGCACTACCAACTGGGGGCGGCTCCGGCAATCCCCGCATCCCGGCTGCGCCGGTCGTGGTCGGACGCCCGAGACGCGCGGAGGCACAGCAGACCTTGGCGTACAGGCCATGCCGCCGCAAACGGGGGGCGCGCACTCCTTCCCAAAGTCCCCAGAGGAGACACGTACCTGGTGGTAGGGGGTGTAGGCGGCTGCGAAGTAGGGCTGCGGAGGACCATAGACTTGGTACATAACATCCAGACAGCTCATGACTCTCCGCAGCGGAGACGGTTAAGTGTTTTTTCATTAACTCTCCTTCCCCGGAGCTCAGGGGTGCTGCATGGGCGGCGCTTGGACCCGCGCTCTGGAGTCATCAGGCGGAGCAAAGCCAGCGCGCTCCGCGGCTCGGAATCCAGCTGGCTCGCTACCCTCCCACTCCTGCGATTTTACTCCCGACCGCGCTCCAGGGCAGAAGCGCCTGAGCTCCCGCTAGTGGGCATTTAAAGCCCATGCCCGGCGGGCGTGCTGACGCCACTCGGGGGCTGCGGAGCGGGAGGGGGCGGTGGGGGGCGGGGACCGGGGGGCCAATGGGGAGCGAGGGACGCTTGTTGGAGGGGCAGCGAGTGTGTTTCCCGGGGCCCACCTCTGACAAGCATGCGGCCAAGGGTGCCGGAGACTATGCGGTTCCCAGCGGATCCGAGGCTTCGCACCGCGAGTAGGAATCTCCCAGGACAAAATAGGAGAGAGAGAGAAAGAGAGAGAGAGAAGGAGGCGGGGACGAAGGGATCCGGGCTCATACACGCAGAGAAAGAAAGTTGGAGAAAGGTCTCTTAGGAAAGCCCTTGTCTCATACTGTAGTTGAGTGGGTGCTTCCAGAAGTGCCGAGGTGGGGCAAATTCTCTGCTTTCGGTTCCTGATGATGTATGGGGAGGACGGTGCTGTCCCTTGGAATCCCCTAGGGAGTCCGGGTCGTGGCAGACAGGATGTGGGAGTCCGGGTACCCCTCCAGGGCGCAGAAGAGCTACCTCTGCGGGGAAATGGCAGTGGCTGAAACCTGTAACCGCTGTCCTCTAATCCACTTCCTTTCGCTCCCTCTAACCTGGTCCTCCCGCCGCCTGTCCCACACCCCAATTCTGCTCTCTTGGGCCGTGCCCTTCTGCCCCTCTAAAGTTCGATCCTGCTCCTTTCTCTTTGATGTTCTCCACCGGAACCCGTTAGCTTCGCATAGATCGCGCCCGCTTCCGGCTGCTCCCGGTGTGAGCTGCTTTCGAGGAGTCCAGGAGGCTTTACCCGGCCTCGGATGTCTGGCTTTTCATGCTGGGGTCTCCTTGGCCGGGGTCCTTTAAAGTTTTGGCAACTTTGGGGACAAGGACTCGTTGGCGCTAAGAAGAAGCATACTAGGACCCGTACACAGAGAGGTCTTTTGCTGCCTATTCAGCCGGTAATACCAGCTGCGATGGTATGTTTCATTTTGGAGAGCTGGAAGTATATGCACTCCAACTATAAAACCTTCACCCCTTTCTCTCTCCGGCCCTCCCTGAGAGGTCTGCTGGCTTCGCCCTCCTTCCTGCGACCCTACCCATCCTTCTCAAGCCTACCCCCCACCAAGCCCTCTGGAAAGGGGGTGTAACAGTGGAGTCTTCAGTTCTATAAGTTTAGGAATGCATTGAGACAAGGCTATCTCCATGGCTGGGTCAGGTGGCGGAAGGGGCATTACGGGAATAGAGGCGGGCCAGACTTGGGGGGACCAAGGGAACAGGTTGGGAGCATTAAGAGTCTAGACTCAAGAAAGAGGCAGCATGGATTTCAAACCCTAGTTATTCCCCAGCTTAAATACAACAGAAAGTCTTTATAGAGTCTCAGGCTATAAGACTGTGAATAAATGAACCCTTGAAGATCTATTTGTGTTTTAAAAGTGAGTATTTTAAGCCAAATTGTTTTAGGGTTGCAGTTTTGGTGTTGCCCAATTTATAGATGGGAAATGGCTCCGTGTCTCCAAATGCTTGTAACTGGTGAGCCATCTTGAGCGATTCGACAATTTCCTTAATTAACAACAATGTAATCTATGTAAAGTTTTCTAATCAATGAAAAGTTAAAATAAAGACACTCTTCTAGTACATTTCCATGCAAGCCTCTTTTTAGGGGCCAAGCTGCCTGTTGGATGAAATCTGCCAGCTTCTGGAGCTTCTGATTATCCAGGCGCAAGGGTGAAGCAGAACATCCATCCCACCTCCACCCCAATGTGCCCTCCCTAGGCGTTTCTGAAGATAGGTACAACCACCTATCATCATTTTCTTTGGGGCAAGAGAGGAAACCCTCATCCAAAGAGCCACAGTACGCTCTTCTGTGTGCGGGAGATGGGGAGTTCAGGTCCCAGTCTCGCTGGCCGCTGCTGCGCACCCTTTCTGCTGGGTCGGCTTCACCCAGGCCCGCAGGAGTACAGGTGTCAACGCAACCATCGCACCAGGGACTCCACGGGGCGGGCGGGTGTGGCCCCGGAGGGTCCGGTCCCCCACTTTCGCGCAAGTCCCGCAGTCCCTCCTTGGACACGGAGGTTCCGTTTTGGACATCTCTGGGCGTGAACATCGGTGGCTGAAGCCGGCTCCTTTTCGAGCAGCCTGGGCTTGGCAGTGTTGTGCAGGGGGAATGGGGGTTGGTGGGTGGGAAGCGGCGGAAGGCAAGCTCCACTAGCATGTCCAACCAATGCATGGAAACCCTGCTTTTGTCCTTGCTCACCTTCCAGTAGCTACCTCCTATTCCCAGTACCCGGTCACTTTGACATTTTTAAATTTTACGATGGCTATAGTACTAGAAGACCTTTTTATTTATTTATTTATTTGCAATTTCCAGAGAAAATCATGACAACCTCTCCAAGTCCAACAAGGCCCAACAGAAAGTTATTTTCGGAAAGGATTACAGGAAGAACGATTTTGCGTATCTCAGACGAAGAAATTGAAGAGAACATTATTCTAGTTGCCTAAGGCTGCTTTACATTCACATTACTCAATCTCCTCTTACTTGAAACAATTTTAAAAATCTCACTGAAGCTAAGCGAGGGTATGGACTGCACAGGAGTTCGAAGGAACACAAGGAATTGGGTCAGTGAGCATCAATCTAGAATTTAGGAAGGAAACCATTTTATTCCCCCTAAATCCACAGTGAAGGAAGAAAAACAAACATCCCAGAGTTTTAAAACACGTCCCAAAGATTGGAGAATGTTTCGTCTTTTCTCTATGTCTGAAAAGTTGTCATTTACAGGAGGGTGGTACTTCTCAATCGCATGAGATTGCCTCTTGTTTCTACGCTGAAGCGGAAAGTAAAACACAGCTAAATTTGATCCCCTTTACTCTCCCAGCCATTCAAACCACCAGCACATTATCAAGGTTGAAGAAGTTAGATTTAGATTCAGAGTCTTGGGAATGGGCTACAGGTTGAGAAAATTATCTTTCCTTCCCTCTGGAGTCCTCTTCCTCAAGAAGAGACTGAAAAACAAACAGATGTCCCTGAATTTGGGCCCGAAGCCCCCAGTGAGATAAACTGTTCCCAGTTGCGTGGAATTGGCTTTTAACTCCTTAACTGGGCAGAGGGAGTATCAAAACTTCTCTTTGAAAAGAATTTCACTTTATGATCGATTAATGGCCATTTATTGAACTGCTAGGAAAGAGCTATATGAAAGTAAATTGCACCAAAATTTCTTTTTTAATATCCTAGTTCTATTCTGCAATTCTAACAGCATCTATACTGTGAAAATAAAGACACCTTTAGTCTTGAAGTTAATAAGTGAAATTAAATTACTTTAGCACAAGTAAATGTTTCAAGATAGCAACTCAATGAAATACCTGTTTTCTCTTCAGAAAGGTTTACCTCTCACTTTCGTAAACTAGCTGATTTCATTATCTCTGAATCTATCTGTCACTTGTGTCGTCTTATTCTGAAAACCGCAAAGACACTGCTTAGCAAGGATACTTGAATAGAACTGATTTGGAGAACTGACTTGCAGCCAGCCAGGCCCTTCGTTGCCAGTGGTTTATTTAAATCATGAGTTGGCATTTCATGTTGCCAACCGAGGGGGATAAACACAATGGTAACCTCACAGATTTTCCCCCACAAACTCATTTTTTTCATGTTTTACTGACAGGAGTTGTGTTTGGATTTGGGAGAGTAGCTGAGAAGATTTTGTGGATTCAAGCTGTTAACAATATTAGTTAAAAACATTTCTGTAAAAGCCAGGGTTTTCAGGCATGATCTGTTAGTTAGGAATAATACTGTAGTAATGGACTGAATGGTGATTTAATTTTAAAGAAAAAAAGGGGGAAATAGAGAAATCCATGCATCCTGAAACCTCACTAAAAAGCTAAGTGGGGAGGAATTACAGTTTGACTTAGTGAAAAAAATAAGTAAAAGATGGTTCAGTTATTTTCATACAAACTTTGAGTAGCTCTTAACAGTGCTTCCAGGTAAAAATCTTCTATAGTCAGTTCAAATGAATAGATAAAGTTACTTTTATTGACATATAGAGGATTATTAAAAGAATGTTGAACTTTTCCTTCTTTACATATTTAAAACCCTATTTTTATGTTATGTACATGTCAACTTTAGCTTTGGTGAAATAATTGCAATCTTTTGAATTTAGTTTATCTTGTATTCATGTTAACATTTGTGCCCATTTCTAAGACTGGGGAATATAACTAAAACCGTATTCATCTTTTTAGAAATGAGTTCTTTTTAATGAGTCTCTATGAAATGGTTATATAAAGATAAGATTATACAAATTCAATTCATGTGACCCAATCCTTTAACAATGGTAACATACAAATAGCAAAAAAGGGACACTTAAAATAGATGTGTGTCAAATGTTTTGCCTTGTCATATTTTCACAAGAGAAAAAATTAGAAGGAAATTTACATTGTATAAGATATACTTGGACATGCATAGCTAAGTCTGAGAGCACATATCAATTATTTCTTAATAGGAAGAAATTGCCTGTCATCTCTGCTTTGCCTGGAAAAGTAGCTCTAATTGCTTATAATTTCTGATGCTATCATTTGCTTTTCTTTAAAGACACACAGTTTGGAGAAAGCCTCACAACTAACATATTTGTGAAACTACTTTTGTAAGATATAGGGAGATAGAGGAATTTACAGATTCAGAAAGTGGAAGTAGACTTAAAGGATTTAAACTGTTGACTTAGATATTTGACAGTGTTGGTGTTGATCCATTCTCAAACTTCTGTTTATAAACTTGATTTCAGCAGGATGCTGAAGGGATTAAAAGGAGACCACAGCAATAACAGACTGAAGGTGAAGATATCCATCTGAGTGTGGAGTGTGGTGTCCTGTCACTTGTATCAAGAGCTCTTAAAACAGCTTTTAAACAATTCTCATAGGAAGTTTTTCTTTGCATGCATGGAATAATTTTTAGCATGGAATGCTACACTGCCATTGTTTGTTTTATTTATTTGGCACTTAAAAATAATAAAACGAAGTGCTGAATGGAGGCAACCATACCAACACATTAGAAAGAAACAAAGGTCCTTTTTACATTGGAAAGCAGACCTCAAAGCTATGGAGAGTTACCTTGGCAGAAAGGAAGTGTGAATAGTAGTCGTTAAATTGAAATACTTTTAATTTTTGTTCTTAACTTCATACTATAAATGTTTCACATCATATTTGAAGATGAAAGTCCAGTTGTGGACTATGAAATTAAACCTCCCCAGGTGGTATTATTGTTTCATCTTTCTTTAGGAGAAGCATGAGACAACTAATTTTTAAAATAATTAAACTCGCAGCATTATCCAACAAATTTAAAACATTGCAATGTAAATTTTTAAAAAATGTCATTTTATATGACCTATGCAGTCTATTGTCACAGTGAATCAGAGTGGAAATTTGTCAGTTGTCCAGATAATTCAAAAAACAAAACAGCTAAATATGACCATATAAGAAATAATACTGAGCAATTCAGGTCTCAGAGTAGGCTTTCACTAAGAAAAGTTCTTCCCATTTAGTAAATTAATGCCTATACTCCTAAGCATAGCTAATTCTTTCTTCAAACATACATGTTCTCAGAATATAGCCATGACCTTAGTCATGTTTATTGGTATTTGGAAATGTTTTAAGAACACAGTAATTCTGAAGTGCTTCAAAATGACTACATATTTTTACCCCTGAGCTTTCTTTTTCTCTGGGGATATTCAGTGGCAAAATAAATTAAGGTTGTAATCTGTATCAATTTATATAACTTTGCCCCTGTGTGTATGAGGGAGTGGCTATTACCAGGCAATTAATGCCTTTTATTATTTTTGGTAATGAATGTGGTAAAACATCCTTCCAGTAATACAACGTAATAGCTCCATTATGAAACAACTATTGCTTTTAGAAAAAGAGGCCGTATTTGCGCATTTAAAGTGAAGTGCTATGGGGGTGGGGAGATTGAGAGATGTTGGTCGAAGGACACAAAATTCCACAAACAGGAGTTATAAGTTCAAGAAATCTATTGTATATCATGGTGACTATAGTTCATAAATTGTACTTAAAAATTGCTAAGGAAGTGGATGTTAAGTTTTTTCACCCTCTAAAAAAATCATAAGCATGTGAGGTGATTGATATATATGTTAATTAGCTAGACTTAGTTATTCCACTGTGTATACACACATAAATATATACAATTTTTATTTGACAATTAAAAAGCAATAAAACGAAGTGCTAAATTGAGGCAACCATACCAACAAGTTAGAAAGAAACAAATACGCTTTTTTACCTTGGGTAGCAGACCTCAAAGCTATGGAGAATTACCTCAGCAGAAAGGAAGTTCCCAATAGTAGGTGTTAAAAAGAAGACATGTCAAAGCACATGTTGTCAAATAGTTATGTAGGCGAGTAACTGGAGAACTGGAGAGAACCCCCAGGTTTTAAAAGCGGAATGGAAAAAGGGAAACCTGGTGCTGATTGCCACCTTTGAAGCACACAAAGTGGCAGACCTGATCCCTGGATGCCCAGAGCTCTAAAGGTCACATGTTTTGGGAACTCGGCCTACTGGTCTCATTTCATGGGACATTGCCCTACCTTCTCTGGGAAAGCCCTACAGCTTCAACCAGATGAAATTATCTTAGCTACTTTCTTAAGAATGTAGGAGCCTGAAGAATACCATGGAAAGTCTGATGAACTGGATATCAAGACACTGGGTTTGGACCCATGGTGAGAAATGGAGTCACCCTTTTAGCCCTCTGTTTATTCATCTGTGCAATAAAGAAACTGGACTAGATGATCTCTACAGATGTTTATGGCACCAGACTCTGAAATTTGAGATTTGAAAGTAGTATATAATGTTTGCAAACATTTCTGACATGAGGGATATTTTCAACCTGAGATCTTTCTTGAAGAATAGCATATTATAAACTTTACTGGAAAACCAGTAATTCTGTGGGGCATATTATTAAAGACCTGGCAGTAATAGCCAGATATTCTTTAGAATTCCAGGGAAGTGTAACTCAAAAATGAGCCATGTCTTCCAAGCTTCAGAGAATGAAGTTGAGGTCTCTTGTATCCATTTTCAGAAGCCAAAGTGTCCATGTGTTTCCTGTGGGCTTGAGTCAACATGGTATGTATATCTAGTATCTGCTCCTTGAGAAATAAAAGTTCAACCTTTCTAACTTTCATGAGACTAAGAGCAAAAGATACCCATTCTTGTATTTAGTAAAGTTGGGTCTTCAAAACTAGAACTTTCTCATGTTCATCCTATTATATAGTTAATGTATATTTCAATGTGCAGTAATATATAGCCTATTTAATAGAGGAAATTACTAGCATTATTAATTACAACATCCTTTTTGGTGATTAGGACCCCCAAATCCTCCTGCCTAGGATAGGTGAATGCTTAAACAATAGATTTCTGGAAGAAAATGAGCAATAATACACATTTTATTAGGGTTCTTAGCTTAGTTAGAAATTTTGTTACTTTGTTTATTCTAAAGAATATTTGAAAATCATTTCCTGCAGAGCTGACAGTAAATTTACCATTAGACTCACCCATTTTGTTTCAAGCAAATGGAAATAATAAATAAAATGTAGAAAGAGACAACCAGAAAACATGACTAGACCCCCAAACTAGGTAAACATTTTGAGGCAAAAAATTCAAAAGCCAATTTTAGGCTGCTACAACAGAGTAACACAGACTGAGTAATTATAATGAACAGAAATTTATTTTGCTCGTGGTTCTGGAGGCTGGGAAGTCCAAGGTTGAGGGGACACATCTGGTGAGGGCCTTCCTGTTTTGTCATGACATAGCAAGAGGCATCACATGGTGAGAAAACTTGTGAGAGCTGAACTCCTCCTTCATAAGGACATTACTCCTTTGATAATGGCATTCATCTATTCACGGGGGCTCTGCACTCATGAATAGATTAATGTCATTAATCTGTTATGGAAGAAATGTCCTTATGAAGGATGAGCTCAGCTCTCACATGTTTTCTCACCATGAGATGCCTTCCACCATGTCATGTGAGAGGTATGACATGGCGGGAGGGGTGCAGAGCCCTCATGACCTAATCACCTTTGAGAGTTCCATATCTCTCAACACTGTTGCTTTGGGGATTAAGTTTCCAACATACATGAACACATTCAAACCATAACCAAAAGACACAAAGTGATAAGCAGAGTTGGTGCCATGGGCTTGCTGGGCTCTGGGTTGGAAGATGGCCATAAGGCTTTGGGCTCCTACAGGGGAATAAGACTAAAAGTCCTGAGCTGGGCTCACTTACTGAAAGGCTTTTCTGGGGCTCTCATGCCTACAAGGAGAGTGAAATGATTGCTGTTGACTTGCTGCCCTGACTATATCTTTATTAAAGCTTTTGCCCTGAACAAGCAGGAGGAAAAAGCCATAGACTCATGATCAAGAACTGGGCTAGATGGTCCTCTGACTTTGTACTGGGATTTGCATTATCTCTGCTATCATAGCAGAGCAGGAGCTCTGAAATACACACATAAGAACAGGTAGTGGATTGAGACATGTGCATGTGGTGATGGGAGGGGCAGGTGCAAATGGAAAAGTGTTAGCAGGGAAGATAAGGGAGTAATTGCTTATATACTAAAAGACATTATTATTATTTAGTAATAATAATGGAAGTAAGGATACCTCCCAAAACAAGTATATGTCAAATCAGGGTTCTCTCAACAAGAAAGAAGGGAGAATGATATTGGGTAGACAACTAGAAGTATCTTATACAAAATAATGAGGCATTTAAAAATCATATTATTTCATTCAAACTACAACATATACATATTGTTCCACAGAGAAATGTTACCAAATCCTTTTTTAAATAAAATGTCTGAGAGAATAGATGGCCTTACTAACAAAACTGGACAAAGATATGATAAGAAAATGAGGTTATTGACCAGATCAGTTGGAAACATTGATGAAAAAAATCTTAAATAGATTTCAGCCTATATTAGTCCATTTCCACACTGCTACAAGGAACTACTGAGACTGGGTAATTTATAAAGAAAAAAGGTTTAATTGACTCACAATTCTGCATGGCTGGGGAGGCCTCAGGAAACATACAATCATGGCAGAAGGCGAAGAGGAAGCCAGGCACGTCTTAACATGGCGGCAGGAGTTGGGGACGGAACTGCCACACACTTTTAAAACATCAGCTCTCATAAGAATTCACTCACTATCATGGGAACAGCAAAGGAGAAACTGTCCCCATATTCCAGTCAGCTCCCGCCAGGTGTGTCGACACTTGGGGATTACAACTTGAGATGAGATTTGGGTGGGGACACAGAGCCAAACCATATCACAGTATAATTTAGAAAAAGATACAGGTAGGAGGGATTTATCCTAGAATTGAAGTTCAGAAATTCTGTCAATTGAAACATACCACGTTAGCAGATAAAGGGAGAAAAAAATACATGACGATCTCAATGAATGTAGAAAAAGCATTCAATAAAATTTCACCTAATTCACTGTGAAAATTAAAATAACCAATGCACACATATACCTATACAGGTTTGTATAGGTATATGTATATGGGTATACACATATACCTATACAGGTTTACATATACCTATGTAACAAACCTACACGTTCTGCACTTATATCTGGAACTTAAAGTAAAATAATTTAAAAAAAAGAAAATCCAAATAGATGGAAACTTCCTTAATTTGATTAAGTGTAGTCATCAACACTCTGCATAAACATACATAATGGATAAATTTTAGAAGCTTTCCCACTGAAGACTAAAACAAGATAAAGATGTCTACTATAGTTACTTCTCACAAACATTATTTTGTTGGTCCTAGCCAATCTAACAAGACAAAAGGGGAGAAAAGGGCACGAGCATTTGAAAGGAAGAAGCCAAATATACTTATTTGTTAGCGGTATGATTATATACTTAGAAACCTTAAAAGAATTTGTAGATATAGTAATAAAACTACTAACAGAGATCAGCAAGATTGCTAGACTCAAGAGATCAACTTAAAAAATTAGTAACCTTAATATACCTAAGTAATAATAAATTAGAAAATGTAATAGGAAAAGATCCTAATCAAATACTACAATGTATGTAGAAATAAATATAATAAAATATGTTCAAGATTATGAAAGCAAATTATGAAATATTATATAGGGCCACATAAATGACCTGAATAAGTGTAAACAGATATCACATTATGGATGGAAACAGTTAATATTATAAAAATAGCAATTTTCCATCAATAATTTAAAAATCCAATTTCATTCAATCAACATACCAACAAGAGGTTTTTCATCAGACTTGACAAGCTGATTCTAAAATTTCTTTAGTAGAGCAAAGGCTTAAGAATAATTAAGACAATTAAGAAGCATGAAATATCTCCTTTGTGCTTCTTCTTAATTGCCTTAGAGATTGAGATATTTATAGAGTCAAAGAGATTGAGACATTTATAAAGTCATAGTAATTTATACAAAATGACATTCATATTATAGACCAATGAAATAAGAATATACAGCCTAGAAACAGATGTATATAAACATAGAAACAAGAAAAGGCAGAGGTAATATTAAAAGTAGCAGAAATAGGATAGGCTATCAAATACATAGTGTTAGGATGATTGTTTTTCCATACTTAAAAATAAAATTTGATGTTAACAACATGTGCAAAAAATATATTCATTAGATTTATTTTAATGCAAATTTTAATACAAAGCTTAAAACCTTGAAGAAAATAAAGAATATATCCTTATCAACATGCTGTAGGAACATCCTTTTTTTTTTCTTTTTTTTTTTCCGAGACAGAGTCTTGCTCTGTCGCCCAGGGTGGTGTGCAGTGTAGTGATCTTGGCTCACTGCAACCTCTGCCTCCTGGGTTCAAGCAATTCTCCTGCCTAAGCCTCCTGAGTAGCTGGGATTACAGGCATCTGCCACCACACCAGGCCAACTTTTTTTGTATTTTTTGTAGAGACGGGGGTTTCACTATGTTGGCCAGGCTGGTCTCAAACTCCTGACCTCATGATCTGCCTGCCTCAGCCTCCCAAAGTAAGGAACATACTTTAAAAAATACATCAGAGAAAGGGTGAGCATTAATGGAAAAAATTAGTAAATTTGACTTTGTTAAAATTAAAACTTCAGTTTAATAAAATACACAACAAAAATGAAAATACAAGTCATGTTGTGAGAAGATATTTGTGAAGCATATTGCCAACAAATAATTAGAATCCAGACTTTCTAAGAATTCCTACAAATAAATTAAAAAGACAATCTACTAGAAAAAATAGCAAAGAATATGAACCATTAATTTGCAGAAGAGAAAACTAGATAATTATTAAATACAAAAACACTGATTAATCTTACTAATAGTGGTAACCAGAGTAATGAAAGTGAAACCAATAAGATAACTTTTACAACCCCTGGATTGGAAAAAAATGACATGAAGTTGAACAATACCAAATCTTGGCAAAGATATGGAGCAAAGGAAAATTTCAAACACTTGATAGAAATGTAAATTGTTATAGCCAAATTTGAAAGAACTTTGACAATGTGTAGTATTACTATAAAGATTCACATATTCTTCAAGTCAGCAATTTCATTTCTAGGTAGTATATACTCCGGAGAATTTCACACATATGTGTATAGGAAAATAAGTACAAGAAATTCATTTGAAGCATTATTTGTAATAGCAAAAACCAAATATATTCCATGTTCTTACTGTCACGTGAAAGCTTAAAAAAATTGAAATTCATGGAGATAGAGAGTAGAATGATGGTTACCAGAGGCTGGGAAGGGTGGTGGAGGGGGAGGATAAAGAGGAGATGCTTAAGACGCACAAAAATACAGTTGTGTAGAAGGAATAAGGTCTAGTGTTTGGTAACACAATAGGGTGACTATAGTTAAGAATAGCTTATTGCATATTTCCACATAATTAAGAGAGTGGAACCGGAATGCTCCTAATACAAAGAAATGATAAATATTTGAGGTGGTGGATATCTCAATTACCCTGATTTGATGATTACATATTTATGCTTGTATCAAAATATCATATGTACCCCTTGTATTACTCTGCTCTTGTATTGCTAGAAAGAAATACCCGAGACTGGGTAATTTATAAGGAAAAGAGGTTTAATTGACTCACGGTTCTGCAGGCTTCATAGGAAGCGTGGCGCTGACCCCTGCTCAGCTTCTAGGGAGGCTTCAGGAATGTTACAATCATGGCAGAAGGTGAAGAGGCAGCAGGAACATCTCATGGCGAAAGCAAGAATAAGAGAGAGAGATGGGGGAGGTGCCACACACTTTTAAATGGCTAGATCTCTTGAGAACTCACTCACTATCGTGAGGACAGAACTCACTCACTACCTAGAGGGCAGGGTCTTGTTATGTTGCCCAGGCTGGTCTCAAACCCCTGGGCTAAAGGAATCTCTCCTTTTCAGCCTCCTTAGCAGCTGAGATTACAGGTGTGAGCCACTGTGCCTAGCTGAATTTTTTTTTTTTTTTTTCTTTTCTTTTTTTTTTATTATACTTTAAGTTTTAGGGTACATGTGCACATTGTGCAGGTTAGTTACATATGTATACATGTGCCATGCTGGTGCGCTGCTGAATTTTTAAATAAATAGCTCCTTACATATTTTTCCTAGTTTTATCATTTGTGATAAATATTCTTAAATAACATATTGTGTAGTTTTGTCTTTTATTAATTACATGTAAATTGATTCATACTGCATGTGGTGTTCTGTGACCTGCTTCTTACACTCAAATTTGGGTTTTTGACATTCATCTATATTGATATATAAATTGTGCTCTATTCACTACTGTTTAATAATCTATTGCAAAAATTTACTATATACTAATACCGGTTCATTTTCATGTTGCCGATAAAGACTTCTCTGAGACTGGGCAATTTACAAAAGAAAGAGGTTTAATGGAGAACTCAGAGTTCCATGTGGCTTGGGAAGCCTCACAATCATGGTGGAAGGCAAGGAGGAGCAAGTCACATCTTATGTGGATGGCCACAGGCAAAGAGAAAGCTTATGTTGGGAAACTCCCGTTTTTAAAACCATCAGATCTCATGAGACTTATTCATTGTCACGAGAACAGCATGGGAAAGACCCACCCCCTTGATTCAGTCATTTCCCACCAGGCCTCCCACAATACGTGGGAATTATGGGAGCTACAAGATGAGATTTGGGTGGGGACACAGAGCCAAACCATATCAATAGCATTATTACAGTTTATTCATTCTATAGTTAAGGTCATTCGAGCTGTTTAACTTTTTGATATTAAAAAATGCAGCTTTGAACATGTCTCCTGGTACATATGTGTACAAGAAGTTCTCTAAAGTATATACCTGATAGTGAAACTGCTAGTCACAGGGTTTATGCAGGTTTAACTTTACTGAGTAATACCACAGTGTTTTTCTAATTGTACTCATTTATATTTCTACTGATAAAGGATGAAGAAATTCCTATTTCCAAGTATTTTTTTCGAGCACACTGCCTTGTCAATTTTTAAATTGGCCAATATGTGATATGTATATTGAAATCTTATTTTCATTTTCATTTCCCTGATTCCTGATGACAATAAGCCATTAATGTTTCTGCTTCTGTGAAATGTCTGTTATTTATTTTGTGCATTTTTTTCTAATTGGTTGCTTATCTTTTTCTTGTAGATTTATAGGAGTTTTACATACATATTGGTTACTAATCTTTTGTTATATGTGCTGTAAATATCTCCTCTTATTTTTGACTCACCTTTCCACTCTTTCATGGTTTCTTTTGATGAACAGAAGCTCTTAATTTTAATGTTGAAAAATTACCATTTATTCCTTTGTTGTTTTGTTGTCATGCTTTGCTTATTAAATTCTTCACTTTCCTGAAACCATAACAAAATATTGTTACATGTTGTCTTTTAAACATTTAAAATTTTCCCTTTTACATTTATTTCTCTAACTTACCAGAAATTAATTTCTAGTGGTTTTTATTAGAGTGTGAGGTAGAGATTCATATTTTTCTATATAATCTATCACCCCAGCATTTATTGACTAGCTTACTCTTTTTCCAGCAATTTACTGTCTGAGAAAAACCAAGTTTTTATATATGCATGGGTTTGTTTCCTGACTCTGTCTTCTATTGATTACTTTGATTATTTCTTCCTTTACCAATGCCATACTGTCTTAATTAGTATAGCTTTATAATAGATCTTTATATGTGGTAGGATATGTTTTCAAACCTTGTTCTTCATACTTAGAGTATCTTGGCTATTTTTGGATTATTGAATTATCATAAAACATTTTTAATTATCTTGCTACATTCTACAAAAAATCCTCTATATCATTTTAGGAATAACTGACATATTTTTGCTGTTGAGTCTTTCAATGCAAGAATGTGAAATAGCCCTTGATTCATTTAGGTCTTTTAAATTGTTTTTCAAGATGTATTCCTAGGCACTTTATATATTTTGTTGTTCTTGTTAATACTATCTTTTTGAAATTATATGTTTTAATTTACTGTTGCTGGTAAAGAAAGACATAATTGCATATCATTATTTTTTGTATCTGCTATTTTGTTAAACTTGCTTTTAAAGGCCAATAATTTACATATAGTTTTTATATATTCCATGTGAACAATAATATCTGTAAATGGTGACAATTTTCTTTCTTTCAATCTCTTTGTAACTTCCTTTCTTCCCATACTTAAACCTTTTGTTTCTTTTTCTTGTCTTTACTGTCTGGTAACTCTAATACAATGTTGAATAGAAATGGTAATAGGTAACATTCTTTTTTTTTTTTGTCTTTTTTTTATTATACTTTAAGTTTTAGGGTACATGTGCACATTGTGCAGGTTAGTTACATATGTATACATGTGCCATGCTGGTGCACTGCACCCACTAACTCGTCATCTAGCATTAGGTATATCTCCCAATGCTATCCCTACCCCCTCCCCCCACCCCATAACAGTCTCCAGAGTGTGATATTCCCCTTCCTGTGTCCATGTGATCTTATTGTTCAATTCCCACCTATGAGTGAGAATATGCGGTGTTTGGTTTTATGTTCTTGTGATAGTTTACCGAGAATGATGTTTTCCAATTTCATCCATGTCCCTACAAAGGACATGAACTCATCATTTTTTATGGCTGCATAGTATTCCATGGTGTATATGTGCCACATTTTCTTAATCCAGTCTATCATTGTTGGACATTTGGGTTGGTTCCAAGTCTTTGCTATTGTGAATAATGCCGCAATAAACATACGTGTGCATGTGTCTTTATAGCAGCATGATTTATAGTCCTTTGGGTATATACCCAGTAATGGGATGGCTGGGTCAAATGGTATTTCCAGTTCTAGATCCCTGAGGAATCGCCACACTGACTTCCACAATGGTTGAACTAGTTTACAGTCCCACCAACAGTGTAAAAGTGTTCCTATTTCTCCACATCCTCTCCAGCACCTGTTGTTTCCTGACTTTTTAATGATTGCCATTCTAACTGGTGTGAGATGGTATCTCATTGTGATTTTGATTTGCATTTCTCTGATGGCCAGTGATGATGAGCATTTTTTCATGTGTTTTTTGGCTGCATAAATGTCTTCTTTTGAGAAGTGTCTGCTCATGTCCTTCACCCACTTTTTGATGGGGTTGTTTGTTTTTTTCTTGTAAATTTGTTTGAGTTCATTGTAGATTCTGGATATTAGCCCTTTGTCAGGTGAGTAGGTTGCGAAAATTTTCTTCCATTTTGTAGGTTGCCTGTTCACTCTGATGGTAGTTTCTTTTGCTGTGCAGAAGCTCTTTAGTTTAATTAGATCCCATTTGTCAATTTTGTCTTTTGTTGCCATTGCTTTTGGTGTTTTAGACATGAAGTCGTTGCCCATGCCTATGTCCTGAATGGTAATGCCTAGGTTTTCTTCTAGGGTTTTTATGGTTTTAGGTCTAACGTTTAAGTCTTTAATCCATGTTGAATTGATTTTTGTATAAGGTGTAAGGAAGGGATCCAGTTTCACCTTTCTACATATGGCTAGCCAGTTTTCCCAGCACCATTTATTAAATAGGGAATCCTTTCCCCATTGCTTGTTTTTCTCAGGTTTGTCAAAGATCAGATAGTTGTAGATATGCGGCATTATTTCTGAGGGCTCTGTTCTGTTCCATTGATCTATATCTCTGTTTTGGTACCAGTACCATGCTGTTTTGGTTACTGTAGACTTGTAGTATAGTTTGAAGTCAGGTAGTGTGATGCCTCCAGCTTTGTTCTTTTGGCTTAGGATTGACTTGGTGATGTGGGCTCTTTTTTGGTTCCATATGAACTTTAAAGTAGTTTTTTCCAATTCTGTGAAGAAAGGCATTGGTAGCTTGATGGGGATGACATTGAATCTGTAAATTACCTTGGGCAGTATGGCCATTTTCACGATATTGATTCTTCCTACCCATGAGCATGGAATGTTCTTCCATTTGTTTGTATCCTCTTTTATTTCATTGAGCAGGGGTTTGTAGTTCTCCTTGAAGAGGTCGTTCACATCCCTTGTAAGTTGGATTCCTAGATATTTTATTCTCTTTGAAGCAATTGTGAATGGCAGTTCACTCATGATTTGGCTCTCTGTTTGTCTGTTGTTGGTGTATAAGAATGCTTGTGATTTTTGTACATTGATTTTGTATCCTGAGACTTTGCTGAAGTTGCTTATCAGCTTAAGGAGATTTTGGGCTGAGACAATGGGGTTTTCTAGATATACAATCATGTCGTCTGCAAACAGGGACAATTTGACTTCCTCTTTTCCTAATTGAATACCCTTTATTTCCTTCTCCTGCCTAATTGCCCTGGCCAGAACTTCCAACACTATGTTGAATAGGAGTGGTGAGAGAGGGCATCCCTGTCTTGTGCCAGTTTTCAAAGGGAATGCTTCCAGTTTTTGCCCATTCAGTATGATATTGGCTGTGGGTTTGTCATAGATAGCTCTTATTATTTTGAAATACGTCCCATCAATACCTAATTTATTGAGAGTTTTTAGCATGAAGGGTTGTTGAATTTTGTCAAAGACTTTTTCTGCATCTATTGAGATAATCATGTGGTTTTTGTCTTTGGCTCTGTTTATATGCTGGATTACATTTATTGATTTGTGTATATTGAACCAGCCTTGCATCCCAGGGATGAAGCCCACTTGATCATGGTGGATAAGCTTTTTGATGTGCTGCTGGATTTGTTTTGCCAGTATTTTATTGAGGATTTTTGCATCAATGTTCATCAACGATATTGGTCTAAAATTTTCTTTTTTTGTTGTGTCTCTGCCTGGCTTTGGTATCAGAATGATGCTGGCCTCATAAAGTGAGTTAGGGAGGATTCCCTCTTTTTCTATTGATTGGAATAGTTTCAGAAGGAATGGTACCAGTTCCTCCTTGTACCTCTGGTAGAATTCAGCTATGAATCCATCTGGTCCTGGACTCTTCTTGGTTGGTAAGCTATTGATTATTGCCACAATTTCAGCTCCTGTTATTGGTCTATTCAGAGATTCAACTTCTTCCTGGTTTAGTCTTGGGAGAGTGTATGTGTCAAGGAATTTATCCATTGCTGCTAGATTTTCTAGTTTATTTGCGTAGAGGTTTTTGTAGTATTCTCTTATGGTAGTTTGTATTTCTGTGGGATCGGTGGTGATATCCCCTTTATCATTTTTTATTGCATCTATTAGATTCTTCTCTCTTTTTTGCTTTATTAGTCTTGCTAGCGGTCTATCAATTTTGTTGATCCTTTCAAAAAACCAGCTCCTGGATTCATTCATTTTTTGAAGGGTTTTTTGTGTCTCTATTTCCTTCAGTTCTGCTCTGATCTTAGTTATTTCTTGCCTTCTGCTAGCTTTTCAATGTGTTTGCTCTTGCTTTTCTAGTTCTTTTAATTGTGATGTTAGGGTGTCAATTTTGGATCTTTCCTGCTTTCTCCTGTGGGCATTTAGTGCTATAAATTTCCCTCTACACACTGCTTTAAATGTGTCCCAGAGATTCTGGTATGTTGTGTCTTTGTTCTCATTGGTTTCAAAGAACATCTTTATTTCTGCCTTCATTTCGTTATGTACCCAGTAGTCATTCAGGAGCAGGTTGTTCAGTTTCCATGTAGTTGAGCGGTTTTGAGTGAGATTCTTAATCCTGAGTTCTAGTTTGATTGCACTGTGGTCTGAGAGATAGTTTGTTATAATTTCTGTTCTTTTACATTTGCTGAGGAAAGCTTTACTTCCAAGTATGTGGTCAATTTTGGAATAGGTGTGGTGTGGTGCTGAAAAAAATGTATATTCTGTTGATTTGGGGTGGAGAGTTCTGTAGATGTCTATTAGGTCCCCTTGGTGCAGAGCTGAGTTCAATTCCTGGGTATCCTTGATGACTTTCTGTCTTGTTGATCTGTCTAATGTTAACAGTGGGGTGTTAAAGTCTCCCATTATTAATGTGTGGGAGTCTAAGTCTCTTTGTAGGTCACTCAGGACTTGCTTTATGAATCTTGGTGCTCCTGTATTGGGTGCATATATATTTAGGATAGTTAGCTCTTCTTGTTGAATTGATCCCTTTACCATTATGTAATGGCCTTCTTTGTCTCTTTTGATCTTTGTTGGTTTAAAGTCTGTTTTATCAGAGACTAGGATTGCAACCCCTGCCTTTTTTTGTTTTCCATTTGCTTGGTAGATCTTCCTCCATCCTTTTATTTTGAGCCTATGTGCGTCTCTGCAGGTGAGATGGGTTTCCTGAATACAGCACACTGATGGGTCTTGACTCTTTATCCAATTTGCCAGTCTGTGTCTTTTAATTGGAGCAGTTAGTCCATTTACATTTAAAGTTAATGTTGTTATGTGTGAATTTGATCCTGTCATTATGATGTTAGCTGGTTATTTTGCTCGTTAGTTGATGCAGTTTCTTCCTAGTCTCGACGGTCTTTACATTTTGGCATGATTTTGCAGTGGCTGGTACCGGTTGTTCCTTTCCATGTTTAGCGCTTCCTTCAGGAGCTCTTTTAGGGCAGGCCTGGTGGTGATAAAATCTCTCAGCATTTGCTTGTCTGTAAAATATTTTATTTCTCCTTCGCTTATGAAGCTTAGTTTGGCTGGATATGAAATTCTGGGTTGAAAATTCTTTTCTTTAAGAATGTTGAATATTGGCCCCCACTCTCTTCTGGCTTGTAGGGTTTCTGCCGAGAGATCCACTGTTAGTCTGATGGGCTTCCCTTTGAGGGTAAGCCAACCTTTCTCTCTGGCTGCCCTTAACATTTTTTCCTTCATTTCAACTTTGGTGAATCTGACAATTATGTGTCTTGGAGTTGCTCTTCTCGAGGAGTATCTTTGTGGCGTTCTCTGTATTTCCTGAATCTGAACGTTGGCCTGCCTTGCTAGATTGGGGAAGTTCTCCTGGATAATATCCTGCAGAGTGTTTTCCAACTTGGTTCCATTCTCCCCATCACTTTCAGGTACCCCAATCAGACGTAGATTTGGTCTTTTCACATAGTCCCATATTTCTTGGAGGCTTTGCTCATTTCTTTTTATTCTTTTTTCTCTAAACTTCCCTTCTTGCTTCATTTCATTCCTTTCATCTTCCATTGCTGATACTCTTTCTTCCAGTTGATCGCATCGGCTCCTGAGGCTTCTGCATTCTTCACGTAGTTCTCGAGCCTTGGTTTTCAGCTCCATCAGCTCCTTTAAGCACTTCTCTGTATTGGTTACTGTAGTTATACATTCTTCTAATTTTTTTTCAAAGTTTTCAACTTCTTTGCCTTTGGTTTGAATATCCTCCCGTAGCTCAGAGTAATTTGATCATCTGAAGCCTTCTTCTCTCAGCTCGTCAAAGTCATTCTCCATCCAGCTTTGTTCCGTTGCTGGTGAGGAACTGCGTTCCTTTGGAGGAGGAGAGGCGCTCTGCTTTTTAGAGTTTCCAGTTTTTCTGTTCTGTTTTTTCCCCATCTTTGTGGTTTTATCTACTTTTGGTCTTTGATGATGGTGATGTACAGATGGGTTTTTGGTGTGGATGTCCCTTCTGTTTGTTAGTTTTCCTTCTAACAGACAGGACCCTCAGCTGCAGGTCTGTTGGAATACCCTGCCGTGTGAGGTGTCAGTGTGCTCCTGCTGGGGGGTGCCTCCCAGTTAGGCTGCTCAGGGGTCAGGGGTCAGGGAGCCACTTGAGGAGGCAGTCTGCCCGTTCTCAGATCTCCAGCTGCGTGCTGGGAGAACCACTGCTGTCTTCAAAGCTGTCAGACAGGGACATTTAAGTCTGCAGCGGTTACTGCTGTCTTTTTGTTTGTCTGTGCCCTGCCCCCAGAGGTGGAGCCTATAGAGGCAGGCAGGCCTCCTTGAGCTGTGGTGGGCTCCGCCCATTTCGAGCTTCCTGGCTGCTTTGTTTACCTAATCAAGCCTGGGCAATGGTGGGCTCCCCTCCCGCAGCCTCGCTGCCGCCTTGCAGATTGATCTCAGACTGCTGTGCTAGCAATCAGCGAGACTCCGTGGGCGTAGGACCCTCCAAGCCAGGTGTGGGATATAATCTCGTGGTGCGCCGTTTTTTAAGCCCGTCGGAAAAGCGCAGTATTCGGGTGGGAGTGACCCGATTTTCCAGGTGCCGTCCGTCACCCCTTTTTTGACTCGGAAAGGGAACTCCCTGACCCCTTGCGCTTCCCAAGTGAGGCAATGGCTCGCCCTGCTTCGGCTCGCGCACGGTGTGCGCACCCACTGACCTGCGCCCACTGTCTGGCACTCCCTAGTGAGATGAACCTGGTACCTCAGATGGAAATGCAGAAATCACCGTCTTCTGCGTCACTCACGTTGGGAGCTGTAGACCGGAGCTGTTCTTATTCGGCCATCTTGGCTCCTCCCCCTAGGTAACATTCTTGCCTTGTTCCTAATCTTAAGTTGAATGTATCAAATATTTTACCATTAAGTATGTAATTTTCTCTCAGTTTTTGTGGATGTTCTTTATTAGGGAAAATAAGTTTTCATCTGTTACTAGTTTGGTAAAATTTAATTTTTAATTATGAATCTCTGTTGAGCTTTATCAAACAATTTTTCTGCATCAATTGAGATGGCCCAATGGATTTTCTACTTAATCTGTTAATGCAGTAAATTACATTAATTGATTTTCTAATATTAACCAATCATTGTCATATCTCATTTTTTTCCATACATTTTTTATTTGGTTGGCAATGTCTTTTATAGGATTTTTTCATCTATGTTTATGAGTGAAACTGTACTGTTATTTTCATTTCTTATAGTATCCTTAGGTTGTTTTGTTACCTAGACAATGCTAGCCTCATGTTAAGAGTTGGGAATGTTTTCTCTTTTTTATTTTCTGAAAGAAGTTGCTTATGATGTATGTTCTAGCACTATTGCTTGCAGGGGTCAACACCAAAGCAGCTGAAACTATTCCTGAAGTCATTTTTAAAGACATTGTATTTGCCTGTTTATAGGAAATTTAAATATTGGCATTTTAAGAGATTAGATTTTGGGCTTATTATAGCAGCAGAGAAAGTATATTCATCTTTTCCTAGCCTCTGTCACCTACACATTTCTTTATGATGGAAGTAATTCACATCTATACAGTGAGGTCTGATTGTATATGAAGGCTTATAATAGTTAGATACAGAGGAAAAGGGAGGTATTAATTTACCATTTTCTAACTCATCAATAGTCTCGGAAAGTATCCAGCGATTTGAGAAAAAAATTCTGCTTGTTAAACTTTTTGGATTTTCTTGCTGAGGAGGGTGAGGTTTTAGGTTTTTAGGTTTTAGGTGGGTTTTATTTTCAGGGCTTTTAGGAAAAGGGGAACGACAATTATACCTCAAGTGTTCCAATCCTCAGCTGATAGAAAAGGAAGATCTACTTTACAGTAGCTCATCAAATACATTGTCCTCAGAAATTCAGGGGACACAGCATCTTCTTCAGGAGCAAGTGTTCCTTGTTTAACTATTGCGTGGTTGAAGCCCACAGATGTTAGATTGGGTCCCCATACCAATTTATTTCAGTGGATTATGATTGCAACAAATTCAGAGAAACATTTCCCATAAAACCATTATTGTAAAAGTTCAACTCCTTTACAATTGTTAGAGGATTAGGTTACCACTTCTAGTAACTGCTCACTTATGTTCTTCAGTCTCATAACAAGGACTTTCAAAACATTTTGCTTAACACATTCCATTTCTATGTAAACAAGACAGGCTTCAAATGAGATGCCTTTCTTGTCTGGGGTTAAATTTGAGATTTAAGTGCACTTCGGAATTTAAATATAGCGGAATAAATAAGTGAACCATGTAAGAGTGACCTCACCTGCATCTGCATTTTCAGTCTAACTATTCAGGTTTGTCAAGAGAGTCTGAAAATACAACAATTACTTATACCTACTCTTGATTTCCAACTTGCAGTTAAGACCTATCTAAATATAGGCAGCGAATAGAGTGTCAAAAATAGAAGATGTAAGAAGTTGGAGAAAAATTACCTACCATGTTGCAGTATTGCAACATTTTAAAATATTTTCTTTCTTTCCCTTTTCTTTTGGGGTATTAAAATTTTTAAATTAAGGTATAGCTTGCATACAGAAAAGTTAACTCTTTTCAGTGTATAGCTAATTTTGACAAAGCCATAAAAAAGTATAACCCCTACCACAATCAAGATGTAGAACAATTTCACCACTCAAAAGAAACAAACAAACAAACAACAACAACAACAACAACAAAAAACCCTCACTCTGCTTTGTACAGGCATACTTCAGAGATATTGTGGATTTGGTTCCAGATCACTGCAATAAATGAATACTGCAATACTGTCACATAAGTTTTCTGATTTCCCAGTACATGTAAAAGTTATGTTTACACTATACTATAAGGTGTGTAATAATATTATGTCTAAAAAATGTACACGCCTTAATTTAAAAATATTTTGTTGTTGAAAAATGCTAATGATCTATTGAGCCATCATAATCTTTATGCTGGCAGAGAGTCTTACCTCGATGCTGATGGCTGTTGAATAGTCAAGGTAGTGATTGATGAAAGTTTGGGGATATCTGTGGCAATTTCTTAAAATAAGGAAACAATGAAGTTTGCCACATCAATTGACTCTTTTTCACAAAAGATTTCTCTGCAGCAAGCAATGCTGTTGATAGTATTTTACCCACAGCAGAACTTTTTTCAAAATTGGAGTCAACCCACTCAAACCCTGCTGCAGATTTATCCAATGGGTGGCTATAATATTCTAAACCCTTTGTTGTTACTTTAACAATGTTCATAGCATCTTCATCAGGAGTAACATTCCATTGGAAGACATCCTTTTCTTAACCTTAATAAGCAACTCCAAATCCATTCAAGTTTCATCATGACATTGCAGCAATTCAGTGACATTTTCAGGCTCCGCTTCTAATTCTAGTTCCCTTCCTATTTCCACCACATCTTCAGTTCCTCTCCTATTGAAGTCTTGAGACCCTCAAAATCACCCATGAGGGTTGGAATCAACTTATTCCAAATTCCTGTTAATGTTGATATTTTGACCTGTTCCTAGATTCATGGATGTTCTTAATGGCATCTAGAATGGTGAATCCTTTCTAGAAGGTTTTGAATTTACTTTGCCCAGATCCATCAGAGGTATCACTCTCTATGGTAGCTACAGCTTTACAAAATGTTTTTCTTTTCTTTTTCTTTTTGTTTTTTTGAGACGGAATCTCGCTCTGTCACCCAGGCTGGAGTGCGGTGGCGCAATCTCGGCTCACTGCAAGCTCCACCTCCAGTGTTCACACCATTCGCCTGCCTCAGCCTCCCGATTAGCTGGGACTACAGGCGGCCGCCACCATGCTCGGCTAATTTTTTTTTTCTGTATTTTTAGTAGAGACGGGGTTTCACCGTGTTAGTCAGGATGGTCTCAATCTCCTGACCTTGTGATCCACCCGCCTCGGCCTCCCAAAGTGCTGGGATTACAGGCGGGAGCCACCGTGCCTGGCCACAAAATGTTTTTCTTAATTAATGACTTGAAAGTCAAAATTATTCCTTGATTCACCCACTATGGAATGGATGCTGTATTAGTGGGCATGCAAACAGCAATAATCTCCTTGCACATCTTCATCAGAGCTCTTGGGTGACCAGATGTATTGTTAATGAGCAGTAATATTTTGAAAGGAATCTTTTTTTTTTTTTTTTCTGAGCAGTAGGTCTCATCAATGGGCCTAACATATTCAGTAAACCATGCTGTAAATAGATATGCTGAAACCGAGGCTTTGCTTTTCCACTTATAGGACACAGGCAGAGTAGATTTAGCATAATTCTTAAGGGCTCTAGGATTTTTGGAATGGTAAATGAACATTGCCTTCAACTTAAAGCCACCAGCTGCATTAGCCCCTAACAAGGGAGTCAGCCTGTCCCTTGAACCTTTAAAGCCAGTCATTGACTTCTCTTCTGTAGCTATTAAAATCCTAGATGGCATTTTCTTCCAATATAAGGCTGTTTTGTTTACAATGAAAGTCTGTCGTTTCATGCAGCCACTTTATCAATGATCTTAGCTAGATGTTCTGGATAACTTGCTGCAGCTTCTGCATCAGCACTTGCTGCTTCTCCTTGTACTTTTGTGTTATGGAGACAGATTATTTTCTTAAACTTCATGAACCATCCTTTGCTAGCCTAAAATTTTTCTTCTGCATTTTCTTCACCTCTTTCAGCTTTCACAGAACTGAAGAGAGTTAGGGCTTTGCTCTGGATTGGCTTTAGCCTAAGGGAAAGTTGTGGTTGGTTTGATCTTCTATCCAGATCACCAAAACTTCTCCATCTTTGCAGTAAGGCTGTTTCTTTTTCTTCTCATTCATGTGTTCACTGGAGTAGGACTTTTAATTTCCTTCAGGAATTTTTCCTTTGAATTTATAACTTGGCTAACTGTTTGATGCAAAGGGCCTAGCTTTCTTTTTTTTTCACCAAACTTAATCGTTTCTAGCTTTTGATTGAAAGTGAAAGACATGTGACTCCTCCTTTCACTTGAACACTTAGGGACTATTGTAGGGTTATTAACTGACCTAATTTCAATATTGTTTTGTCTCAGATAATAGGGAGACTTGAAGAGAGGGAGAGAGATGGGGGAATGGCTGGTCGTTGGAGCAGTCAGAACACACACAACACTTTTCCATTAAGTTTGCCATCTTATATAGGCATGGTTTGTGGCACCCCAAAACAATTACAATAGGAACATCAAAAAGATCACTGATTACAGATTACCCTAATAGATATAATAATAATGAAAAAGTTTGAAATACTGAGAGAATTACAAAAATGTGACACAGAGACACCTGCTGTTGGAAAAATGGTAATGGTAGATTTGCTTGATTCAGGGTTGCCACCAGAAACCTTCAATTTGTTTAAAAGAAAATGCAATATCTGCAAAGCACAATAAAGCAAAGTTCAATAAAATGAAGTATGACTGTAGTTAACCCCTGCCATCTCTCATTCCCAGACCTTGGCAACCACCTTGGCAATTCTCTGTCATTGTAGTTTTGCTTTTTCTAGGATGCCGTATAAATGGAATACAATGTCTAGCTTTTCTTGATGTAGCTGCTTTCAATTAGCAATATATATTTGAGATTCATTTAAGTCGTTGTGTGAATTAAACGTTTGCTCCTTTTTATTGTTGAGTAGTATTCTATTGTAATGATGTGCCACAATTTGCTTATCCATTCCCCAGATGAAGAACATTTGTTTTTTTAATTTTTGTATATTTCATTTGTATTATATTTTTCATTTTCTAAGATTTAAAATTAAGCCACTATTTATACATGAATAAAAGTATGTTACAGGTTACTTCCCAGTCACATAGTGAATGTGAGCTGCCTTCAGATACATTGCTGATCCTTTCACTTACCTGTGCTTTCCTTTTGCTTGCCTATTAAGTTCTAGAGTTTCTGTCTTATGATGCACTTGAAATTGCATTTTCCAACCTTTCCACACTGATCTTCCTTTCATGGAAGCCTGACCTTATCTCAGAACTCAAGTTACAATAATATATTCAGTGGTTTGAATATTTGATCAATTTCTATGCTTTCCAATTGCTTTTAAGCTCCATAGGAAGGAGGCCCTATCTCCTTTTGCCAACCACTATTACCCTAAGACCTTACGCAACACAGAGCCCACAGTATGCTCTCAATAAGTATTTGTGGAAGGTATGAATCCTCACACTATTACTCTAAGCAAATGATTTCCCTTAGTGCATTTCTGAGTCCATCTCATCTTCCACATCTCAAAATTATTCATTCATTTATCTGTCTTTCTTCTATCTATCTGTCTGCCTCTCTGTCTATTTATATTTTTCTCAGAAGAAGAAATGCCTATCATTTCCTTCATGGCTAACCCCTTCTCTCATCTCCTTACTATCATTCTTACCACTCTCCCTAAATCCTTTGGTACCTTGTTATATAAATCATTCCAGTATTCTCTTTTTCTCTCTTTTTCCTCCTCTTCCTCTAGTTACTGCTTCCCTTCATCTTGGAAACATGTGGTTCTCCATCTTCTAGGAGTCATCACTTTGTATTACTGTCCCATCTGACTGCCTTCCCCTCTCAGGCAGCCAGGGCTGGTGGAGACTTAAAAGCCCCAGGGCATGGGATAAGTTGGAGTGTTGGTGGCAATGCAGGAAAGGACATGCATTAGATGATCTGAGAAGCAGCATCTGGAGGACAAAAAGAAGACAAAGACCTGGGAAGATTAGTTATGAAATTCCTCAGTCTAAAACAGCTCCAGAGGTGGAAGAATCTGAAGCCCGAGTCTCCTTACTCTGTTGGGTAAAAGCATATATGGGGACTGGGATGAGAGGGCAAATGGCAACCCATGTACCATTTGTCTAAATATTTCACAATTAAAAATCAAGCTAAGAAACTGCTCAGTAGAATAGGTTCCACTTCCTACTTCAAAAATATACTTCATAACAATAAATACAAAATAATGTGTGAAACTATATTTATGGGACTCACATTTGTCAAAAAATAAAAGACAACTGGGTTTAATTGTTATTGCACACATTTAAGAACCCTGATGATGTTTGGATGAGTAACAGTATAGCCAAAAATGACAAAATGGATTTTTCTTGCCTTTATTTCAGCAAAATTGCTAATTAGGTTGTTATCACGAAGATTTTAACGTAATTTATTTTCTATTAATAATGTCAAACTACACAACTTTTCTTGAGTCATTGTAGTTCTTTGATAGTTTTTACTAGTTTTAATTTGAAAGAATATTAGATTTGAAAATGAACCATGAACTTTATGAATCAGGTTAAACATCTTTATGGGTTAGCATATGAAAAATTATTACAGACAATGTTAGATGATATTTTTAATTTCACCATATGAATTGCTAGCACTTTGGTTGTGACAGTCATCATCTCTTATGGCAGTATCTGGTTCTCAAACAGTACTTATTAAGTTATTTTTCCTTCAGAAATTTTAATAGCAATATATTGTAAAGAAAATTTAAAAATAGCAGTACATTGATCAATGACAACTTGATCTATATTGGCCAGAAAATAGTACAAATAGAAGTTTATTTCAGAATTATTCATATGCGAATCATCAATTTCACAGTCACGTAGATTTCCCCCATGTTTGAACTTCCTTGTAGTTTACTGGAATGTTACTTTTGGAACGTATTTTATATTTTTAAATTTAACATTTGTCTTTAAATTAAAAAATTAAATTTATTAAAAAGTGGAACTACTAAAGTTATATCTTTTTTAAGATAAATTTTCTAATATTATTAATAGCAAGCAACAGTTCATACCAATAGCTGTGGCTATCACAAATTCAAAATTAGTTCATTTCCTGTCAATGTCCATGACTCACTCTTTGTGGATCTTCTGTGGTTTGGCTTACCTCTCCTTGTGCATCTCATATCTCGGCTAAATTAAGTTTAATTGCTTTAACAACATTTTGTCAAAATTCCTGTCATGTGTTTGAGAGTGGTTTAAAAGTCACATTCTTTTAATCAAGATGTTCTATCTTTGAGCAGATCCAGAAAATATTGTACGTAGTTGTTAAAATTATTCCCCAGATTTATTATCTTCACAGTAGAGTTTATGTCTCCTAGTAACAAATTCAAAGTATGCATTGTACCTGGCAGAAAGAATGTTTTCTGGTTTTCAGCTAAGATTCTGGTTTCTACACGTTTTTCTTCACCAGCAACGTTAGTGTCATTATCTTAGGCTTCCCCTTTAAAACTTTAAAAATTGATCCCTAAATTTATTTTCTCATTCTTCACATAATTCAGAACCAAGGAAATACTAATTAATTGTGATATTCTTGTTTTCTTCTCTAGTAGCTTAAAAGTACATGAAATCAATGTGAATTTTCAACATGACTTTTATCCCTGGTACAGGCCAGTTGAAATGACTAACAATTACTTTTTCAAATTATATCTATGAAAATTTTCTTTCATTTTTGTGCTCATTAAACTAATAATCCCATTTTGAATTCTCCACACTAGACAGTGATCATTTGCTTTATGATGACCATCTTTCATCTACCTTAAATGTTTGGCCATTCTACCACTGCATTTTGAAATCCTTTCTATTAAATCTAGATATATTCCACTGTTTTCTGTATATATTATACCCACAGTTCTGACATTTGTTTTAACAATATTTACATAATATTCTTTCAATAACATTACACTAATAGTCTTTTTTCTTTCTCTTCCTATTTCCCGCCCCCCCCCCCCCGCCCCCGAGGAAAAAAATACCCCCAGGGTCTTGCTCTGTCACCCAGGCTGGAGTACAGTGGTGCAATCATGGTTTACTGCAGCCTCCGCCTCCTTTGCTCACATGATCCTCCTGCCTTGACCTCCTAAAGCATTGGGATTAAAGGCATGAGCCACCACACCCAGTTTACGCTAATATTCTATATTGACATTTAATTTCTTTGTTGAATCCATTGTTTGGCTGCTTATTCAATTTTTTTTTCAGTGCCAGAAATTGCATGTATGCTTTTTAATATGTGCAAGTGATATTCTGTGTTCTTTCAATTGAGAACATAAATTTCCTGTAAAAAAATAGCTTCATTGGCTAAAGCTGATCTTGAAGGTTGGCTGTGAATCATATCACAGCAATAGCAAAACACGTTGTCTTTGAATGTTGTTATTTCTCTGCTTGGAACACTCTTAAAGTTTTCCTTATCACAACTCACTCTCTCACTTAACTCAAGCCTTTGTGCAAAGGGCTCCTCAAAGAGGACACAAGATCTAACAGCACCCTGGCCCCATGATTTCTACCTCTAGCACTTGTGACTACTTGCATGTCACGTCTTCCCCACTAGACCTTAAGCTGCACGAGGACAGGACTCTGCCTGTTTTGTTCCCAACGGTATCTCTAGTATCTAGAACAGTTACTAGCCTAGTATCTAGAACAGTTACTAGCCTACAGTGGGCACTTAAATATTTGTTGAGGGAAAGTGATCTCTATTCAGAAACTGCATTCTTTAGCTCATTAATGAATTTCTTTGGTCTAGGCCAAAGGCCCTTTATTATTTTCTATTATCTTAACTTCTGTACAGCAGTCATTCTCAAAGAGCAGTCCCCATACCAGCCGCTTTCACATAATCTGAAAACTTATTGGAAATGCAAATTCTTAGGCCCCATCCTAGACCTACTGAATCAGAAGCTCTGGAGGTGGGCCCAGCAATCTTTTCATAATTCCTGTAGGTATTTCTGATGCATGATAAAGTTTGCGAACCACTGCCTTATGTGCAAATGATCTCATATTGTGAATTGCTTTCTTACTTTTATAGTCCCATTGTGATTTGTATTAAGGGCATATTGAATGCTAGAATTCTTTTTCTTTTCTTTTTACTATGAGCTATTCAGATGATATTGATCAGACATTACTGTATGACTTGTACTTAATCCTATTCAAGAATCAAGCATGAAGACAATCTTGGATTATATGTCAAGGAATAAATTAGAAATATATTCTCCTGCTTGCTCCTGAATAAGAGACTAAATGATGCAATTGGTTTAATATATTTTATGGTTTATTTTTGCTTGTAGCAGGTGACTGTCTGCTTCAGGACTATGGTATTTTATTTATTTCTATTTTTTTTTCTACTCCTTTCTGTTTCTTGTTTCAATTCCTGTCACTTGAGAGGAAAATGTATTTGAGGATGGAAGAAAGGACCAAGTTAGGGAAAGAGCCAAAGCTTCCACTGCGCTTCTCATAGGGAGAATAATTAGGATCTTAGTGGAATTTCCATTTTATGCATTCTTAATGGTCTCATTCAATATACCTAATTTTGTGACAGTTAATCTAAAAAAGATCAAGAATTATTATTGTTCTTTCTTAACTAGTGTGCTTTGTGAGTTTTTATGGCATGTCATGCACTCTAGGGTTTATGAATTAAAGTTCACTAGGAGTTACTCTGAGTGCCTGCAAAACTCTGTCCAAGCTTCAGTGTCTACTCCAAAGCTCTTAATTGGTGTGGAAAGTAAAAACAGCAAAAAGATTATCCTCAAAATAATGAGATACTGTTTAGTCATGTCTTTTTACTTTATTTGGTTTAAGCTAGCAATGGAGTCCTTTTTTCTTGCATATTTTTGAGAGAGTGGGGAAAATGTTTTGTTGTCAGATATTCCATTTTTATACAAAGAGAAAAAGGTTTTTAAAAAGGGTCACTTAAATGTATGGCTCCTGAGGGAGGGAAAGTGAAAAGATGGCATTTATTGGAAGTTGGCAATAGTTTGAGGACAGATGGCTTTTTGGCTCTTTCTGCTTTGCCGTATTTAAATGTTGTTTAAATGTTTTTCTCCATTAATTCTACTATTTGTTCTCTATGGTCTAGTAAAGTGAATTCTATTGCTTTTTAAACACACACACAAATGCACACACACACACACGTGTGTGACCAAGCACAGAGCTCTGAGAAGCTCATATCTTCTCAGCATAAATCAAGTTCTGAAGGATTTGAGAAAAGCACACCAAATCTCAAATGAGAGGGATGTTGTTCATAAAAGGACTGAGATTTTCCAGATACTCCATTTCAGTAGTCAGTGAGCTGGTGAGTAGAAAGATTATAATTATAATTATAATTTTATTCCACACACAACATGCACATGGATGTGACTTCCTTCATGGAAATGATGGCATGACACTCCAGACGAACTTCTCCCGTTCTGTGTATTTCACCTTGACCCCAGTTCTGGATCACAGTTGACTGGTGTCACTTGAGTTATGGACTGGGATGAATATCAGCCATGAATGTAGAAAGAGCCCTGGACTTGGAAACATAACATCTCAGGACAAGTTTCACCTTGGCCTTCTTTTCAGCTCTGCTACCTGGGATCTCTTTTTCATTGAGATTCTGTGTTTTCATCTCTAAAATGGGGATGCCACCGCATATTATTCTTATTTCCTAGCGTTTCAGATGTAGTTGTGAATGTGGAAAATGCTGTGTAAATGTTGTGCATTGTTTAGAAGGAAGATATTGTTAGTATCATTATCACTATTAATAACCACAGGCTTTTGAGAGATAAGACTATGAAAATAGTGGTAAGGAGCAACCCTGAAAGACACTCACACATCCTGAGTGCAGAGAGAATCGCAGTAAGGTTGACAGCATTTTAAGAAGCATTGAGGCCGGGCGTGGTGGCTCACGCCTGTAATCCCAGCACTTTGGGAGGCCGAGGCAGGTGGATCACGAGGTCAGGAGTTCGAGACCAGCCTGGCCAACATGGTGAAACACCGTCTCTACTAAAAATACAAAAAATTAGCCGGGAGTGGTGGTGCATGCCTGTAATCCCAGCTACTCAGGAGGCTGAGGCAGAAGAATCGTTTGAACCCGGGAGGCGGAGGTTGCAGTGAGCTGAGATTGTGCCACTGAACTCCAGCCTGGGTGACAGAGTGAGACTTCATCTCAAACAAACAAACAAACAAACAAAAAAAAGCATTGAATGATCGCTTGTGTCATAATTTTTCTCTTTCTTTAAATGACATTTTGGGGCTCCTCAGGGCCAATGCTTCTCACTGGGAATTCAGCATTAATCTCAAGAAAATGAGGAAACTGAATTTCTTCCAAGGCTGCCACATCGCTTTCCTTCTCTGAGGACATCCCTATCACTCTCCCAAAGACTGCATTGTGCAAGGATGTTGAAACCTTGAACTCCCCTAGTGAAGGGATTGGGAAAGTGGCTGCACACTGAAAAATGCAAGGCATCTGGAAAAAGTGCCCAGAGGATGTAATGTGTCTCGGTGACCAATTGGCAGACTGTATCCTGTTCTCTCATTCTTTTATTCCCTCCAGACATCCTCCGTTTCTTTTCCTGCCCTGAATAGTAATGACTTCTTCATCTGGCACAGCCACTGAAGAGGGAGAGTGAGGGCCTTCCCAGGCCACACCAGCCATGCCTTATTTCTATTGGCCAAAAGAGATGATGGATGAACGGCAGATGCTGCTGTCAGCCCAGCTCCTTTGCTCAGCCTCTGGAGATTATTGATACTCAACGGAGACCAGTCAGCTGCTCAGTGAAGGTGCCCTAGGGTCAACATGGATCCCAAATCCAGGAAAATATGCCGGTATACACATAGTCATCAAATCAAAACTTGAGGTTAAATACGCCCCCCAAAATCTGCACTCTCAGAGAAGCAGCTGTGTAAAATTTACTCATCTCCCCATTCCAGAGACTCTAAGAGGTCCCAGCACCAATGGGATATTACCTCTTTCCTGTCCCACTTCTTTATTACTCACACTCTATTTCACAGATTCAGTGAATGCAGTGTTTCTAAGACACACCTGGCAAGTGTTGTAAACACCAGTTTGTACAACACTATTCACATTACTGACCTGGCTACAGGATGCCTAGTTGAACCCTTACCATTTTGCCTAGCTTTTCCTAGCCAGCAAAATAATTTCATCCAGGAACCAGGGCTGGCCTACAAATTACAAGTTTGCATACAAATCCATGCAGCACTAGGACCTAGTTTGTGCTTTAGGTTTATGGCTTGTGGGGAGGTGAGGATGGGACTGGACACTGTTTATTCTATAAAATGGACATAGATTCAGTTCATATGTAGGTACACAAGATGCCAGCCCTACATGTGGGCTCTTTACTGAACAGCTGAGTGGTCTCTGATACATTTCAGTCAATGATTTTTTAGACTGAAGGTAGAGCCCACGACTGACTGAGGACAGCAGCTGCTGTCATCCATCACTCTCTCCCTGGCCAATAAGGAGAGTGTACTAGGACCTGCCTGTGGTAGGAGAGGCTGACTGCTAACTGTTAAATGAAGTAATCATTACTCAGGCTTGAAAGAAAACCGCATAATGTCATGATGGAATATATGAATATATCACTCCTTTGTTAGGTCAAATGCTTTTCAGACTCGGAATGTCTATTTTCAGTGTATTAGTGCATACTAATTTCTTAACTTATTATCTGATCGCATGGTTTAGGGTGTGTTATTTTGGGCAAAATGACATAGCTCATAGGGCTGTCTAAATAAATTATTAAAGTTGAGGAGTTGAAATTTGAAACATAGATTATTACAAATTAGACCCAACTGGTAAAAACAGTACAGAATTAATTTATCCTTTAATAGATTATAAGAAGTCTAAGAAGTGAATATTTTTAAAATGGCATAGCAATAAAACATTTCATTTTTCCTCTCAAGCAGTGACCTTTCTAGAATGTAAAGGTAAATTTAAAAAAAGCAGTCCCATGGATTTCTGCTTGTCTTCTTCCCCTACTTTTCCTATAGGCTTAAAAACTATGAGCATAAATATATGAAACAAAGTTTGGTGAAAATGGAAATGATAATGTAGTATTTTTGCTTATAGAACTGGTGAACATTTTAAAAACAATAATACTTTACACTTTCAAGAGTGTGGTGAAATGATGGGAATAAATTGGCAAAACTTGTATGTAGGACAGCTGATATGGTTTGGATCTATGCCCCCATCCAAATTTAATGTTCAGTTGTAATCCACAATGTTGGAAGTGGAGTCTGGTGGGAGGCAACTGGATCATGGGCGTGTTTTCTCATGAATGGTTTAGTACCATCTCCTCAGTGCTGTTCTTGTGATAGTGAGAAAGTGAGTTATGATGAGATCTGGTTGTTTAAAAAAAGTGTGTGGCACCTCCCTGCCTCTCTCTTCCTCCTGCTCCGGCCATGTGAAGATGCCTGCTCTGGCTTTGCCTTCTGCCATGAGTAAAAGCTCCCTGAAGTATCCCCAGAAGCAGATCCTGCCAAGCTTCCTGTACAGCCTTTAACTGTGAGCCAATTAAACCTCTTTTCTTATGAATTACCCAGTCTCAGGTATTTATTTATAGCAGTGCAAGAATGGACTGACACAGAAAATTGGTTTCAAATGGGGACTCTGTGTGGTGGCTCCAATCCCACATTTCTTCTCTGCACTGCTCTCCATGTCCCAGTCTCTCCAGTTCCAGCCATGGCTCCAAGGGGCCCGAATATAGCTCATGCTGCTGTTTCAGAGGGTGCAAGCCATAGGTTTTGGCAGCTTCCATGTGGTATTAAGCCTGCAAGTGTACAGAATGCAAGAGCTGAGGCTTGGGAGCCTCCACCTAGATTTTGCAGGATGTATGGAAACGCCTGGATGCCCAGGCAGAAGCCTGCTGCAGGGGCAGAGCCCTAATGGAAAATCTCTACTAGGGTAGTGCAGAGAGAAAATGTGGAGTTGGAGCTTCCACACAGAGTCCCCACTGGGGCACTGCCTAGTGGAGCTGTGAGAAGAGAGCCACCATCCTCTAGACCCCAGAATGGAATATCCCTGGCAGCTTGCACCCTCAGCCTGGAAAAGCTTCAGGCACTCAACTCCAGCCCATGAGAGCAGCCATGGGGGCGAAGCCCTGCAAAGCCACAGTGAAGGAGCTGCCAAAGGCCTTGGAAGCCTACCCATTGCATCAGTCTGCTCTGAATGTGGTACATGGAGTCAAAGGAGATTATTTTGGAGCTTTAAGATTTAATGACTGCCCTACTGGGTTTTGGACTTGCAAGGGGCTGGTGGTCCTTTTCTTTTGGCCAATTTCTCCCTTTTGCAATAGGAGTATTTACCCAACACCTATGTCCCCACTGTATCTTGTAAATAATTAACTTGTTTTTTATTTTGTAGGCTTATAGGTCGAAGGGACTTGCCTTGTTTCAGATGAGACTTTGGACTTTTGAGTTAATTCCAGAATGAATTAAGACTTTGGGGGACTGTTGGGAGAGCATGATTGTATTTTGCAACTTGAGAAGGACATGAGATTTGGGAGGGGCCAGGAATAGAATGATATGGTTTGGATCTGTGTCCCACCCAAATCTCATGTTCAATTATAATCCTCAGTGTTGGAGATGGGGTCTGGTGGGAGATGATTGGATCATGGTGGTGATTTCTCATAAATGGTTTAGCACCATCCTCTCAGTGCTGTTTTTGTGACAGTGAATGAGTGAGTTACCATGAGATTTGGTTGTTTAAAGTGTGTAGCCAATAGCAAAGATATAGAATCAACTTAAATGCCCATCAGTGACAGACTGGATAAAGCAAATGTGGTACATATACATCGTGGAATACTATACAGCCATAAAAAAGAATGAGATTATGTATATTGTGGGAACATGGATGGAGCTGGAGGCTATTATCTTTAGGAAACTAACAAAGGAGTGGAAAACCAAATACCACATGTTCCCACTTATAATTGGGAGCTAAATGATGAGAATTCATGAACACAAAGAAGGGAGCAACAGACACAGGGGCCTACTTGAGGGTGGAGGGTGGGCAGAGAGAGAGGAACAGAAAAAACTATTGGGTACAGGCTTAGTACCTATGTGATGTAATAATCTGTAAAACAAACCCCTGTGACACAAGTTTACCCATATAACAAACCTGCAATATACCCCCAAACCTTAAACAAAAGTTAAAAAATATTTAAAAATAAGAGTGCATAGCACCTCCTTGCTCTCTGTCTTCCTCCTGCTCCATCCATGTGAAGATGCCTGCTTTGGCTTTGCCTCTGCCATGAATAAAAGCTCTCTGATGTCTCCCCACAAACAGATACTGCCATGCTTCCTGTACAGCCAGGTTTGCAGAACCATGAGCCAATTAAACCTCTTTTCTTATAAATTACCCAGTCTCAGGTATTTATAGCAGTGTGAGAATGGACTAACACAACAGTTTAACAGTAAGCATCAAAATCCTTAAAAATGTTTGACACCCTCCTGCACATATATATTGACTAGTAGCAACACCATTTACCTCCCATGCTAAAAAAAGAAGACTGTCCTTTAAAGGATTTGATTGCTGTATATGAGAAAGTTGAGGATTTAAAGTGGGAGTTAGTGTTTCAGAGGAAATTTTCTCATTTTGATGTTTAGGATAAAGGCATACAGACTGCCTGTGTGGACCTTTCCAGAGCACCTTGAAGAAAAGCCTGCCAGGTAATACTACCTCTGGTTTGTAGTCAACACCCCCAATTAGGAGAAAAGCATGTTAGGGAAGCAGACCTGTAGAAGATCATTAGACTCCCATAATAGTCAACATAGCCTTTCATCCTTAAACAACCAAAAAGCACAATATTTTGAGGGAAACCAACAATACAGAAAAACCAAAAATCAAAATGGATCATAGAATCACTGACCTTAAAAAAAACTGTTGATTTAAGAAATAGCAAGAATGTTTCACAAAGTTTAATTATTATCCTGTGAGAAAGTTCAAGCAGATATTGCAACATAAAACAAAAATGGGCTACTATGGGCTGGGTACAGAGGCTCACACCCGTTATCCCAGCACTTTGGGAGGCCAAGGCAGGCAGATCACATGAACTCAGATGTTCAAGACCAGCCTTGGCCAATATTGGCAAAACCCTGTCTCTACTGGAAATACAGAAATTAACTGGGTGTGGTGGTGTGCACCTGTAATGCACCTGTAATGTAATGGTGTGGTGGCTGAGGCAAGAGAATTGCCTGAACCCAAGAGGCAGAGGTTTCAGTGAGTCAAGATCATGCCACTGCACTCCAGCCTGGGCAACAGAGTGAGATCCTGTCTCAAACAATAACAACAGAAAGAATAGTCTATTATGAAAAAAGAGTAATCAGATAGCATAATTGCAGTAGATACTGTTAGTGCACTGCCCAGCTTCCTTCTTATAGGACTGAAACATTCATTCCTCCAGCTGTTGGGATTGTTGACAGCCAACAACTCCCAGCTAAGTTATTCTTTGGGCCTTGCCTCAGCTGAAGAGAGCCACCTGGCCCAGGATCGTATTGGGGTCATCTTTGCTAGCCAGTCAGCTGGTGATTCAGCTCCAAAATCTCATTTTAGGGCCTGCTCTCTCCATTTCTGGCAAGAAGACTCTGAGGCAGATATTTGCATTCAGGAAATTACTGGGGAGGCCTCTTGGGGTCAATGCCTTTAGGAGAGTGAGGGAAGAGGGACTGCACAGAGAAACAAAGTGAGGAGGGATGAAGTTGTAACAAAGACCTCAGCAAATTCTAGAGGAGCTCTGGAGCTAGGATAGCCCTTCACAATTGTTCCAAGTTTTGGAGGAGGAGCTGTGTCTTTTACACTCTTTAATTGACCAATGTAGGATACCGCCAAAGCTATAAGGCATGCACTGGTGAGAGGTTCACCAGCATTAAAGATAAGTCAATTATGGCAGTACTTTGTAGGCCAACATGAACAGTAGAAGATGCTGTATCAGAATGATACAGTGAAGACAATAGGATGCCAAAATGATAGAAGCCAGGTGGTAGCACTTAGCCATCAGAAATAAGGTGAGTGTAGTTATTAGAATGATCAACGAGTGCAGACTGGCAGCCAGAGGAGGCCAACATGCAGAGAGATATGAAGAGGGTTAATAAAACACAGTGTTCCTAGTCAGAAGATAGTTGGACAGCCAACAAGAGTATTGCTCTATTTATACAACAAAAATAAATCAAGATGGATGATCATGAGGTAGGGAAACTGCCCCAATAAAATATCATGATCCTTTGCGTTTTTTCTGGCCATGGTCCATGTTACAGACTGGGATTCCTTAGAGTGAAGGAAAGGGCAGGTCTCCAGGAAAAAAGACTGCAACATTACAGCAAGTGGTTTCTCAGTCCTTCTTTAAAGGAATCTATGACCATTTACTTACGTAACTATACACTGGGCAAAGAAAAGTATGTACATTTCCTAAGAACTGTTGGCAGAGGTTCCAAGATGGCATTGATACTAGGAAACCAGTAGCACTATCATGAATCTCTTGTTAGAGTGGAGGCCCAATAATAACTCAAGTCCCATGATATACAACTAATCTGTGATTGTGAAATTGATCCCTGGCCTGTGGAATAAGAGCTATCACAATGAAACAGCCTAAGTAGAAACCTCTGGTCAAGAGGGTAGATTAAAACTAATATTGGATTTAGGGGGAATGGCAAAGATTATTGCCACTCTTAAAGACCTTAAAGTTCAAAGGGTGGTGGCACCCATAACATTCTCATTTAATTCACAGGTCTTTTTTTTTTTTTTTTTTTCAAAATTAGGTGAATCCTGGAAGATAATAGTGAACTACCTAAAACTTCACCAATTAGTGGCCCCCACTGCAGCAGCAATATCAGATGTGATGTCTTTGTTAAAGCAGATAAACATAGCCTCAGGTACAAGGAATGTGGTCATTGATATGGTGAGTGTGAACTTTTGTACCTTTAGGATTAGGAAAGACAACTGTATATACACATTTACAGTCTAGCCTCAGGGCTATCTTTGTTCTCTGTTATGTAGCTTGAAGGGACCCGGACCATCTAAAATTCCCACAGAATATCATATTGGTTTGCAATATTGGTGATATCAAGTTAATTTAGGCCAGAGTATTGGTGGCAAGCACATTGAAGGCCTTAATAAGTAATATGTACCCCAGAGGTTGGGTAACAATAAACCCTATGGAAATTCAGGTGTTCCATACTTGATAATACTGCTCGAAAATACTATTGGCAACACAAAAGCTCCCAAATTTGAGTGGGGTCAAGAGCAGAAAAGGGCTTTCAGCAGGTCTAGACCATATTATATTTCAGCAGGTCTAGACCATATTACAAGAAGCTCTGCTTATTTGGACATATGACCTAGCAGACTCTGTGGTATTAGATGTATCTGTAGTAAGTACAAACACTGTGTTGGTCTGAATGTGTTCCGCAAAATTTATGTGTTAAAATGTTAATCCCTAATGCAATAGTGTTGGGGGATGAGATCTAATGGGAAATGTTTAGGTCATGAGGGCTCTACTGTCATAAATGGATTAATGCTGCTGTAAAGACAGCTTGTGAAAGTAAGTTGTGTCTTTCCTCTGCTCTTCTGCCATGTGGGGACATAGTGTTTCTCCTCTCTGGAGGATGCAGTGTTCAAGGCACCATCTTGCAAGAAGAGAGACCCAGGCTTTAACCTGCCTGTGCCTTGAGGACTTCTCAGCCTCTAGACCTGTGAGAATAAAGCTTTGTTCTTTATAAATTACTCAGTCTGTGATATTCTGTTTATAGCAGCACAAAATGGATTATGAGAAACAGCATGTGCACTGTATGGCAAAGCTCAATGGAAGAATCACAACACAGACCCATAGCATTCTGGCATGAGACCATGCCATTGGCAGTGGAGAATTATGCATCTTTCAAAAACAGCTTCTGATGGCTACTGAGCCCTGGTAGAGATGGAGCACCTGACCATGGGACTTTAAATGGCTAGGTGACCAGGACTGCCTACCATGATCTGAGTTTTGCCAAATTTGCCAAATTATAAGGTTTGAAATCCCTAGCAGAATTCATTGTAAAATGAACCGGTACATCTGGAATTGGTCACTAGCAGGGATAGAAGGCATAAAGAAGCCACAAACCAAGTGTCCTCCAGGTACATATAATTCAACATTGTTGCACTGGTTCAACTTCCTTTTTGTTCACAAATATGGCTGGAAGTTGGATCACAGATACTCAGAAATGGCTGAACTTAGTTCATGACTATGTGGGTGCAAACTAAAAATGAACCATAGTTGCACTGTAGCTCTATTCAGAGGTGGTTATGAAAAACAATGGTAAGGGTAAATCTCAATGGGAAGAGCACTGGGTCATCTACTTTGTGTTTCAGAAACATAAGTGACCCAAGGTTAGTTTTTATATGAAATTATGGGCAGTGGTGAGTAGCTTGGTCACATTGGCGAGGTGCCTGAAAGGAGGAAGATTGTAATATTAGAGGCCAGGAGGTCTGAGAAGAAGCATGTGAATGGGCCTAGGGAGCAGGACCTTTTATAACATCTAATGCAACAAAGAAGCTCATTCTTCAACAAAGGAGATGCAGTATATCGGAATTTACTGGCGCAATCACATATTGCATGATCCAGGAGTTGCTGGACTGAGATAACAATGGAATAGCTTGTTGAAGACACCTGAGGTGCTGGCTTAGAGAGAATACCCAATGAGGATGTGGCACTGTACTTCAGAAGTAGGCATACATCCTCAATCAATGGCCATTGTATGGTTATTTGTCCCCAGTAGGCAGAATATATTGATCCAGGACCCAAGTGATGGATACAGGAGTGAGTTTAGCTATCATCAGTTCTAGTGACCCACCTGGGGAATTTGTGTTTTCTGTCCCCACGATTCTGAATTACGCGAGTTTAAAGGGCCTATTTCCTAGAGGGGTTGTTTTACCATCTGTGTTGATGTAGAAAAAAAATAGACTGGGTAATTTATAAAGAACAGAAATTTATTTCTCATAAATCTGTAGTCTGGATGTCCAAGATCAGGGTACCAGCAGGTTTGTCACCTGTTGAGAGTTCAGTCTGTTTCAAGATGGCACCTTGACCACTGGATCATCCAGAGGGGAGAAATGTTGCGTTCTCATATGGCAGATGGTGGAAGGGCAAAAAAGGAGGAAGTCCTTCTGTCAAGCTCTTTTATAATGGCATTAACCCATTCACAGGGGCAGGGCTCTCATGACCTAAACACGTTTCAAAAGGCGCTGTTAATGCCAAGTGCAGGAGTCTCCTGTTCTTGTATAAATTGGGGAAATGATTTCTGTCAAGAGAAGGTTCAAAGATAACAGAGAGCTTTGTTGAAGGGAAATAGGGACCAAAGAGCTCATAGTAGGAAAAAAAAAACAAGTACACTCCAAGAGAGAAGTGAGCTGATCCTGCAGGAAAACAGCTCTGAGTGTCCTGACTGTGAGTTTTATCATGTTAGGCTCCCTCTTCAAGTTCCTGCTTCTTGTCTCAAGTCTCCACCTTTTTTCTTTGTCTAGTTTTACTACCTCTGCCTTTGGTTCTTGCCTTTGTCCCCACCTAGTTCCTAATCAGGCTTGTGGGACCCCCACTTAGTGTTAGTTAATGCACTGTGCTGGCCAGCGATCAATTCAAATCTTGCCTAATGGAAGCATTGCTCATTACTGCCACCCAAGGAAGGTTGTCTAGCAGTCAAATCTATACCTACCAAACCTGCGTATCTTTTAGGAATTCACCCTTTTGTCCTCTTTCCTTTCTTATCAGGATGTACATAGCAACATTCTGATACTGTAACTTCAGAGTAAATGATTTTTGGGGCATCTTAGGTGTTTCAGGGGGTTTCTTTCTGTCTATGTACTTCCTCTCCTTCCTACTCACAGTTGACTAATTGCCCACCCACTCCAGCATTAGAGATGCTATTAACATGCAAACTTCGGGTGGTCCCTCAGGCCTGAGACTTCTCAGACTTTTCCTTCCTCAAGAACTCTGCCTCCTGCTCATGTCTGGCTATCTGCTTATTCTAACAGCACCACCTTCCAACACTGTTACATTGAATATTAAATTTCCAACACACAAATTTTGGGAAACACATTCAGAAGATAGCAGCAGTAAGACTCCTAAAAGAAGACATAACCATAATCCCCTTGAACTTCCAGCTATGGCTGTTTCCTGTTCCCTGTTCCCTTTAGATTCTTTGTAGTAGTTAAAGAGGCCAACAGGCATGGAAAAGGGTCATCATACTGACAGCGTTGACACTGATCATCAGGAGGAGATAGAGCTGCTGTTACACAATGGGGACAGGGCTGAATATGTAGGCACTCAAGTAATACATTTGCATTTCTTGGCATGTCCCTGCTCTATTTAGATGGCCTGGTAAGGGTGTAGTGACAAGGAGCTTATACCCTCAAGGATGAGGTTCTGGGTCACATTACTAGAAAAGCTAGAAGTGTTCACCAAGGGAAATGTTAACCAAGGGAAAGCAGAATCTAAAGTATATGATGTTAATCAAGCAGAGGTGTTAACCAAGGGAAAGGAGAAACTAAAGTGTATGGTGAAGGAGGAGGATTATGAGGATCAGTTTCAGCCTGGACATCAGTTGTAGTAGTGGAGATTTTATCTTATCCCACTAACTTCCCATGTGTAAGCTTCTCCCAGGAAATGAGGCCCAATGTAATTTTGGAGTAGCTGCTTCTAAAATATATTATGTGGGGAAAAAATCCTGGTCAACAGGGTGAAAGAAAAACAAGTATTATGCGAAGCAAGCAGATGTGAATAGTGTAAGGCATAGCCAGTAGTAGATGTCGTAATGTGCCATTCACTCATTCTTCTGGATTCTAGGAGTGTTCGTGACTGACATTATTACTCAGCTGAGTCCCTCCTTAGCACTTGCTCTTGGTTGAAGAAAGCTGCCTTGTACAGGGTCAAAACACCCAGATTCTGGAACATCCTACAGTCAATGCTTGTCAATGGGGTGTATAAATTCCTCATGCCTTTGCTGAGTAAGGTCTTTGTTGGGATGCATCCATCACATATTAACTTCTTTCTTTGTCTTATCTAGTTTCTTTTCCTTCCCTTCTCTTCCCTTCCACAGGTGTTCATCTAGCAAACATTCTACGATAAACTTTCTGCATACTCTTCTTCATATCAGAGTGCTCCTTCCTGAGGATCCCAATTAGTGAATGTGATACTGTGATATAACAAATATATATTTGGTCTTCATCTGTTGCTTCTGACACAGAGCTCCTAAAACCCTTGGGATTTTCTGAGTTATAGGGGTGTCTTTTTTGTTATTCCTAATAAGTCCCTTTGATCATACCTCAGTTTATGCTAATTTGGTGACTTAGAGTGAGCCCACTAGATAGCCTCAGTATGGGCTATAGCCCAAATAATTAAGAAATAGCCCAAGTAATTCAAGGGTTGAAACTTCAAGTCCCACCCACTGACTTTCTGGAAGAGGAGAATAGGGGAGGCTCAATATTGAACTCTATAAAAACTGTCGAACAAGGAGATTTGATAAGCTTCCAGGTTGGTGAACACATCAAGGTTCTGGGAGGGTGGTACTCCTGGAACAGGCATGGAAGCTTCACATCTCCTCCCCATACATTGCCCTATGCACCTCTTTCATCTGGTTGTTCCTTAGTCTTATCCTTTATAACAGTAAAGTATTTCCTTGAGTTCCGTGAGCCATTCTAGCAAAATATTAACCTGAGAGGGGAGTCATAAGAATCCCTAATTTATAGCCAGTTGGTTGGAAGTACAGGTGACCCAGGGCTTGTGACTGGCATCTGAAGTTGGGGCAGTCTTGTGGGACTGAACCCTTAAATTTGTGAATCTGACACTAACTCAGGTAGTTATTTTTAGAATTGAATTAAGTTTTTGAACACCGAGCTGGTGTCAGATAATTGGTTGGTGTGGGAGAAACCTCCCTGTCATGTTTTGTGTTAGAAGTATTGAGAAAAAAAAAAAAACTCTTTTATTTGAGGAATGCCAGTCTCCTCTAAATTATCAGGCCCAGAGAGGCAATGGAATGAAACAGAGGTCATGTCCCATTATCCCCTTTAGACTAAGTAATCTGCTCTTGAAACTACTTGTTAAAATCACAAGTAGCTATAAATTAATCTATCAATGCTAGACACCATAATTTATACAACATATAGCCAGTATCACTAATCAATGTTATTTCTGTAAACCAATGAGAATTCCTGACAAAAAACTTTGTATAAGCCAACTCTTTGTCCCTGATTTTTGCTTTTAAAAACCTGCTTGTAACAAAGGCCAAATGGAGTTCATATCCAAGATTACTTGGGTCTGAGTCTTCCAGGCAGCAGTCTCATTTTGGCTCAAGTAAACTCTTCAAAATTATATTTTGTGCCTCACTTTTTTTCCTTTAAGCCAACATTCCTGGCACTATGAGCAGGATTCAGAGCAAGCCCCGACCTCAACAATTTGACAGTCCTCTTGGATTCAGCACCTGTTCAGCTGGAGCCTCTTGTGTTTTTCCAGATCTAAGAGCATTGTCACGTGTATATGAGTCCTGAATTCGGACCTTCCTACCCTGAGGCTGAGGTCTAGTGTTTGCGTGAGCTGTTTTTCTCAGATCTCCCTTCCAAGAATGGGGCTTTCCATCTCTATCTAAGGTCAGGAGATTTGGATTTCAAGATAAAAGAGAACTTTTACCTTCTCTGCCTCTGCCTCATAGCAGAAGGTCTGGGTCACCAGTGCAGTCTAGCACTGGTGGTTGCACTACTTTTGGTCTAAAATTACATAGCATGTTTTAAAAATTACAGCTCCTTCCTCTTGATTATGATTCAAATGTGTCTTTTCAGTTATGACCAATTTTTGTTAGTTTCAAACCAAAAGGTGCATGAGAGTGAATTCTCTCACCCCAAAATTAAGAGACACTTGCTCCCTCCAACTAATTAACAATTTAATCCAATTGGCATCTGGTGGCAAGAGATTTTTTGAAAGTGACAGATTGTTCGTCCATGACAAGTAGTGGTTTTATAGGGCTTCCCCACAAGAACACCTATTGCAACTTTCAGCTCAACCAGAAGGTGCACATAAGGGTTGATCACCTGGCACCTTGAACACACTGCCACCACAAGGCAATCAGATATTTTGAGACACGTAAGAGAGTGATCCAAGACTCTTTGATGACACTTGGAGGAGTGATGCTCATGAGCAGCACCCTTTGACCCAAAACACATTTCTGGCCTTGGTCACTTTTGAAAAGTTCCTAAATTATAGGAAATCAACCTTCAGAATCTGAGCACTCTTTTACAGGACAGTCTTCTTTAGAAATACAAGCTGGTTCTGTGTATAACACTTACGGGGCATCTTCTTATAAATATCTAAAGAAAATGAGCCCACATAATCCAGGATGGTCATAAGCAGCAATGGCTGAAATGAGGGTCCTTTGAAGTCCTAAAATAATTTATTTGTGTGCATAATTGAAAAAAACTAGTTTTAGAACATGACAAATTGATGGGAGCACCCATTCAATGGCACCTAGAAGCTTCTAAAAGAAATTGTAACAAAATTGACTGCATTCAGGAGGTAAACAAAAGGATATCTGACACTATTTCTGAATTTAAAAAGACTATGGAGGTCTTCTCCCTTCCATCTCCAACTCCTCCTCCTCCTAACCCCTCACCTTTATATCCTGTCTTATTCAAACTTCCTGCCCTGACTTAACTCCCCTTCTACCACCATCACCTGAGGAAACTCTCCTGGTCTCTGGCCCCCTCCCTGGAACTTCTATTTTTGCAGTCTCTTTCAGGGTAAAACCCATAGCAAGAGGTGAGCCTATTATTATATATGCCCCTTGGACAAAGACTGAACTTAAGAATACCATGAAAGACTTCCCAGACCCATTCCAAGATCCCATAGGGTTTGCAAAAGAATTTGATTTAATTGGCCAGACCTGGTGACTCAAGCCTGTAATCCTAGCACTTTGGGAGGCCAGGAAGGTGGATCACCTGAGGTCGGGAGTTTGAGACCAGCCTGATAAACATGGAGAAACCTTGTCTCTATTAAAAATACAAAAAGAATCACTTGAACCTGGGAGGCGGAGGTTGTGGTGAGCCAAGATCGCACCATTGGACTCCAGCCTGGGCAACAAGAGCAAAACTTCGTCTCAAAAAAAAAAATTTTTTTTATTTAATTGTCTGAAATTATGAGCCTGAATATTCTGAGATCTATCAATTAGTTCACATGCTGGTATCAGAAGGCATGGCCAGTGAACAGTTGAAAAAGGGAAGCTAAAATAATCCGTTAGAGGATTTTCAAAAAACAGACTGAAACTGACCATGAAAGGGTCCACACTTTGGCCAAGGCTCTTTATGATTTCATTCTCCAGATCTGCAATCTAAATATGTAGATTAAAGAGAATTCAACAATGTACTCAAAGACCAGACAAATCTGTGCTTGATTATTTTGAACAGTTTGAAAACACCTCTGAACAATTTTCCAAATGGCTGATGCTAGCTTCCAAGATCATCGGAATGATTTCCTTATAAATTCTATTTCCCTCAATGGCTTAAATGATGAGTTGGCTATCTTAGTTAAAAGATACAAGACACCACACCCGGCCAATTAAATTAAATTCTTTTGCAATCCCTATGGGATCTTGGAATGGGTCTGGGAAGTCTTTCATGGTATTGTTAAGTTCAGTCTTTGTCCAAGGGGCATATATAACAACAGGCTCACCTCTTGCTGTGGGTTTTACCCTGAAAGAGACTGCAAAAATAGAAGCTCCAAGGAGGGGGCCAGAGACAAGGTAACTGTACAAATCCACGAGTTAGTAAGCCTGGCAGATAAACTTTCTAAAACTATTCAGAAAGAAGAAACCACTAGGGCCTCAAAGATTATTAATTGACAACTATAACAATTGATTTGTCAGACCAGGCCTTTTAGAAAGGACAGGTGCCTCCTTCTAATGATAGAAGGGGTATTTGCTTCTATTGTAAATAGCTTGGCCATTTCAAAAAAGATTGCAGAAAACTTAAATGACAGCAGGGCCAACAAAAATATAGAACCCCACAAGATGAATAGGGTTTCTCTAAGGATCTAAAAGGTGCTTTCCAATTTCTCCTAACTAATATCTTAGGATAAATGGAAATTTCCATGAATAGAGAACATATATGTGCCCATGTAGACACTGCAGCTACTCTTTTCATTCTCAGCCCTACCCCTTTAAATTGTCCCCTTTCTCAGAGTAATAAAACTGTACAAATGGTAGACACATCTAATCAACCTATGACTGTATGAAAGTCCAAATGATTAGAATTCCAGGTAGGCTTACTCGATGGCTTTTCATTTCTTTCTGTTTCTTCCCATGGCTTCCATACATATTTTAGGCAGAGATATTTTGGAACTTCACAATGCACACATTTCCTTTTCTCAAATGGGGGAAATGTATTTAAATTTGGAACAGAAGGCACATACCCAACATTACTCTTTTAATAAACTTGTTTCCTTCTGTCCTCAACTAATGTTACTATTTTTCATTGTAATAATCTTTGCGCAGCCACTCATTTGCATTTGCCTACTGAAAGACATCACATGACTGCGTCACTCGGATGAACCAAGATAGTTGCATTTGGAGATAGAGCCTTCAGGAAGGTAAGTAAGGTTAAATGAGGTCACAAGGATGGGGGCTTAATCTAACAGGGTGATTGCCCTTTTAAGAAGAGAAAGAGACACCAGAGGTCTCCATGTAAGGACACAGAAGGAAGGTGGCTGTCTGAAAGCCAGGAAGAGAGGTTTTACCAAAACCAACCCTAATGGGCCCTTGATTTTAGAATTCAGGTCTCCAGAAGTGTGAGGAAATAAAATTCTGTTGTTTAAGCTACCCAGTCTGTGGTATTTTGCTATGGAAGCCCTGGTGGTCTAATATAATTATTATAAAAATACATGTTATGAAGTGCATATTCTTATGTAACTTAATTACATTTTAAGTAAACTAATAGAAGTGTGAAATGAGAGGTGTTGTTGTCTAAAAAGTCAGGAAAATGCTTTGAAAATGCTTTATTAAAGGGAAGTTGCCAAAAATATTGCATTGAATTAGATATGAGAAGGTGATATTAAAAGATTGGAAGAAAATAAAAAACAACCTGTAGCGATTCTGCACACAGTTGCTTTGTAAGTGATGTTATTCACGTCACAGTTAAGATATTAATACTGAAAATCAGAGACAAACCAGGCATTCCAGTTGCAGTTGATGTGTGACAGGCCATGTGACATTCAAATTGGCAGCTTTGTCTCTAATAGAAAATACTTTGGCCACACATTGATAGTCTGTAATTCTAATTAATGATAATTCCTCATGCTAACTGACCTTTTCAATTACTTGACCAAATACTGCTTCAAAAACTTGTATTTTATTGCAAATTATAGTGGTAGTTATCAAAATAGCAAAAAGAATAAAGGTTTAACTATCTTCTTTAGGAAGTCAGACTGGTAGGTGGGGGAAGAAGGGTGTGGAAGTCTTTCATTTTTTATTTAATACCACTCTGTGCTGTTTAGACTTTTCTTATCCTACATACAGAAATTATTTTAGTAAAAACACAAATTAATAAGATCTCCATAGCCTTTGATTTTGTATGATTCCATCTTTAGGAAGTTATAGCAGAGCATGGGAGTTCAGGCTCTGGGGTAAGATTGCCTGCATTTGAACCCTGACTCCACCATTTTTTTCTTGTGTGAGCTTGAACAATTTATTTAACTTCCGTATGCCACACTGATATGGTTTGGATACTTGTCCCACCCAAATCTCATGTTGAAATGTAATCCCCTGTTGGAGGTGGGGCCTGGTGGGAGGTGTTTTGGTTATAGGGATGGATCCCTCATGGTTTGTTCCTGTTCTTATGATAGTGAGTGAGTTCTCATGAGATCTAGCTGTTTAAAAGTGTGTAGCATCTCCCCACGCCCTTTATTGTGCTCTTGGCACGTGATATGCCTGCTCCTACTTAGCCTTCTACCATGAGTAAAAGCTCCCAGAGGCCTCCCCAGAAGCCGAGCAGATGACAGAGCCATACTTCCTGTTCAGCCTACAGAATCATGAGCCAATTAAACCTCTTTTCTTTATAAATTACCCTGTCTCAAGTACTTCTTTATAGCAAGGCAAGAATGGCACAATGCACAGGCATGGTCTGTAAAATGGGGGTAATAATAAAACCTATCTCACAAATTATTGTGAAGATTAAATGAGATAATGTATGTGTAAAGCATTTAGCTCCAACCAGTAAATATTAGCTGTAATTATTTAATGAAAATAAACATAAATGCCCAGGTTAATTTATATACAAGGTATTTATTAATGTATTAATTTGACAATAAAACCCTGAAGCAACCTAGATGTCTAACAACAGAAAAATCTTTAAATAAGTTATGTCATATTTATAAGATGGCATGTCATTTGTTAAAAACATTTTGTTTTTAAGATTATTCATTGAGAGGAGGCAGAGCAAGATGGCTAAATAGAAGCCTCCAGTGATTGCCCTCCCTGCAGCAACACCAAACTGAACAACTCTCCATAGGAAAAATCACCTTTATAAGAACCAAAAATCAGGTGGACGATCACAATATCTTGCTTTGAAATCATACTAAGGGAAGAGGCAGTGAAGAGGATTGGAAAGACAGTCTTAAATCGCCTATAGCACTCCTCCCACATCGCCCAGCAGCAGCTGTGTGGCATGGAGAGAGAATCTGCATGCACAATCACTGTATAGTGATTGTGAGGCTTTGCATTGTAACTCAGTGCCACCCTGTCACAGCAGAAAGCAACTTGGTGCAGAACTCAGCCAGTGCCCACGGTGGGAGCATTTAGACCAGCACTAGCCAGAGACAAATTGTTCATTCCAGCCATTGAAATCTGAGTTCCAGCAAGCTCGGCCATCCTGGGCTAAAGTGCTCTGGGGCCTAGATAAACTTGAAAGGCAGTTTAGACTACAAGGACTGCAATTTTTGGGCAAGTCCCAGTTCTGTGCAGGGCTCAGAGCCAGTGGACTTGGACTTAGCCAGTGACCTATTGAAATACCAGCTAGGGTGGCCAAGGGAGTGCTTGTGCCACCCCTCCACAAACCCGGCAGCATAGCTTACAACTCTAGGAGAGACTGCTTCCCTCTGCTTGAGAAGAGGAGAGAGGAGAGTGAAGAGGACTTTGTCTTGAAACTTGGATACCAGCTCAGACACAGTAGAAGAAGGCAGCAGGCAGAGTCCTGAGGCTCCCATTCCAGGACCTATCTCCCAGATGACATCTCTAAACACACTCTGGGCCAGGGAAGAATCTGCTGCCTTGAAGGGAAGGACCCAGTCCTAGGAGAATTAATCACCTGCTGACTAAAGAGCCCTTGGGCTCTGAATAATCATTAGTGGTAGCTAGCCAGTACTCACCACAGGCTGTGGGTGAGGCTCAGAGCTGTGCTGTCTCCAGGTATGGCCCAGCACATCATTTCCAGCTGTGACAACTATGTGGAGAGACCCCTTCTGCTTGAGAAAATGAGTGGGAAGTGTACAGAGGACTTTGTCATGCAGCTTGGGTACCACCGTTCAACACAGTGGGAGAGAGCACCAAGCAAGCTTCTGGTGCTCCAGACCTTGGCTCGTGGATGGCATTTTTGGACCTGCCCGGGGCCACAGGGGAGCCCATTTCCCTGAAAGGGGAGACCCAGGACTAGCAGCATTCACCACAAGCTGACTGAAGAGCCCTGGGGCCTTGAGTGAACATCAGCAGTAGCCAGGAGTACTTGGCTGCAAGCTGGGGCAGTGGTGGCCACAGAGAGATTCCTCTGCTTGAGGAAAGTGGAAGAAAGAGTGGCAAGAATTTTTTCTTGCAACTTGAGGGCTAGCTTAGTCACAGGAGAACAAAGCACCAGTAGATTCCTGAGTTTCCTGACTCCAGGCCGTGGCACCCGGATGCCATCTCCAAACCCACCTGGGGCTGAGGGAAATCAATACCCTGAAGGGAAGGACACAAACCTGGCTGAATTTTCCACCTGCTGATTGTAGATCCCTTGGGCTTTGAGTGAACATAGGCAGTAGCCAGGCAGTGGTCACTGGGTCTTGGGAGAGACACAGTGCTGTGCTAGCTTTGGATCTGGCCCAGTGCAGTCCCAGTGGTTGTAGCCACAGGGGTTCTTGTGTCACCCTTTCCCCAGCTCTAGGCAGCTCAGCACAGAGAGGGAGACTCTATTTGTTTAGGGGAAGTAATAAAAGAGAAGAAGGTTCTCTGCCTGGTAATCCAGGGAATTCTTCCAGATCTTACCTAAGACCATCAAGATAGTATCTCTATGAGTTTGCAAGAGCCATTGCATTATTAGACTTGGGATGCCCCCCAAAGCAGATATAGCTGCAGTGACCAAAGACTTACTATGTCCCTTTGAATACTTGGAAAGTCTTCCCAAAAAGGATGGGTACAAACAAGCCCAGACTGTGAAGATTACAATAAGTATGTGACTCTTCAATGCCTACCACCAAAGAACATTCACAAGCATCAGGGCCAGCCAGGAAAACATGACCTCCAAATGAACTAAATAAGGTACCAGGGACCAATCCTGGAGAGACAGAAGTATGTGTTCTTTCAGACAGAAAATTCAAAATAGCTGCTTTGAGGAAGCTCAAGATAACATGGAGAAGGAATTCAGAACTCTATCAGATAAATTTAACGAAGAGATTGAAAGAATTAAAAAGAATCAAGAAGAAATTCTGCAGCTGAAAAATGAAATTGACATACTGAAGAATGCATCAGATTCTCCTAAGAGCAGAATTTATCCAGCAGCAGAAAGAATTCATGAATTTGAAGTCAGGCTATTTGAAAATACACAGTCACAGGAGAGGAATAAAAGAGAATAAAAAAGAATAAAGCACACTTATAAGATCTAGAAAATAGCTTCAAAAGGGGAAATCTAAGATCATTGGCCTTAAAGAGTAGGGAGCAAGAGATTGGGGTGCAAAGTTTATTCAAAGTTATTCAAAGGGATAATAAAAGAGAACTTCCCAATCCTAGAGAAAGCTATTAATATTTAAGTACTAGATGATGATAGAACACAAGCAGATTTAATCCAAAGAAGACTATCTCAAGGAATGTAATAGTCAGACTTATAAACATCAAAGATAAAGAAGGGATCCTAAAAGCAGCAAGAGAAAAGAAAGAGATAACATTCAATGGAGCTTCAATATGTCTGGCATCAAACTTCTCCGTGGGAACTTTACAGGCCAGAGGAGGGTGGTACAACATATTTAAAGTGCTGAAGGAAAAACTTTTATCCTAGAATAGTGTATCTAGCAAAAGTATCCTTCAAACATGAAGAGGAAATAAAAACTTTCCCAGAAAAGTAAAATCTGAGAGATTTCATCAGCACCAGACCTGTCCTACAATAAATACTAAAGGGAGTTCTTCAGTCTGAAAGGAAAGGACATTGATGAGCAATAAGAAATAATCTATAGGCACAAAACTCACTGGTAATCATAAGCACACAGAAAAACACAGGATATTATAACACTGTAATTGTGATGTGTAAACTACTCATATCTTAGGTAGAAAGACTAAAAAATGAGCCTATCAAAAATAATAGCTACAACAACTTTTCAAGACATAGATAGTAAAATAAGACATAAATAGAAACAACAAAAAGTTAAGAAGTAGCGGGATGAACTGAAAATGTAGACCTTTTATTAGTTTCCTCTTTGCTTGCTTGCTTGTTTGTTTGTTCATGCAATCAGTGTTAAGTTATCATGATTTTAAAATAATGGGTTATAAGATATTATTTGCTAGCCCTATGGTAACCTCAAGTCAAAAACCATACAAGAGATACACAAAAAATAAAAAGCAAGAAATTAAAACATACCACCTGAGAAAATCATCTTCATGAAAAGGAAGACAGGAAGGATGGAAAGAAGGAAGAGAAGACCAAAAACCAACCAGAAAACAAATTTTAAAATGGAAGGAGTAAGTCCTTACTTATCAGCATTGAATATAAATGGACTAAACTCTCCAATCAAAAGACATAGAGTGACTGAATGGATTAAAAAAATACCCAAAAATTTGATGCCTACAAGAAACACACTTTATCTATAAAGACAGACATAGACTGAAAAATAAAAGGATGGAAAAAGATATTCTATGCAAATAAAAACCATGAAAAGATCAAGGATAGCTAATACTTAGACAAAATAGGTTTCAAAACAAAAACTATAAAAAGAGACAAATAAGATCATAATATAATGATAAAGAGGTCAATTCAGCAAAAGCATATAACAATTGTAAATATATATGCACCCAACACTGGAGAACCTAGATATATAAAGCAAATATGATTAGAGCTAATGTGAAAATAGACCCTAACACAATAATTGCTGGAGAGTTCAATATCCCACTTTCAGCGTTGGACAGATCTTCCAAACAGAAAATCAACAAAGAAACATTGGTCTTAATCTGCACCATATACCACATGGACCTAATAGATATTTATAAAACATTTCATTCAATGGCTGCAGAATACACATTACTCTCTTTAATACGTGGATTATTCTCCAGGATAGACCCTATGTTAGCCACAAAACAAGTCTTTAAATTTTCAAAAACATTGAAATTATATCAAGTATCTTCTCTGACTACAATGGAATAAAACTAGAAATTAATAACAAGAATTTTGGAAATTATACAGACACATAGAAATTAAACAGTTTGCTTCTGAATGACCAGTGGGTCAGTGAAGAAATTAAGAAGGAAAATTTAAAAATTCTTGAAGCCAATGAAAATGGAAACTCAACATACCAAAACCTACGAGATATAGCACGATATCATTTGGATATTTGTTCCCACTCAAATCTAATGTTAAATTGTAATCCCTAGTGTTGGAGATAGGACCTGGTGGAAGGTGTTTGGGTGATGAAGGTGAATCCCTGATAGCTTAGTGCTGTCTTTGTGATAGTGGGTGAGTTGTCACAAGATCTCGTTTAAAAGCGTGTGGCACCTCCTCCTTCTTGCTCTTGCTTTTGCCATGTGATGTGCCTGTTCCTTCTTTGCCTTCTGCCATTAGTTAAAGTTCCCTTAGACCTTCCTAGAAGCCTAGAAGATGCTGATATTATGCTTCCTGTACAGCCTGCAGAACTGCGAGCCAATTAAACCTCTTTTGTTTATAAATTGCTAGTCTCAGGCATTTCTTCATAGCAACGCAAGAGAAGACTAACATACAGTGAAAGTGGTAGTACAGGGAAGTTTATAGAAATAAGTGCCTACATCAAAAAGTAGAAAAACTTCAAATAAACATTCTAACAATGCATCTTAAAGAAATAGAAAAGCAAGAGTAAACCAAACCCAAAATTAGTAGAGGAAAATAAAAAAGATCAGAGCAGAAATAAATGAAATTGAAATGAAGAAAATAATGCAAAAGATCAATTAAATAAATAGTTGGTGTTTTGAAAAGATAAACAACATCAACAAACCTTTAGTCTAAGTAAAAAAGGGAAGGCCCAATAACTAAAATCAGAGATGAAAAATGAGGCATTACAATTGATACTGTAGAAATTCAAAGGATCATTAGGATTGCTATGAGCAAGTATATGCCAATAAAATGGAAAACTTAGAAAGATGGATAAACTCCTAGACACATCCAACCTACAAAAAATTGAACCATGAAGAAATCCAAAACCTGAACAGACCAATTAGTCATGAGATTGAGCCTGTAATTAAAAGTCTCCCAGGCCGGGTGCAGTGGCTTATGCCTGTAATCCCAGCACTTTGGGAGGCCGAGGCAGGTGGATCATGAGGTCAGGAGATCAAGACCATCCTGGTTAATATGGTGAAACCCTGTCTCCACTAAAAATACAAAAAATTAGCTGGGCATGGTGGCGCATGCCTGTAGTCCCAGCTACTTGGGAGGCTGAGGCAGGAGAATCACTTTAACCTGGGAGGCAGAGGTTTCAATGGGCTGAGATTGTGCCACTGCACTCCAGCCTGGTGACAGACCAAGATTCTGTCTCAAAAAAAAAAAAAAAAAAAAAAAAAGTCTCCCAGTAAAGACAACCCTAGGACCTGATGCCTTCACTGACGAAGTTTACCAAATATTAAAGGAGAACTAATACTAATTCTATTCAACCTATTCTGAATAAACAAAGGAAGAGAGGGAATACTTCTGAACTCATTTGGCAAGGCCAGTATTACCATGATACCAAAACCAGACAAAGACACATCAAAAAAGAAAGCTACAGGTCAATATTCTTGATGAACATTGATGCAAAAATTCTTAATAAAATACTAACCAACTGAAATTAACACATTAAAAAGGTCAAGGTCACTCTTGGTGACCAAGTGGGATGCATCTCAGGGTTGCAAGGATAGTTCAACATATGCAAATTAATCATTGTGATACATCATATCAACAGAATAAAGGACAAAAAATCATATAATCAGTTCAATTGATGCTGACAAAGCATTTTATAAAATTAAACATGTCTTCATTATAAAAATCCTTCAATAATTGGATATAGAAGGAATATACCTCAATGTAATAAAAGCCATCTATGACAGACCCACAGCTAGCACCATACCAAATAGGGAAAAACTGAAAAAAACTGAAAGCCTTTTCTCTAAGATATGGAGCACGACAAGGATGGCCACTTTCACCACTGCTATTCAATAGTGCTGGAAGTCCTAGCTAGAGCAATCAGACGAGGAAAAAAAAAAGAGGGGCATCCAAATTGGAAAGAAGCAGTCAAATTATCCTTGTTTGATCTTATATTTGGATAAACCTGAAGACTCTACCAGAAAACTATTAGAACTGATAAATGAATTCAGTCAAGTTGCAGGATACAAAACCAACCAACAAAAATCAGTAGCATTTCTATATGCCACCAGGGAAGAATATGAAAAGAAAATCAAGAAAGTAATCCCACTTGTAATGCTACAGATAAATGAAACACCAAGGAATTAGCTTAACCAAAGAAGTGAAAGATCTCTAGAATGAAAACTATAAAGCATTGATGCAAGAAATGCAAAGGATACAAAAAATGTAAACATATTTCATGTTCATGGATTGGAAGAATCAATATTGTTAAACTGTCCATACTACCCAAAGCAGTCTACAGATTCAATGCAACCTCTATGAAAATACTAATGACATTCTTCACAGAAATAGAAAAAGCAATTCTACAATTCATATGGAACCATAAAAAAACTAGAATAGCCAAAATTATCCTGAGCAAAAACAACAAAACGGGAGGAATCATATTAATTGACTTCAAATTATACTATAGAGCTATAGTAACCAAAGCAGCATGATACTGACATAAAAACAGACACATAGACCAGTGGAACAGAATAGAGAATGCTGGAAATTCATACGCAGAAGAATAAAACTAGACTCCTATTTCTTGCTGTATACAAAAATCAAGTCAAAATATATTAAAGACTTAAATCTAAGACCTCAAACTATGAAACTACTACAAGAAAACATTGAATAAACCCTCTGGGATGTTGTAGTGGACAAAGGTTTCTTAAGTAATACCTCACAAGCACAGATAACCAAAGCAAAAATGGACAAATGGGATCACATTGAGTTAAAAAGCTTCTGCATGGCCAAGGGAACAGTCAAAAAAGTGAAAAGACAATCTACACAATGAGAGAAAATATTTGCAAACTCACTATCTGATAAAGGATTAATAACCAAAATATATAAGGAGCTCAAACAACTCTATAGGGAAAAAATCTAATAGTTTGATTAAAAAATGGGCAAAAATCTGAATAGACATTTCTCAAAAGAAGACATATAATGGCCGACAGGTATATGAAAAGGTGCTTGACATTACTGATTATCAGAGTAATGTAAATCCAAACTACAATGAGATATAATCTAATGCCAATTAAAATAGCTTATCTTCAAAAGATAGGCAATAACAAATGCTGGTGAGGATGTGGAGAAAGGGAAACCCTCGTACACTGTTGGTGGGAACATAAATTAATACAGCCACTATGAAGAACAGTTTGGAGGTTCTTCAAAACACTAAAAACAGAACTACTATATGATCCAGCAATCCCACTAATAGGCATTTACCCAAAGGAAAGGAAATTTGTATATTGAAGTGATACCTGCACTCTCATGTTTATTGCAGCACTAATCACAATAGCCAAGATTTGGAGGCAACCTAAGTGTGCATCTGCAGATGAATGAATAAAGAAAAAGTGGTACATATACACAATGGAGTACTATTCAGTCATAAACAAAAATGAGATCCTGTCATTTGCAACAACATGGATGAATGGTCATCATGTTACGTGAAATAAGCCAAATACAGAAAGACAAACCACATTTTCTCACTTATTTGTGGGAGCTAAAAATATTAAAACAATTGAACTCATGGTTATAAAGAGTAGAAGGATGGTTACCAGGAGCTGGAAAGGGTAGTTAGGGGGTGAGTAGAAGGATGGTTACCAGAGGCTGGAAAAGGTGGTTAGAAGGCTGCAGTTGAAAGTGGGGATGGTTAATGGGTACAAAAATATGATTATGTTGAATGAATAAGATCTAGTATTTGATAGCACAACAGGGTGCCTATATGTAAAATAATTTATTGTACATTTAAAAACAATTAAAGTTTATAATTAGATTGCTTATAACACAAAGAAAGGATAAACGGTTGAGGTGATGAATACCCCATTTACCCTGATTTGATTATATATATTGTATGCCTTTATCAAAATACCTCATGCACCTCATAAATATATACACCTACTATGTACCCACAAAAATTAAAAGAAAAAGAATATTCATTGACATGAGAAGAAGCTGATCATATCTTAAATGAAAAAATATGCTATTGAACTATTATATATACTTAAACCTGTTTCTATATTTATATGTATAGCAAATATCTATATCTGCATACATATTCTCATATGTACTATATTTGTAATTTCAATGATATATTAAGAAGATCTCTGTAGGTTATAATGTAAAGAATATATCATACATTAATATTATAGGTTGTATATAATTATTGAGAAATACACATACATATAGTGGCAATTTTATAAAAGAAAAGTTCTAGGTAAAAACTGCTGGAAGGAAATTACCAAAATATGAATAGTGGCTGTCTCTTTAGGAGATGAGATTACAGGTAATTTTTAGTCTTTTTCATTGAACACATTCCTCGGTGGGAGGAGGTCATTTTTTCAGACTCTCATTTGAAGACAGTACCCTCTGAAATGGAGCCTCACCTACTGCTACCTGTGGTCACCTCTTAAGCCCTGCTTGAGTCCTGTTGCTGTCAACTGTATCTGTGTGACTGAGGGAAACATTGCAGAGATGAGGAAAACAGAGGAAAGGAAGGAGACAGAAGAGCAGAGGGGAAGGGATGACTGATGCTCTTTAGGGCAGTAACACATCAGCAGGCATAATTACGACACAATGACGTGTGGCATCCAATATGCAAGAACATGATCCCTGTAGAGGTTTCACAAAGTCTGGTGAGAAATGAGGATTGGGCATAGGTGAAAAGAAGGTATGCACCTGGATGTGTGGGTTAGGGGGTCGGATATCTCCCAAAAACCTCTGGTCTTCCTTTAAAAATGTCAACAAGGTATCCCTTGCCTCTGCTTTGTTTTTCAGCTCCTTCTGTGTGGTCCAACTCTCTTCCGCGCATAGGACACACACACATCTTTCAGTGCTGCCCTCAGAGTCCAGCCCATGCTTGCCAGCCCTCCCTTAATCCCTGCCTTCCAGCAACCTGCACACTCAGCGCTCCACACATTCCACAGGGTCAGTACCCAGCTCCCAGGGCTCTGTCATCTTTGGAAGACCAGACGGTTGTTGCTAGGCAGAATATACAGGGCACAACTGTAGCCAACTGTCTAACTCAAGCCTATTCATGGTATTTCTCTGTTTGCATGGATTATGAATCGAGGAAGCAATGATTTTTCAGTTTACCACACAAGCTGTTGTTCCTTGATTAACTGTTATGAAAATGATAGCTATGTTCTATGACTTTAATTTTACTAAAATTCTGAGATGCAAAATAATATTCAGTCTATATTATTTGCAGGAGAATGATTAGCTCTGCAGAGTAGTAGGAAGTAACAAAAGAAATAGAGGGCATTGGAACTGTCTTATATAGCAAGGCACATGTATGGATTGGGGCAGGTTTGTCCTGTGCCAGCTTTTTGTACTACTTAATCAAGTGGCCTGAAATCAACTGTGTATGCCTGTACAAGTTATGACTTCTGACACATGGAGGTCACTTGAAATCAAATAGAGGTACAATCAAGTTCTGGTTTTACCTTGTACTAGTGCTGTGATATATGCTTAGTTGCTTTACTTTCCTGAGTTTTAATTTCTTCATCTGTAAAATGGTGGTAATAACAGTCAATGTGAATGTAAACGAGAACATATATGTAAAGGGGCCTCTCAGTTTATACAACAAAGTCATTGTTTAGTAAATGTGAATACTTGCCCCACCAATAAATATCTGTTACATGGACTTGAGTGTATAGTTGAACTTTATTTCAATCTTGAAAAATGGCTAATATGACAAGGAATTATACTACAATGGGAAATGAAATGGTCATTTAGAACTTTGTGTTCTAAAATCATTTCTGACTTGCTCAAACTGATAACTGAATGTAATTGGTTGTGGAGATTTGGCCCAAGACCTGAAGAAATAATTCTCTATGTTTTTATCTATTTTGACCAAATATAATATATGCTGATACTATCAATTTCCAAGATCTTATCAGTTAAATGAATAGGAAAGATCAGATTTTTTAAAATACCAAGCATGATGTCTTTATCATAGTAGACATTCAACGCATTTTTGTTGAATGATTAATGCCTGGTGATTTTCAGAATGGAGGTTGGGACTCTGCTGCCCTGTGTGTGCAGCCTGGGGACGTTCATTGCAGAAGAATTCTCAACTTCTCTGTGGTAGGTAATAGAAGAGCCCATTAGAAATCTTTCTCTTGTGCTGACGGGCTGTTGACATTTATCGGATGCTGCCTGGGTGCTAATCACCTCACTCATTTACATCCTTATCTCTTTCATTTCTCCCAACCAAGACTCCCCATGGACTATTCCTGAACTAAATGAGGGAGGGCAATGTCTCCACAGCTTGGAAAACACATACACTTCACGTGGACTTTTGGGCAATTTACAATCATTGGAGTGGGGAAGGGGGATAGGTGGGGTATCAGTTTAGGGGAAGAAAAATAAAAACTAAACCAAACCAGATCAAACTTGAGCACTGTGCGACGTGACTAGAGAAGTAGTGAGGAAAGAAAAAGAGTGTATATAGAATGTTGACTGTACATGTGTGACCTTGAAAGGGCCTACTTCAATGTTTCCCCTTTCAGAATTTGGCCCTTTTTATCTCAAAGGACATTTTTTCCAGCCTTATTGAGGGATAATTGGCAAAAATTATATATATTTAAAGTATACAACTTGGTGTTTTGATATTTGTATACATTGGTGATGAACACAATCAAGCTAATTAACATATTCATCACCTCACATAATTACCATTTTCTTTTATTGACGTAGAGAGAACACTTACAATTCACCCTCTTCTCCAATTTTAAATATATGTACAATGTATTATTAACTGTAGTCACTGTGCTGTACATTATATTTCCAGAACTTCCTCATTTTACAAATACAAGTGAAATAAATATGGACAAGCTGGAGGACTTTGGAGGGTGTAGGACAGGGAGGGAAAATGTTAAATAAATCTTAGACTCTTTCTTCTCCCTGACACTTTGCATAGATCAGTCACCACATTGTGGGGTGTCTTCCTTGAGCTGAAAAGAACTGGTATGCAGTGGGGGAGGTGGGGAAGCCCAGGGCTTAAAGGTGGCTCTGCTCTACCTACTTTGTAACCTTGAGAAACTAGACCCTGAGGCTGTCAGCTGCCTCAGTTGACCATCTGGGATATTATCAGGGATAATAAGTCCCTTAGAGGATTGTTTGAAGATTAGAAATAATGTTTTGGTTTTTTTTTTTGAGACAGAGTCTCGCTCTGTCGCCCAGGCTGGAGTCTAGTGGCTCGATCTCGGCTCACTGCAACCTCCGCCCCCTGGATTCAAGCGATTCTCCCGCCTCAGCCTCCTGAGTAGCTGGGATTACAGGCAAGCGCCACACGCCTGGCTAATTTTTGTAATTTTAGTAGAGGCGGGGTTTCACCATGTTGGCCAGGCTGGTCTTGATCTCCTGACCTCATGATCCGCCCACCTCGGCTTCCCAAAGTGCTGGGATTACAGGCGTGAGCCACCGTGCCTGGCCAAAATGTTTTTAAAGTGTCTGCTACACATTTGTTACTCAAAATACTATGGTTATTTCTTGAATCTGTTACTGTCCCTAAATTCAGTCTTTCAAAACCACTTTCCTAGACTATCCAACAGTTTTTTAGTTGACTTACCTACTAGTCTTTCTACATGATTAGACGCCAGAGTGAACTTTATAAAAAACAAATTTAATGTCCTTCCCCACGTGAAAATCTTTTGTATCTAAAGGACATCACGAGCTCTTAAGTCATTCAAATAACTTTAAAACCTGTCCCCAGAACACTTTAAAGACTCTCTTTCCTACGTGGTATTCCCCATCCCCAAGGCAGGCTTTATGGGAAAGTGGCAGTGCAGTCACAGAGTCCCTGCCCTGTAATGAGGCCCCATGCTCAACTTAATCCTCTGCTATGGACTTCTTGAAATTCTTAATGATTTTATCTTTGATCCTGTGTTTTGTAAGTGATGTCACACAAAACAACAGAGTGTAGCCAGGAGCAGCAGAGGCATGCCAGGTAGCAGATTGTACATGTGTGGGCTCAGGTCTGTGGCAGCAACAGTTGGGCAGTTGGTCTGGCCTACTGGCATGCATGTGCCTGGGGTACCCTGGGAGTCATTGGCCCCAAGGGGTGACCAAGGCTAGAACCTGGGCCCAGATTAGCAGTGGCAATGTCAGAGTAGAAGCAGAAGCAATAGCAGTGGCTGCAGTGGCAGCAGGGGCTATGGCTCTGGGAGAGAAGGGTTTTGCATGAGGCCAATGCCAGGACTATGCTGGTAAGCAGGCTTGCCTGCTGATCCCCGGAGTCCATCCCTGTGCATCTGTGCAAATAGGAATTCTCTGGCTTGAGTGAAAGGTCAGGAACTCTGGAGATCAATGATTAGGAACATTGTCAGTAAATCATTACAAAGTGGAAGCATACATAAGACATAGGATAAAAATGTCTCAGGGAATTATTAGAATTCTCCAAAGAATTTTGAATTTCTGGTTTTGAAAACTGCTGCAACATTGCAAAGCAAATATCCACAGGCTTATAAATAAAAATGAAATGATTATCACATTTGACAGAAACTAATGCTATTTTCATATGAAACTGCAGGTGAACCATTAATAGGAAAGAAAATTTTAAAATTAATTTTTCCTTATAATGGAAGCCACAGAGGTGAAATGCATAAACAGGTATTTTGAATTATATGTAAATTGTGAAATTGCTTTAAGTTTCTTGTATAATTGCCACAAGTTTCAAGAAATGATAGAGAAAACAAAAATGTCATTGCATACATTTACATTTGAAATTACATTTAAAAAGTTAAATTAAGACATACATGAAATTGATTTGCTTGAAGAGTCAAATCTTTAAAATATGGTTCTGCAAGGATCATCAGCTCTAGATATACCAACGTTTATATTATGAAATAATTTATCAGAAATGTATCCCAATGTTGCCATAGCCTGCAAAATAACCTTAACAATTCTATTAAGTTTGAAACAGTGGAAAGATCATTCTGAAGTTTAAAATTAAGTTTAAAACAGATCAAAATTTGTTTGCAATTTTGCATTTGCCAATAGTGACTTGCTTTTAATTATATTGTTTGAAAATGAAGTTGCTAAATGTGTCAATATTTTGAACTTACAGATTTGTAGAAAAATGACCAGAAAATCATATGATCAACCAAGATAGCATGTTAATAAGATATTATTCACTATGTTACATAAAACGATGATCCCTATATATATATATATATATTGCAATTTACAAGTTTACATTGTAGTCCTGTATCACAATCACTCCATTCCTTTTTGTTAAAAAAGGAAAAAGTTTTATATGTCGGTATATCTTTAACTGAACTTCTCCCCCTGCTTTTTGAACCACAGGCTTGACATTTTCAGTTTGTACCAGGTCCTACAAATTACATAACTGATCCTGCCCAGTCTCTCTAGCATAGCTCATCTCCCATAAGTAGCACTCACACACACTTCTTTCTACCGCCAGTGATGTCTTTCCTTTGGTTATGTTTTGTCTCCTGCTTACTATGTTCTTCCTGCCTCCTCACCTGTAAGAATCCTACTCAACCTTACATACTCAGCTCCACCTATGAAAATGCTATAGCATGGCTGGGCGCGGTGGCTCATGCCTGTAATCCCAGCACTTTGGGAGGCCAAGGGGGGTGGATCACGAGGTCAGGAGATCGCGACCATCCTGGCTAACACGGTGAAATCCCGTCTCTACTAAAAACACAAAAAATTAGCCGGGCGTGGTGGCGGGCGCCTGTAGTCCCAGCTACTCGCGAGGCTGAGGCAGGAGAATGGCTTGAATCCGGGAGGCGGAGCTGGCAGTGAGCGGCGATTGTGCCACAGTACTCCAGCCTGGGCAGAGAGCGAAACGCCCTTTCAAAAAAACAAAAAAACAAAAAATGCTATAGCACTTTGACCACACATTCTGTATAGCCTTACTGTTTTGTGCTATTATGACCTGTTTGTATGTTTCTCCCTTTTGCTAGACTCCGATCTCTTTGAGGGCAACCACTCTCCCTCTTTAATAGTTACTATTTCTTAGTACTTTGTACTGTGCTTTTCTTATTTTAGGAGTTTAATGAATATGATTAAGTATAGAGTATTGAGGAGAACAACAGTCAGCAAAACTGTTAATGAGGAGATGCAGATAAGTTGGCGAAGGCATTGACCAGGGTTTCTCCAGTGTGTCTGGTTGACTTAGCAAGTGTCCCTGTCCTCTTATTGCCTTACTCCTGAAGAAGTGACAGAAGAACCCAAGACCTGTTAGTCAGCAAAGGGGGACTGAGGAGAAGAGCGCAGCATCAAAAGGGATGCCAGGTGCAATGGCCCAGAAGCAGGAGAGAGCACAGTGAGTCCCAGGAGCTGAAGGGGTTTTCCTCCTCAAGGGGCATCCTTGTTCCCTGAGGAAGGCCTTCGCAGAGAGAGAAGGAATGGTTTTATGTCTAAAACCATTTTTAGCTTCCTTCCCATGACCTCCCAATAAGCTTTTTAAGATCCATCTCTAGATCAATAATAATGACAGTGAGATATTTCACAGTCAAAATATTTAATATCATGCTTAGGACTTTCCTTTATCATTAAAGTTTGGATCATTACATAAGCCGCTGGCTCATCTCCATCTATTAGCCCATTAGCTAAGTGGTGATGCTGTTGGTCCTATTGGGTGGTTCACTGAATTAATCAGTCTGTGTAACAGATGTTCTTTTCTGGGTATGTGGTAGAGGGGTGTGACTTAGGTCTGTAATCAGAGATGGTTTCCCTACCTTCCATGTTTAAGTCACAATAAGGTACAGGTAAGAAGGAAAGATCATAGCATATCCATTTCTACCACTGCTGGAAAAAACTTCTTATAGCCAATGCCCCCTTTATACCAAGAGGAACCCAAGTCTGGTTTTCTAGATCCAATGTGAAACTCATATTTCCCCTTGAGTGGGACACAGTTAATACACCTTAAGAGTTTCCCCGGGGTAAATTTTTTTTATTAGAGTTCAGAACTTTAATTAAATCTTTAAATATGGTGGTTGGTTGTAATATATATTGATTCTTTGATTTTGGGAACTGTAGGTAGCTAATAACTGTTCAAAAAATCTTCAGAAAATAACTCAAAGATTTTATGCTGTATGAGGTCGCAGGCTTCTCTGTCTTTTCTGATAGAGACTGTTTCATTCTTATATGTTCCTTTTTAGGTATCCTAGAGAGTCAGTCATAGAAAAGACAAACACATTTATAAATGTGCTATTTTTATTTTTGGCTCTATAGACTACCTTAACATATGGCAAAGTTTCTATGAAAGAGGATATGAAGGCCCTAGAAAGTTGGGGAAACATGAACATATAGCCAAATTTAGATATCTTAAAAACAACAAGGTGTACTTACAAGCTTAAAAATAATTTTCTCAGTAAATCTACAAATAATAATCAAAAGGATGAGAGTGGGGAGTGTAGGAGTTCACTCTTTATAGATATTTATTTAAAAAGCCCTAATGAGAAAGTGTGAAACAAGAACAAGGAGCAATTTTCTACAGAGAGACAGAGAGAGAGAGAGAGAGAGAGAGAAATACTATGTGTTACATGCTGAGAGTGTCAAAGGACTGTAAAGATGTACCCATTTTAAAAGTTTTTAATGAAATCATATATCGAGGTGAACTACATTAAAATTTATTTTTCAACCATTCTAGAAATGATAGTCCAAGTTGGCATGTCAAGACTGGTAGGTCACGCACTATTCACTGTAGCTCAGATTGCTGGGAGTCACATCCTCCTTGTTAGTTTCAGGTGACAGCTCACTGTACAGGGGAGATCCACTTGTAGAGAAAGAGAGAAGAGGGATAGGAAGATTTAGCACTGCATTTTCACAGGGCAAGAAATTCCAACCTAGCTCCAATGTGTGTTGGCCCGTTGCCTGGGATCTTGTTAAACACATGACCATCACTCTTCTGCCTATTTCTGGCCTGGATTTGGAGCTTGGTGTCTAAGCAAACCCCACTGGAGCTAAAATTAGGCAGCCAAATTGTGACAAGACATACTTGTCTTCAATAAAGAAGAGACATCTATTTAAAAAAAATGGATGTATCCGTGGGTCAACGTAAGTCACACGCATCTTAGCAGACTGTTTTCATTATGCAGAAACAAAATTAAAATAGACCAGCTAACTAGACTGACTGCATTCTGGCCTTTAGCCATTTAATATTGCCAGAGTAGCCCAATTCTGTTGCTAATGGTCCTGTCTAGCTGTAGGAGAGTTTAAGGAGTAAAAGCAAAATAATGAACTATTGACATGAATGATGAAAAGCAGAGCAAACATATATAACCATATATTTTAGATGAATGTAATTTTATGATTTCAAAGTTTGGAGGCCTTTTATATCACAGGAGGAATGTGTTGGGGTTTGAGAATCAAGGCATTCTCTTTCATTTGACTGGTATCTTATAGAAGCGGAATTATCATTGAAATTATAGCAAAGGACAGTAACAACAATTCTTTATATTTGTGTGACATTTTTACCTTTTAAAATATTTTTACACTTATTTCTCAAACTTCTCACTAAATATCTTTTGACTGCCCACTTTATGGGTATTACCATAAATGGTATCGTGGGAGAAATCAGTGATGAATCAGAAATTTTTTCTCCCATCAAGGAGCATAGGATCTGTTTTTAGAGGCAAAAAATAAATGCAGGAAAAATTAAACAACCACAACAAAAGAATTCAATGGCAATTTGAGCTCATAGTAGAAGAGCTACTTAAAAAGTAGTAATGATTAACTGTTTAACTGCCACATGTCTTCCATAGAGGAATTTAGAGGAAAATAATCACTTCTGTTTTCATTGATTATGGAGGAAGGAGTTCCAAGAATATGTAGAGGTCCATGGAGATAATGATGCAAAGAAAACAGGGAGACTAGAAGAAAGGTTTCAGATAATGGTGGGTACATTCTTTTGATGGAAGCTTATGTAGGGAATTAGCTGTCTTCACACTGGATGTGTCTATAGCAGGTGTGCACCTTTATATTTACTTGAGAGATTAAGCCTTGCTAAGTCCAGAGGAAGCCTGAAGACACAGAGCCTGCTGTACCTCTGGAAGGAACTCGAGCCTGGGCAACCAGACTCAGGCTGCTACTCTTTCTATCACACAATACTTAAAATCACAGCCAAAACATAAATAAGCAAAAAACTAAATAGAATCAACTAAATAACCCCTCCCCTCCAAATGTAATCACTTCAGAATTAAAGGATCCATTCTTCCTGGTTATGGTAGGTTTATTCTTCCCTTTCAGTTATAGCCACGACCCATCCCATCTCTCTTGATGCCTTCAGAACTCAAATACAGTTTATGACGAGGTTTCTAGAATGGGCACCTTCCTGTAGATGACCAACACCTCCGTTACACAGGAACTTTCAGGCTGGAGATACTTCCTACCTGTAATAAATTATTTCAACACTTCACTATTGAGAAGATTTAATTCATTCTCAGTAGTGACCAACAAGGACAAAAGACATTTAAATATGTTGGGCTCAAAAGACATCATGTTTTAAAAATTACTATGTTTTTGTATGAGTAAGAAAATAGGAAATTGAAAAAGGTTTTGCTAAGCATCTTTCATAATCAAAATTTCATGGTTTGATTTTATAACCAGACTGAAACAAAAGATGTTTATTCTATGAAATGGCTTTTGCCAAGATTGCAGTGACCTTGTTGTTAAAACTAACAGGCACACTTCAATGCTGATTTCATGTGATCTCTCAGCAGCATTCAAGTGATGACACTCCCTTCTTTCTGAAATGTTCTTTTTCATTGGCTGCTGTAACACCACACTCAGTTTTCCTTCCACTTTGACCCCTTTCTTTCAGTGTCCTTTGCAGGGTTCTCTTCTATTACCTGTGCCTTAAATATTAGGATCATTTGGAGTTGTGACCTGGGCATTTTGTCTTATAATTCTGTATACTCTCCTTGAAAAAATCCATCTGTTTCCATTGTTTAAATTAACTTTTCTATGCCCATGACTTCCTTACATAATTCACTCATGTGTTCAACTTTCTACTTCTACATCGAAAAGTCTACTCTCTACATCCAAAATTCTGTTTGGAATTTTCATGAGCACCTAACTATAGCCCCCTACCATCTCTGCCCTTCTTCCAGGGCACCTTCAATCTGCACATTGCACCACCAACCCACCAGCCACCTACACCCCTGTGTCAGGACGGAGCTTTTGTCCTGTTGACTCCTTGTCACTTCTAATCCTCATAGCTGGTGAGAGGAAGAGAGCTAGCATAATTATCCCAAAGTTATACTCTGGGAGGAAGCAATGTTAGGAAGAGAAAGATGTGTTTATACTGTAGATTCTGTGCTCTGAGAAATACCAGGATCCAATATTGCCATCCCAGCATGGAGGCAGAACTTGGTTTTGCCAACCTCTAGCAAAAAGTGTTGGAATCAGGATGCCTTTACATTCTTAATTGCTATTGAGAACCCCAAAGAGTTTTTGTTTATGTAGTTATATCTACTGATATTTATCATTTTAGATATTAATATTGACAAAAATAAAATATTCATTTATTAATTTATTTAAAGTAACTCATCCATTATACACTAATATAAGTCACATATTTTATAAAATATAACTAGATTTTCCAAGACAATGTTATTTTAGAAAACAGAGTGGGATTGTTCTTCATTTTTCCAAGTCTCTTTAGTACCTGACTTAACAAAGGACAGCTGGATTCTCATGCCTGCTTCTGCATTCAGTCTGTTCTAATATCACATGTTGTACACTCTCTAGAAAACCCCGCTGTTTATTCATACAAGAGTAAGAGTGAAAAAGACAAATAGCATGTTAGTTACAGTATGAAAATAGAGTTTTGGCTTCATGGAGTCCCCTAAAATGTTACAGAGAGCCTTAGCGTCACCGGAAGCACATTTTGAGAACCATTTCCTCATACTTTTCTGATTTCTCTCATAGTGTTGGGCCCAAAGTAGATGCTTAATGTGTACTTAGCTACCTATAGAAATTGAAATGTGGTTTAATTTTTTTTGCTTGTGATTTAGTTATTCCTGTGCATAAGAAGATGCAGAAACCCATCAGCTTCCAGCCAATTTAGAATTATAATGGTTTACTTTGTGAAACAATCAATGTTTGTGGAGGGATGCAGAAAATATGGAACATATACATTGCATTGTCATGTGAGGATGGCCGTGCATACTTGAGAGGGAGAAAGCTGGGATTGCAGGAATTTCAGGAACCTGAGAGGGTGTAGAGAGGAGTGGATTTGGGGCCAAGGCTTGGTCTATTAGTACAAGAAGTGCTCAGTCAATGTGATAGTAATGCTCAAGAGTGTGGAGTGGGAGTTGGCGCGATCTAATCGGTTGTGGAAGACCCACTTGCAAGGCTGGAATGGAAACTTGTAGAGAGTAATTTTCTTTCTAATCATGTATAAATCTCAAATGACTTGGCTTGCTATTAAAGTATTTCCAGACTTTTTATGGCATGGATATAATATCTAATAAAGTTTAGTAAAAGATATAGAGATGCCGTGTAATTGGGTACTCCTGAATCCTCTTAGAAATGGCCTTTGCAGAAGAGCTTACGAATCAGATTTGGTAATAAAACAGAATCATGTAATCAGAGGGACATGACAGATTTGACTGTAGGAGCTGTGCCCAGAAACTTCCCAGCACGAACTTCTAACAAGCCAGATGAAAGACTTGCTAACGGGATGTGTTGCTTTGAGGGCACTTTTCCTAAATTCCTATAAATAGGAATGAAAAGTTCCTTAGTATTTTATGGAGTATGTGACAACTTTAAGTCATGGATTGGTCTGTAGGAAGGGCATGTGAATGAAAAGATGTTCCTTAAGAAGACCTTCAAAAAGTCTGTAAAAGTACTAATTGACTTTTCAGAGCTTCAGGACTGTTTCTTTAGAAAAACATCAGAACAGACTAAAGAGAAAAACCAAGGCATCAATAACGTTTGCAGTGAATTGATGGTCAGCTTTTGTGCAGGGTCACTGAAGTGACTGTAATTCTTTGGTTAAAAATCAGACATCAGTAATAGGAAGGAGAAGAAGGGGAGGAGTGCTACACACTGATAAGAACTTTTAAGGATTTACGTGTCAAAGAATTTCCTTGGTCAGAATGCATATTTGGCCTTTTTAAAGGAACTAGAAAGCAGGTGAGCTTCTGAGTCATCGCCTTGAGTTGCTCAATTTGGGAATGACCTTGACATGGAGAAGCTAAACCACTCTGCTTCCTTTGAAGCTAGCTGTTAGCACCAGAGGTGTCCTGACAAAGGGAAAATGAGATTTAAGACTGGCCAAGATGGTGGAAGAAAAGGGAAAAGGTTTTGTGAACTTCTTAAAACTTCATGTTATGTTGTCTTTTTCTGGCCTGGAAGTTCAGCCGGAAAACAAGAATAATTAATGACTTCGAGACATTGTTGAAAAGTGCAAAATTTATGAATCATCCAGTCATGCTAATGTGACTAACTTTTACAATATTGACCATTCCCCCCCATTCTCTGTATTAACCTAATTATGTGTTGGTATTAGCTGGATGTAACCTTAGGATATTAAGTATCCTTAGCTGAATTTTTTTTATTTTTCAGAATTTCTTAAAAGCATTTAAATTCAGCAATCCATAACAGGATACAGACCAGTATTTTCTTGGCATTGTACAAAACAAATTTCACTGCTTTTCTTTAAATAAATGACAGGGAAGACTCCTTTCTGGCATGAAGGGGGTCTCAAGGAATTTCTGAAATGTGTCCTTTGAATCATTAACAAATTGGAAAAAAGTAGAAAACGCCTGTAGAAAATGAAACAACCTTTCCACTCAACCAAACAATGAAGGACAGCTGCTGACAGGGAGACGGGATTAACAAAGGAGCAAGTGTATGAAACACAGCGTTATTTGCCCAGACTCTGAATTTCTTTCAGCCTCCAGGCTGGCCGTAGTGACAGAGCCATCTGTCCTATCATTTTGCCCTCTGTAGTCAGCCATTAATTTTCCACAAGGGCTCTCAGTGACAGCTATCTCATATTGGCCATACTTGGACACAGGATATATGACATGCATTGAGAGAGTAGCTTCAAGGATTCAAGGCTTATGACACTGAATGTACAGAAAAAGAGAGGTGGAGAGATTTCTACACAAGCCAAAGCTGGCTAAAAAGTAGAGAGACACTGACTAATCTGGGGACACTGCTCTTTTCATTAGTGTTACGTTTTGTCTTGAAATCCCATGCTGTATGGGTATAACTCTTGACCTACATGTATTGGGGCTGGTAAACAATGGAATGATTGAATAAATAGAGAGGAAGAAGGCCAGGAATAGTGGTTCGTGCTTGTAATTCCAGTGCTTTGGAAGGCTGAGGAAGGAGGATCACTTGAGGCCAGGAGTTCGAGACCAGCCTGGGCAACATATTAAGACCCCCATTCTCTATAAAACATTTAAAAAAAAATACAGAAGAAGAAATGCTAATAGGTTATTTCTTAAAGCCAGAGAAAAAAATACATAAATTCTCCTTTATGTTACTTTGAAATGAGTTTTGTTTTTTTATAACAAGGTCTACAAGGTCCTCTCCTCTCTATTTCCCAGTGTGCATTCTCTCTCTCTCCTGCAGCTGTTCTACCCACACTGGAAATAATATGCATAAAAAGAGTATTCTACAAATATGCATCAAAATTGTCATGCTATTTTCCTCCTTCTCACACTGATAGCTAGAGACTACTCAAGCTTAGTTTTAGAGCTCTAGGTTTCATGAGGTAAGATTTCAAGGATACATTTAAAATAATCTCCTCGAAATGTTATTCTGATAAAAGAGCATGAGGTCATTGTGAATATTCCTGGAAAACCAACGTTCCATTTTGGGGAGTATTCAATAACCTGCTTAAAATTGTTCTTGGCTGTTCTGGAATTTTATCATTTCCTTTGCTGCTCATAATAAGTGAACTAGTTTTCTGGGAAAGAAAATCTTATAGTGATTTTGAAGATAGAAAGTTGGGCTAGGAATTCTATTTTACTTTTTTCATTTGTATGATTTTTTCATGTTTTTTGTAGAAGGTAAAACTTTGTATGCCTAACTGAGATCATTTGCAAAATGTCATTGTAAGACTTAGGCTATAAATTAGGCTAAACGCCAAACTAGGGAGAGTTTATTAATCAATATTTTTAATTCTAACTGGTGAGAAAATAATACTCAGGAAAAAGTTTCAGATAACTATTGAATGTAATATTGAATATAAACTTCAGAGGTCATTGTAGAGATTGGCAAACATATGAAAGTTAAAAAGTTTCTAAAAACGACAAAACAGATTCAAAGAAAACACTTACAATGCAACAAAAATACAGAAAAGTTACCTGAATTTATTAGTTTGGTGCAAAAGTAATTGCAGTTTTCTATTAAAATAAATGGAAAAACTGCAATTACTTTTGCACCAACCTAATAATAAGTTCCCACAAATACATAAGAAAAAAACACTAAAATGGACAAAGAATATGGCCATATAATTCATACAAGCACAAAAACATACTAAAAGGCAAATAAGTATATTAAAATATGTCTAACCTCACTAGAAATTGAAGTTTCCTCTCGTGGAAATTTCAATAAAAAACAGAATGCAATTTTTGCCTGTTGTATGGTAAGTATTAAATACATATTCAGTGTTGCAGAGGATATGGAAAAACAACAAAATATATTATGAAGAATGTCTTTGGGTTAACTGTATAAAGGCACACCAACTACACAGAAAATCTTTAAGATAATTGGGGAAATTTTAAATATGGACTGGGAATTAGATAACATTAGGGAATTGCTATTAATTTTGTTAGGTATGATACAGGTTATAGGTATTATAAAGAGAAGTTCATATCAGTTAGAGAAAAAGCAAAATGAGGTGGGTATAAGTGAAATGGTGAATGGTTAAGGATTTGCTTAAAAATTCTCCAGAATAATTGAGAGAGTAGCTTCCTGGTGCAGGATAGATAAAGCAAGAGTGACAAAACGGTGATAATTGTTGGAAATGGGTAATAGGTGTATATAGATTTCTTATATTATTCTCTTTACTTTAGTAGAGAATGGGTGAACTTCTCCATAATGCATTTCTAAAAATGCACTAGATCAAGCTTTTTAGAAGAAAAAAACAAAAGAAAACACAAGAAAAGCCATCCCTATTATCTATCATTCTATCTATCCAGCAGTCATCTAAATTCATTATCACCACCATCATCTAATCTATCCTTGTAATTGCATAAAAAATGGCGGCATATAACCGATCGCATCACTGCACTCCAGCATGGACCACAGAGGGAGACCCTGTCTCAAAAAATAAAAGAAGAAAAACATTTTTAATTAAAAAACTACAGATAATGGAACTTCTGGATCTGTCTTTGTATCTCTTTTCTTCCATTTTAATTTCTCTTTGTTTTTGCATGCTATTCTGGGATAATGACCCCGATTCATGCGCCAACTTACTGATTTGCTTTTCATTTATGGTTGTTTTGCTGGTCAACTCTGCATTGACTATTTTTAAAGGGCAACAATCAGATTTTAGATTTCCAAACTCATTAGTAATTTCTTTCTCAAGGATGCCCTATTCTTTTTGTTGGTTTGTTGGTTTGTTTTTGAGATGAAGTCTTGTTCTGTTGCCCAGTGGCATGATCTAGGCTCACTGCAACCTCTGCCTCCTGGGTTCAATCGATTCTCCTGCCTCAGCCTCCCAAATAGCTGGTATTACAGGTAAGTGCCACTATGCCCAGCTTTTACAGATCTATATCTATATCTATATCTATATCTATATCTATATATATCATGAAGAACTTCTTTGGGTTAACTGTACAAGGCACACCAACTGCACAGAAAATCTTTAAGATAATTGGGGAAATTTTAAATATAGACTGGGTATTAGATAACATTAGGGAATTGCTATTAATTTATATATATATATATATATATATAGTAGAGATGGGGTTTTACTATGTTGATCAGGCCGGTCTTGAACTCCTGGCCTCAAGTGATCCACTCACCTCAGCCTCCCAAAGTGCTGGGATTACAGGTGTGAGCCACTGTACCTGGCCCAAGGATGCCCTATTTTTGAGACCCTCTCTGAGCATGTCAGTTATATTTATTTT